>NT_187614.1:959024-1278699 GCF_000001405.40 Homo sapiens
CTGTGTACCATTCAAGAAGAAAGCTTAGCTGTCTCCAACCCCGGCATTCCCACAAGGGAAAGCTTGAGATCTGCTGAGGGAGGGTCCTGGGAAGAGGCCTTCTTCTGTTCTCCTGTACAGCAGAGGTGTTGGCATGTGCACGTGTGTGTCTGCATGTGTGTGCATCTGTGAACATCTGTCTGTGGCTCTCGTTCTGAGCACCTGTGTGTCTCTGCTTCTGCCTTGTTCTGTCTTGGCACCTCTGGGTGTCTGTATGTCTTTTTCTAATCCTGGCTTTCTTCTTGTGCTTCTCTGGGCCTCGTCTTTTCATCTTTGTGTTTTTTGCTTACTGTATTGTAATATCCATTTCCATGCTGGAATTCTCCTACCAGACCATGGACTCTGTGAGGGCAAAGACTGTCTTTTATCTTCCCATGTGTGCACATAGTAGGAGCCTAGTACATTTCTGTGGAGTAAATGAATGGAGATCTGGCTCTGTTAAGAATCCCTTAGTGTCTGTGTCTCTGGCTGCCTGACTTTCTGGGTCTCTGTGACCCTCAGAAGCTAGTTTTGTGGTTCTGTGTAGGGGTATACCTGGTTTATTCCCATGCATATGTGTATTTCTTGTGGTAGTTTTTCTCTCCTTGTCTATGTCCGTTTCAGGTTTGTTGATCTGCCTGAATGTCTCTGCATGTGGCCCCACATCTCTCCTCATGCCTGCTGGTCTCAGAGTATAATGGATGCTGAGTCCAAAGCAGGTGTTTCCTGGGCATTCGTGGCAGGGGAATTGGACTTCCAAATCTGCCCCCGCTCCACGTGGGTGAGCTTCTCCCAGACTCTCCATCATAAGAGGCTGTGAGCACCCGAAACTGATCACCTTCTCAGCCTAGAATGGGAGTGAGCTGTGGTCCTCTCCCTCTCTTCCTCTCACTGTGACCCCAATCACAGCACCTGCCCTTCTCTAATTGGCCGATGTCAATGGAAGGGGGAAGGGAAGGCTGATGTCCAAGGAGGAAATCCCATTAGGTGAGCCAGAGCCAAGTTATTAGTGGTTAAGATGTAATTGGAGTTGGTGAATAATCTCATTCAATTCATCACATATTTATGGCGCATCCAGCTGTGTGACCTTGGGTGCGGTGTTTCACCTCTCTGATGAAATAAGACCTTAATGTTTGCCAAGGACCCTGGATTTCTGAGATTCTGAGTCCCTGAAGCTGGAAGGAATCTCTACCGAATTCCGATCACTTGCTGCTGCCTCTCTCCTTGCTTCTGAGTTATTTGTGCAATTACCTGCATTCCCTCCTAAACTCTACATTCCTTCAGGCCAGGGTCTTATATAACTATCCCCCACAGTTTAGTGCCTTGCACACAGTGGGTGATTTATCAGTTTTTCTGAATGGATGACTGAATGCTAGGCACTGTGATTAATAACAAAGAAATAGAATTAGAAGCCCTGTGCTTAGGCAATATACAATTTTAGGGGAACGGGGAGGGCGGAGATGACCTTTGCACTTTATATTATAGCTTTGGGAACTTGTGTGAGTTCCTCAGCCTCTTTGTGCCTCTATCTCCTCATTAATAACATGCAAATAATAACGGCTACTAACTAAGGATTTTGTGAGGATTAAATGTGATCATATGTACAGTTAAATCCTTCGTGTAGTGTTTGGCACTTAGTAGATCCTTAATTAATGTGTGTTCCTGCTCTATTCCCAACTAGAGAACAAGCACCAAGCCCTGTGGATTTCAGAAGGTGAGAAATCACTGATGGGTGGGGTTTTTGGATTGAAGCTGGGGAGTGGGGATCTATAGCGAGATTTCTAGACTGCTTTATTGTACCCTATGCTTCTTTTTTTTTTTAATCTCCCCTCACTTCCTCCCCTCCCAACACACATGAAGACAAATAGCAGGTGCTCAGAAAGTATTTATTGAATTAGTGCAGAAAATGAAGCCCATTTCTTTGTGGCTAAAGATAGCAGACCTCAAACCAGGCTTCTCAATGGAATCACCTGGGATCTTTTTAGAAATCTACTTTCTTGCCCCTCAAATCCAAAATTCAGTCTGTCTCACACACACACATACTGATCAGAATCTCCAGGCTTGGGCTCAGAACTAATGTTTTTTAAAGCTGCCCAAGTGACTCTGATATGTGGACAATTTGGGATATCCTGGCTTAGGATATGATCAAGATGATAAATATTTAATGTACATTTGAAAATAATTGATATCAGATTGTAGGATATAAATGTTAAACATTCAATTATAATTTAAATATTGTTTATACAAGCCTGTGTTCATACCCATGTTCCACTCCCATGTCTGCTTAACCACATGGGGGAATATTGGAGTTGAGGGTGTGGAAGGGTGCGTGTCTCAGTGGGGCTTGAAATTGGGACTGGAAGGAGAGCTTGGCCCAGATCAGAGACATGAAGCAACCAAAAGGGAAAGAGAGAAGGCCGGGCATGATCTGCAAAGCTATAGAAAGAGCTGGTTACTACATCCACTTCCTTTGGCCAGAACTCCACCTCCACGGAGTCCTCAAAGATCTTCTCCTGAACTCCGCACTCCCCAGCCTTGAGAGGAGACACAGGAGCTGGAGGAAGCAGCTTTATCCCTCACTTTGTGGTTCAGTCCAGCCTGTTTTCCAAGGAGTAAAGGGCAGTGGAAGGATAACTAAGAAAATAATAATAACAAATGAAAGCATCTCTGTGGAGCTTCGAGATGGTTTTGTGGTTTTGACATCCTTGGTTTATTGTGTCTGCTATGCTTGTCATTACAAGGAACTACATCGTCTCTTTAGTGTGACCAACACATGCTGGGTCCCTGCTATGTGCCAATCCAACCCTGTAAGATGGAGGTCATGACTATTTCCATTTTACAGATGGGGAACTGTGGCTCAGAACCCAGATCCCTTGACCCCAAGGCTCATGATTTTCCCGCATGCCTTCCTGGGGATGGCTCCAGCCGATGGAGCCTGGGATGAAGAGACCGACCAGCTCCCTGGACCACACCCTGTCCTTCTCCTTGTGGTTCCTTAGCTCTCCTTTCTTGTTGCTTCTGCCCTCATCCTTTTCCTGAGTGGTCTCTCCTCAAGTGTGTGTCTGGTGCCCCAGGAAGCTCCTCTTTCACCCACCCCTCCACCACCTGCCCTGTTTGATTTGACTTCATTCATCCGCTTGTCTATTCATCTACCTTTTTTCACCTAGCAAGCACTTGGCAGGCTTGGCCAGGCATTGTGCTAGGCTCGGGTGTCCAGAGGTGAGGAAGACCTTTCAGAGCTCCCAAGCAAGAGAGGGCAGTACATTCAAGGCCAATACATTGGGTTCGGCACTCCAAGGGCAGAGAAGAGAAACCAGCCTCCAACTTGGCCCTGTGAAAACTGGACTTTTCATGTTGCACATGACAAGGGTCCAGCCAGAATGGCTAAAACAACCCACACTCTGGGGGCACCTCAAGCAATGGGGATAGAATCGACCCTGAGGATGCCCAGCAGATCAATTGCATGGGCCACGGGCCTTCCTGGGATGGAAGGGTGCGCCTTCCTCTAATCTACCCGCAGGGCCCCTCAGGAGGCTTCTTTATTCTGGTTAACTTTCAGGTCCCTCCAAATGATCTGTCTTTAGAAGGGCTCCACCTCCTTCTAAGTGGCATTCTTCCCTCGAGTTCTGTCCATCCCACTGTGTGTGTATGTAAGATAGCAAGAGAGATGGAGGCACACATGCATGCTTATATCCCATCTCAGCCTTTCTCCGTGGCGGGTCTTGGGCAGTAATTGAAGAGCCGGAGCCCCCATTCTATGCAGTGAGCCCCACTCTTGCCCTGTGTGGGGAGCATGTGGGCAGAGCCACCACAGGAGTCCCTATCCTGGTGGGGAAGAGAAGGCATGACTTGAGAGCTCTCACCAGAGCCTAGGCTCAGGAGAAGAGCAAGCCAGTGGGACAGGAAGGAAGAGGAGGAGAAAAAAGGACAGACCTTGACAGTGGGATGACCAAGGGCAGAATCCTGGGACAGCCAACAGCTGCCACCTCCCAGGAAGACAGGAACCAGGGCCCCTTGACAGGAGCAAGACTCCCACCCCCAGTGGCTGAGCCTCCTGCCTGGGAGGTTGGCTGGACCCAACCAGGCCGGGGTTGTATGTGTCCCCCAGCGGGGACAGTGTTGGCAGTTCTAAGGTCTCAAGGGCCAACGGGTTAGGCAGGCAGCAGGAAGGTTTGTGGTGTCAGCCCTTTTCTAGCTCCCTCTCCCTCATCCTACACCATGTCCCCCGACAAGCCCCCAACCCAATCCTCCTCCTCCTGTCCTGCTCCTCCTCCCTTTTCCATTTGGAAGAAGGAGGCTTGCTGTCTTTGTATTTTAACTGTAGCAAAAAGATTAAATTGTTTACGAGCCGGGAGCCTCTGCTGGTTGGATGAGCCGGAAGAGACAAAGATAGACATTCTAATTCTCCCCCGTTCTCCAGGCCTCCGTCCCCCTGGCTGCTGCTAATTCTTTTATCTGCCCCCAACACTCCAGGCATTATGTGCATTCATAAAAAAGGGGGGGTGGAGTGGAGAGAACCCTCGCCGAAGCCAGCAAAATTACTGTTCTCTGCGCGGTTTCTCTGATAGCAATCTCTTGAATGCTGATTACTTTTTTCCCCTCTCCCCTGCCCCCTCCCCCCTTCCCCAGCACCCAACATAAGTTGGTCTTTAACCCTTTATCTTTAGCAAGCAGAAAGACATGGAAAACATCTCACTCAGTGGGTGGAAAAAAAAAAAAAAGCAAGGGGGGCAAGGAAAGAAAAAAAAACAACAACCCAGCACAGAGAAGAATTACTGTTATCTCCTCACCAGAAGAGGAACAGCAGAGATAAGGGAAGCCTGAAGAATTAAAAGAAACGTAGCGTTGGGGCTCTAAATTCACGCCGAAGCCGGCTGTATTTGTCTGTCACGGGGGTTCATAATTTTCTGAGGTTGTTTTGATAGACTTATTGTGCGGACTGCATAGAAAACTCATCAGCATTTGTTGCCTCTGAGCGTTATTGTCAGAGGTAACTGCGTGTCTGTAGACTGGGGGAGATAATGGCTGAAGTAGAAAGCAGATAAAGCCCAGGCTCTTCTCATTAAGGACTATCTCTGCCTCCGCAGACCGGCCGGGATTGAGTGACTGGGGCGGCAGCACGGGGCATACATTATGCCAGCAAAAGCAAAAGGCGGCGGCATGAGTGCGGGCAGCTGGAGGACCCCGTGGCCCTGGATGAATGGCCGAGGGGAGCGCTTGGATGGTGCCCGCAGTGTGGTCGGCTGCAGGGGTGCCAGTCGGGGACACCCAGGGGCTCCCTGAGCTCTGGGGGTTTATGGCAGAGCAATGAGGAGGGGTTGCAGTGCAGGCAATTCTTTGGTTCCATTCTGACATTGCACAGAGGGGGAAACTGAGGTCTGGAGAGGGGAAGGGGTGTGTCTGGGGCCTCCTACTGAGGGAGGGCAGAGCAGGTTCCTCTGATTCTGGGGTATTTATCCAGATCCATGCCTCGCCTGTGCAGTGGCTGAGAGATGGGAGCCTCCCATAACCCAGTCCACTGTCCACGTGGAGATGTGGAGGGGTCATATACTGTTAATACCTGTGGGTCCCTCCCTCCCTCCCTTCCTCCAGCACATTTTCTTGGAGTGCCCATGAGAAGCCAGGCACTGGGGAATGTGCGGGCACTGTGGTCATGGGCGCACTGTGTGTAACCCCCCAGCCATCCTCCTCCCTCCATCTACTATGGAACTACCCTCTCCAGCAAAGGGGGCAGGCAGACCTGGGCAGAGAGGTTCACAGTGTCCTCAAGCCAAGCCTAAGGCCAGATGGGGACAAGCTGTGCAGTGAAAGACTAGAGGCTAGGTCAGCAGAACTGGGCTTTGTGTAGCCTGGGAGGGGGACACTTCTCTGGCCCCTTTCCCATCTGTGAAATGGGAACAATAATGTAGCCCACTTCATAGGGTGGTTGAAAGGACTGATGAGATAGTTTATAGAAGAAGGTTTGTTAGCACGTTGCCTGGACACACTAAGTGCTCGGTAAGCCTGTTATTATCTTTATAATGATTGTTCCTCTGGTGGCCCTAAGGACCTTCTGGACAGCTCAGTACTGCTTCCTTCATCTGACCCAGGGTGGGGCCTCCAGGGAAAGGCATCTGAGCTGTAAGTGAATGTTTTATCCTTGTCACATGCTCCCATAGAGGGGAGGCCTTGGCGTTGTCTGAGTCCATTCCTTTCAGTTGGCTGATGAGAACTGAGCCCAGGGAAGAAAGGGCCCAGCTCAGGGCACACCGCAGGCTCCAGGCAGAACTGGACAAAGGACCGGGTCTCACAGCCATGGCAAAACCTTGGATGCTTTCTTTGGCAGCATCCTGCCTTCTGGGTTGCTTCTGCCTGGGAGGCTGGCCAGGCAGGAGAGTACTGGTGCATGGCTGCAGCCATCAGGGGAAGAGGGGACCCAAGGCCCTGCCACCAGCCCCAGGGACCCTGAGCCCATATCTGAGGCTGTTCTGGTCTCTTGCCTCCTCAGAATGACCTGGGCCAGGCTTGGGAATGCCAGCGCTTTTAGCAGTTGATTGATCTGCATTTGGTTTGGCTCAGGCCAACTGAGAGGGGCAGCATCAACAGCGCAGGGATTTAGTGATTGAGGGGGAGATGGACTACAGACTGGAAGAGGGGCTCCGGACAGACGCTGGGGAGTCTAGAGGGTCAGCCTGGGGGTCGCTGACCACAGAATCTGCAGTATGAGCACAGGAGCCACTCTGGCCCTGTAGGACTAGTGGGGAAAACCAACACAATAAAAGTTCTTACAAACAACCAGTGCAGTGAATGAGAAAACTACAGGAGTACAGAGGAGGGAGGAGCCAGCCTGGTCCAGGGTGGGGAATGGAGAGCCCAGGAGACAGTAGAGTCAAGACTGGAAGATTAGATAGTGGACACGGTGGGGAAGGGCATTCCAAGCAGAGGGAACAGCCTGTGTAAAGACCCGGAGGCAAAGAAGAGCGCGGGATGAGTGGGAACAGTGAGGAGGTGGGTGTGTGCATAGGGGAGGGGGAGGCATGTTGGGAAGAACCTCAAATGCCAGAGGAAGAAGACAGGGCTTTATCCAGTGCATCAATGGGGTCCCCTGAGTGTTCCAAATAGCTGGAAATGCTCACCTCCTGGAAAATTGGGCTCTACCAGTGACCACTGCCCTTGTCAACTCCCTGCCCCGCAATGTCCCCAGCTGTTATTGAGTTAGTGAACTCAATAAGGGGCTGATAAATGATGGCAGAGCCTGGCAGGAGTGGCAGAATGTGGAGCGGAAAGAGCATAGACTCTGGAATGCCTGCATCTCATGGATTTAAAATTAAATCTCCGTTTCAAGTTGTGTGACTTTGGGGGCTAGGCATGTAACCTCCCTGGACTCAGTTTTCTAATCTATAAAGTGGGGACAACAGCTGTCTCCAAGCATAACTGTGAGAATTATCTGGGGATGGTGTGAAGTGCCTGGCATGTCGCAGCCTTGAAACAAATGCCAGTTCTCCCTCCCCCACCCACCACAGGCTGCCAGCATTCCAGCTGGGGCAGTGTGTCCCAGTACCTTGTCCTTGCCCTCCTCAGGCAGCGCTCACCTGCAGGCAGCCCTGTGGGCTGTCACTCATCATCTGCCCTGTGCCCAAGCATTGTCTCCCTTGCTTTTGCTGACAATGATGTCCTGGCTTTGGTCCCAGCCTGTCCTCCTTGGCAGAACACCTGGCATTTCACTCCACCCTCGCCCCCAACCGGTAATACCTGTCAGCCCAGCCTTGCCAACATCCCTAGATGTGACCTACACCTGCCTAGACCCACAGACTGTTCCCTAGACCCTTTTGGCTGTCCAGGCCAGACCTGTCCCTAGTCCACATGTCAGTTCCGTGCCCTGTAACACAGCTAGCTACTGGGAGGTTCTGGACCCTGGAAGGTCTCAGGGTTCCCCTGCAGCTTGGGTTGGGTGCAGGGGTAGATTCAGGGTGGCAGGCTCAGCTCAACCTCACAGAGAGAGTTATGGCTGAGAGTTATTTCCTGAGAGTCAGGAAACTTGGCTGAACCCTGGCTAATGGGCTGTGTGGCTGTGGGCAATACACTGGCCCTCTCTGGGCCTCAGATTTTTAACCAATAATTGGAGAGAATCCATCCCTAAGGCCCGTTCTGGCTCTAATGGTCTCGGATTCTAGGAGGAAAGGGCCAGAAGTCTGCAGCAAAGGTCTGTAACCCCCTTCCTCTGTGCCCTGAAAGGGGCAGCAGGAAAGCCTCATATCCCAGCGCAGCCCCGCCTCCGCTGTCTTGGCGAGGCACGCACTCACTCCTTGGGATTTACAATGGGCTGAATTCATTTGCATAACAAAATTGGCTCGGGTATCCAAGTGTTGCAGGAAGACAAGTGTAACATTACGCAGAACAAGCAGCTGGGAGGAAGGTTACCACCAACAATGAGGGAACAAGATGCCCGCCCACCTGCTGCCTCTGCCAACCTTTCATCCACAGGCATGGGGGGCTGCTCGGGGGCAGTGTCAGGGGTGGGGGAGAAGAGATCTGCAGGCATGGGAGATGGCTGCCTGCCCAGGGATCTGGGCTGGGTGGATGGGTCGGATGGGAGGGGAACTCCTGCTCCTAGGGTCTTCTCACTGTTAGGGTGAAGAGGTTTCCTTTGCTATTTCTAAATGCCTGCACCATTTAAATGGTCCCAAAATTATCTCCCCACTCTCAGGACTTGATAACACAAGAACTTAACCACTAACCATGCACCGGTCCACTCATCCACTCTCATCCATTCACTCGCTCATCCACACATCTGCCATCTATCCACCTGCCACCATCCATCCGCCTGCCACCATCCATCCATCCATTCATCCATTCACTCATCAATTTACCCATCCGCTCATCCCCCCATCCATCTGCCTATCCATTCTTTCATCCTTCCACGCGCCTTCCCACTCCCACCCACTCACCTATACACTCATCTATTTACTAATCTCTCTGCCCACCCATGTGTCCATCCATCTATCCTTCCATCCACCCACTCATCCACTTACTCATCCACCAGGCCCCTCATTAATTCACCCATCCACGCTTGCATCCATCTAACAAAGCCAGATGTTGGACACGTGTTTGTGCCAGGTACAGCACTGGGGATTTCTCTGTGCCTCAGCTTTTTCGTCTATAAAATAAGGGTAATAATGGGATCTACCTCACAAGCTTGACCATGGCCCAGACTAAGTGCTGTGTAAGTGTTTTCTGATGTTAATCTTATTAGGCACTGGGGAATCTAAAGGTAAATAAAACAGAGTTGCTGCCCTAAAGGAAATCACACACTTCCTGGGGAAAAATGCAAGAAAACTGGCATTAGGGTCCCTCGTGGGATGTGCTCATCTGTAGGGAAATATTAAGGGTTGCGGGACGGCCAAAGCTTGGGCGTCCTGTCTCATTCCAGGCTCATTTGGGAGGTAGGAGGGGACAAGAAGTATCGTTATTGATCTTTGTATATTACAGATGAGGAAACTGAGGCCTAGGAGAGTTAAAGGACTGCCCAAGACCACACCACCGCACAGAGACACCAGGACTGAACGCTTGTGTCTTCTGACTTGCAGCTTCCAGCAGCCTGGATCATGCTCTTCTTACCTCATCTGGGTAGCAAGAGAAGGCTGCTCTAAAGCTACCTTACTCCCAGGTTGCAGGAGCAGAACCAAGACGTTCAGATCCCTTGAGGAAGAGAATGGCTCAGCATGAGGGGGCCTCACCCAGAGCCCTGGGTCTGCTCTGAGCCCCTCACTTAAAGAGGGAAGCTGACCAAATGAGGTGAGCCTGCTCGGGGGACTAGGGCTGGGGAAGGTGGACATCCATTTGGTCTTTGGAACTGAGGCCTGAGCAATGCATTCTGGCTGTGCTATGGGTCGGGGGGCGCACCACGGAGCTTGACCTCAGCATAGAATGTGGACTCTGCTTAACACACCTGAGGGCTGCATGGGGCACAGGATGGAGATGTGCTGTATGCAATCCTAAGCAGTGGAGCCAAGATCAACCCATGAAAGCTACAGGAAAATATGCCTACATGAAATGTACAGGAAGGCACATTTGATAATTTCTAACTATAATGATCAGTTCCCACCTCACAGAACTGTTCCAGGCAAAGTGGTCATGTCCTTGTCACTAAAAGCACTGAGATGCTAGAAGGGGGCACAGTGTGGTAGAAGAATTGTGGCCTTTGGAGCATGTCAGGCCTGAGTTCAAATCCAGATGTTGCCTGATGCTATCTGCGTGACCTCAGGCAAGTCACAGAACTTCTCTGAGGCTAGTCTGAAACATGGGAATTAGAAATCTCCATCACAATAGCTTGTGAGAATCCAGTAACAATGACCAATGCTTAACAGTGTGCTGGCGGGGCGTGGTGGCTCACGCCTGTAATCCCAGCACTTTGGGAGGCTGAGGTGGGTGGACCACTTGAGGTCAGGAGTTTGAGAGCAGCCTGGCCAACGTGGTGAAACCCCATCTCTACTAAAAACACAAAATTAGCCAGGTATGGTAGTGCACACCTGTAATCCCAGCTACTCGCGAGGCTGAGGCAGGAGAATTGCCTGAACCCCAGAGGCAGAGGTTGCAGTGAGCCAAGACTGTGCCACTGCACTCCAGCCTGGGCAAAAAAAGTGAGACTCTGGGCTGGGCACAGTGGCTCATGCCAGTAATTCCAGCACTTTGGGAGGCTGAGGTGGGTGGATCACCTGAGGTCAGGAATTTGAGACCAGTCTGGCTAACATGGTGAAATCCCGTCTCTACCAAAAATACAAAAAATTAGCCGGGCCTGGTGGTGCACACCTGTAATCCCACCTACTCGGGAGGCTGAGGCAGGAGAATCGCTTGAACCTGGGAGGGGGAGGTTGTAGTGAGCCGTGATAGCGCCACTGCACTCCAGCCTGGGTGACAGAGCGAGACTCCATCTCAAAAAACAAAACAAAACAAAACAACAGTGTTCTGAGTAAGTCTTCCTCACAGCCAATGTGTCAGACAGGTCCTTTAATTGTTTAAATAAACTTTTCACTTTAGAATAATTTCAGCTATATGGAAAAGTCACAGAGGTAGTGCAGAGAGTTCCCATAAGCTCCCCACCCAGCTTCCCCTACTGTTAACATCTTACGTCAGCGGCCAGCATAGTATTTTTTCAAAACTAAGAAACCAACATTGGTACATTTCTCCACCTTACTAATGAGGTTTCAGAGGCACAGAGAAGCTGAGCTTCCAGCCCAGAATCACAATTCATTATGACACATTCAATGAAATGCAATGTAGGAGAATGCTCAGCACTGATGTCTTTCTCATTCCAGAAAACCTAGGTGGGTCTGGGCTCCACTGTCTGTCTTATTAAGAGGCCCTGGCGGGCTGGGCCTCATCTCTGCACCTGTGTCCATCTTCCCTGCAGCAGAACAGAGCAACAGAGCAAGTGGCACCAGAGAGACCACCCACGGAGGGCACTTCGTGAAGAGCGAGGATTGGCTCTGACCAGTGCTTATCAGCAGGCACACAGTAGGTGCTCTATAAGGATTTGTTGCATAAATTAACAAATGAGCAGTGAAGTAATGAAGTAGAGAGCATTTCACTTTGTGTAGAAGACTGAATTCAGGCACTTCCAGGAGCTTTTCCAAATGTAAAGCTCTGGGAGCCTGAGATGACCAGTCTCCTCCCTAGCTGGGCTCCATTCCTCCCCTGAGAAATTGGAAGCACCAATTTGCATCCTGTGTACAGCAGGCACTCAACGCATGATGCCGATATTAGTATCTCCACCCACATTTTCCCTTGGTCCCAATTTCACCTCCACTTATTTAAATTTTATTTTACCCTGTTGGGCATTTTCTGCAAGCTGTCTCCAATCCTTGAAGGGGGTGTGTGTGTGTGCATGTGTGTATCCATGGTGGTACATAAAGAAACCAAGAGGCTGGGCGAGGTGGCTCATGCTGGTAATCCCAACACATTGGGAGGCCAAAGTAGTAAGATCACTTAGCCTGGGAGTTCAAGACCAGCCTGGGCAACATAGGGAGACTCCATCTCTATAAAAAATAAAAAGTTATCTGGGTGGGTGGCACATGCCCGTAGTCCCAGCTACTTGGGAGGCTGAGGTGGGAGGATCACCTGAGCCCGGGAGGTTGAGGCTGCAGTGAGCCATGATCACGTCACTGTACTCCAGCCTGGGCAAAACTTTATCAAAAACAACAACAACAAACAACAACAACAACAGAAAACACAAGCATGGAAAGAAAGACACTGTGGAGTCAGTCACTGATGGTAATAATTGGTAATAATGGGGTAATAATGTGTCGGAGGTGAGATTGGTGGGTGGTCCTCTACTTTGAGGTTCCCAAGGGGCATGCCAGGCCTCGTGCTGGGGATGCTGTAATGGAATGCCTAGCCTCTGTTTTCAGGAGCTCAGAGCCTGGCAGAGGGGTCAGCCCATGACACCAGATGTGGTAAGAATCCCCTGGGGTCATCCTGGGCACTCCAGCAGAGGGTCCTCCAGGCACCCGCCCCCAGAATCACACAGGCTGCAGCATTTCTCTGAACCAAGGGCTCTTAGGGCCCTGGCCCTCACATGGGAACCTCCTCACCACTTCTCTCCTTCAAAATCCTTCTCTTCACTTCCTGTCCCTCCTGCATCTCCTCCTTGTCCCCTCAGCAGCCCCACAGCTTTGTGTTGGCCTCTGCCCCGCAGTCTCAGGCCTCCATGTGGGAGTTTGGGTTTGGCTCCCTCGGGAGACTGTGAGAGCCTCGGAAAGAGGAACTCGGCTCCTCCCCAGCATCCAGCACAGTGCCCCTCAAGTGGGAAGACGTGAAAAGGTCCCTCAAAGACCTGGTGCTCCCAATATACATCTGGCCTTGGCCCCAGTGGCAGGAGCCAGCAGCAGGTCTGAATTTATTCATCTGCAGGGTGAGAATGAGAAAGGAGGGCATGCCCCGGCCTGGGAGGATAGGCCATCACCGAGACGGTCACCTCTGGGGCTGCTACCGCTCTCCCCTCCTCCATGGTGACCCTGGGAGCTCTCGGAGCAGGTTCAACTGTGTTCATCAAAAGATATGGCCAAAACCTAAATCCCAGTGCCCGTGACGTGACCTTATTTAGAATAGAGTCTTTGCAGATGTAATTAAGGATTTTGAGATGACATCATCCTGAATTCAGGGTGGGTCTAAATCCAATGGCTGGTTTCCTTATGAGAGACAGAAGAGGCAGATTTGAGACACAGAGAAACATAGAGAAGAAGGCCATGTGAGGACAGAGGCAGAGATTGGAATGACTCCCAGCTACAAGCCCGGGAACACCAAGATTGCCAGCAGCCTCCAGAAGGTGGGAGAAAGACAAGGAATAGATCCTCCTTCAGATCCTCCAGAAGGAAGCAGCCCTGCCAACACCTTGATTTCAGACTTCTGGACTCTGAAACTGTGAGAGAATACATTTCTGTCTCTTGAAGCCACCAAACTTGTGGCAATTTGCTGCAGCAGTGCTAGGAAACTAATGCCGCCCCTTTCTCTGTATCTTGGTTCACCTGTCCCCAGCACGATTTTTTGGCAACCTCTTAGAACAATGAGAGGACATCACCCATCCTTGCCCCTCAATCCAAGGATTGTGCTGAGAGATCTCACCAGCAACACTGCCACCTAAATGCTGGTAACTTCCAGCACACCCCTCCCTGTGCCTCAGTTTCTCCATCTGGATAGTGAAGAGTTGGGTAAGCTGATTTCTAAGGTCCTTTCTAGCCTTAAGAGTCCACATGACCCCAAACTATAAAGCTACTAGAAGAAAACATGGGGGAAATGCCTTATGACATTGGTCTGGGAAAAGTTCTTTTGGATAAGACCTCATAAGCACAAGCAACAAAAGCAGAAGAAGAAAGTGGGATGACATCAAACTGAAAAACTTTGGCCCAGCAAAGAAAACAATCAGCAGAGTGAGGTACAGAATGGGAGAAAGTATTTTCAAACTATGCATCTGATAAGGGGTTACTCTCCAGAAGATGTAAGGAACTCAAATAACTCAGTAGCAGAAAACTACTCAGAAGACTGGGGAGGGAGGATTGCTTGAGCCCAGGAGGTTGAGGCTACAGTGAGCCATGGTCATGCCACTGCACTCCAGCTTGGGACCCTGTCTCAGAAAAAACAAATTATTTGATTAAAAATCAAGGAACAGACCTGAATAAACATTTCCCAAAAGAAGAAATGAAAATGGCCAACAAGTATACAAGTATATGAAAAAATGTTTAACATCACTTTTTTTTTTTTTGAGACAGGATCTGGCTCTGTCATCCAGGCTGGAGTGCAGTGGCACGATCTAGGCTCACTGCAGCCTCTGCCTCCCAGGCTCAAGCCATCCTTCCACCTCAACCTCCTGAGTAGCTGAGACCACAGATGTGTGCCACCATGCCTGACTAATTTTTGTATTTTTTGTAGAGACAGGGTTTCACCATGTTGTCCAGGCTGGTCTCAAACTCCTGAGTTCAAGTGGTCTGCCCGCCTCAGCCTCCCAAAGTGCTGGGATTACAGACATGAGCCACTTCATTTGGCCCTAACATCACTAATCATCAGGAAGATGCAAATCAAAACTACAATGAGATATCATCTTACCCTAGTTAGAATGGCTATTATCAAAAAGACAAAAAATAACAAGTGCTGGTGTGGTTGTGGAGAAAGGGGAACTCTTATACACTGTTGGTGGGAATGTAAATTAGTATTGCCACTATGGGAAACAGTATGGAGGTTCCTCAAAAAATTAAAAATAGCTTGTAATCCAAGCACTTTGAGAGGCTGAGATGGGAGGATTGCTTGAGCCCAGGAGTTCAAAGTTGTGATGAGCTATGATTACACCACTGCACTCTAGCCTGGACAACAGAGAGACACCCTATCTCAAAAGAGGAAGAAAAGACTAGGAAGACAGAAAGACAGAAAGGGAGGAAGGAGGGAGGGAGGGGAGGAAGGAGGGAGGGAGGGGAGGAAGGAGGGAGGGAGGGGAGGAAGGAGGGAGGGAGGGAAGGAAGGAAGGAAGGAAGGAAAGAAAGTAGGAAGGAAGGAAAGAAAGGAAAAAGGAAAGAAAAGGACTATGATCCAGGAAGGAATAGAACTACTATGATCCAGTAATCCCACTACTGGATCCAAAGGCAATGAAATCAGTATGTCAAAGAGACATCTGCAGTCCTTTATTTATTGCAGGGGTATTCATAATAATCAAGATATGGAATCAACCTAAGTGTCCATTGGTGGATGAGTAAAAAAGAAAATGTGGTACATAGAAACAATGGAATACTATTAATCCATGAAAATATGAAATCCTGTCATTTGTGGCAACATGATGGATTGGGATGGACTTGGAGGACATTATGTTATGTGAAATAAGCAAGGCACACAAAGTCAAATACTGCATGATCTTATTCATATGTAGAATCTAAGAAAATTGTTCTCACAGAAGTAGAGAGTAAAATAGTGGTTACCAGAAACAGGGAGCTGGGGGTAGGGAGGGTGGGATGGGGAGAGATTAGTCAACAGATACAAAGTTATGGTTAGATAGGAGGTGTTCTGTTGCACAGTAGGAGGGCTGTAATTAATAGTACTGTGCCAGGCACAGTGGCTCATGCCTGTAATTCCAGCACTTCGGGAGGCTGAGGCAGGAGGATGGTTTGAACCTAGAAGTTCAAGACCAAGCTAAGCAACATAGGGAGACCCTGTCTCTACAAAAAATAAAAAGTTAGCTGAGCGTGGTGGAGCATGCCTGTAGTCGCAGCTACCTCCCACCTCGGCCTCCCACAGTGGGATTACAGGCATGAGCCACTGCTCCCAACCTCACTTTGGGCTTTTCTTTCTTTCTTTTCTTTTGGTTTTTCTTTTTCCTTTTTTTTTTTCCAAGATGGAGTCTCACTCTGTTGCTCAGCCTGGAGTGCAGTGGCGGCATGCTCTTGGCTCACTGCAACCTCCGCCTTCCAGGTTCAAGCAATTCTCCTGCCTCAGCTTCCCAAGTAGGTGGGATTACAGGTGCCTGCCACCAAGCCCGGCTAATTTTTGTATTTTTAGTAGAGATGGAGTTCCACGATGCTGGCCACGCTGGTCTCAAACTCCTGACCTCAGGTGATCCACATGCCTCAGCCTACCAAAGTGCTGGGGTTACAGGTGTGAGCCGCCGTGCCCGGCTCACTCTGGGCTTTTCTAAGCTCTCTCCATTAGTCCTTACAACAACCTTGTGAATTAGGACTCAATACCCCAATTCCACAGAGGAGGAAACGAAGAAGTTGCGGGGGTTGGCTTCCTTGGGCCGGGCCAGGGATTCTGCAGAAGTGGCAGAGGTACCCCTGTGTGCTGTCCAGCTTGAAGAATGGGGCAGGGTAGGGGCACAGTCTTGGTGAGGGTGAGAGATCGCTTACAAGGAACTGAAACATTCAAACTTATTTAAGGCGAAAGGAAAGAGGGAAGAGAGGGAGGGAGGAGGAAGGGAAAAAAGAAAGACTATATGGGGGGATTTATGGGAGGATTCAGGGGTCTCTGCCACTGAGAGCCCACTCAGGCCCCCCAGTCCCCTTGCCGTCCCAGTCAACTGCAGATGCTAAATTCTCCTCAGCAGCCCGATCTGGGGGAGGGCACTCTAGGAACACGAGATTGGGCCTGTGATGTCGGGCATGTGACCAGGTGGTGCCCAGAGCTCTGCTGACCGCAGGGGTGACCTCAGTGAGGGGCTGCCCCACTTAGGCCCTCATGCCTGTCTTCTGCCAAGTGAGGGCTCTGGCTCTCGGCTAAGCAAGTCTGTGATCCATCTGCTCTCTCTAATTAATAATGACAGTAGCACCGCTTCCCGAGCATTGATTGCACTGTGGCCCTGAGATTGGTGCAGAGCTGGCTGCCCCACACCACCACTTTCTAGCTCTGTGGCCTGAATGAGTTTCTTAGTCTCCAAACCTTCATTTCCCATCTGAAATCGGGATGTTCTAGCTCCCACATAGACGTTTCAGAACCAGCCGAGCTCATGTGTCAGTGGGGAGCTGGGGACACAGTAAGCCCTGTTTCTCAGCATCATGGCTCTGTCATTATTCTTATTCCTACAACACTACCAACATCGAGGACATACCAAGCACGGTACTAAATGACTTCTTAACTCATTAGTCCTTATGGCCCCAGAGAGGAGGAGACTAAGGCTCCGAGAAAGCACCTGGCTGCTCACATCAGGCCCATGGTCCACAGCAGAGCCCTGCACACCTGGTGAGCTGTGCGACTCCCAGACCTCACTAAGCCAGAGCCCAGCAGAGTCTTCCAAAGACAACAGAATCTTCCCACGTTCAGTGGGAGGAAGGAGGAAGTATTTATTGGGCATCTACTGTGTTCTCATGATGAAATTTAAGTTTTACACCTGATATAGGTGGTTGGTCTAATTATGTTCAAGGTAGAGATGAGGAAACTAGGCAGAGAGGTTCCGTAGCTTACACTGGGGCGTCTGGCATCGGACATGAGAGCCAGGAGCTTCCCAGACTGGAGCACTGCAGGTGCTCCAGTGGGTGGGGTGTGTGCTGGGGTGTGTGTGTATGTGAGAGAGAGTGTGTGGGTGGGAGCGTGTGTATGAGTAGGGGATCAATGTTTGCCTCCTCCTTCCTCCCACTGAACTGACCACAGGGTGTGAGTGCATGTGTGTGAGTGTGTGCTGGTGTGTAAGAGTGTGTGCTGGTGTGTGTATGTGTGTAATAGTGTGTGCTGGCATGTGTGTAAGAGAGTGCTGGTGTGTGTATGTGTGTAAGAGTGTGTGTGCTGGTATGTAAGAGTGTGTGTGCTAGTGTATGTGTAAGAGAAGGTGCTGGTGTATATGTATGTGTGTAAGTGTGTGCTGGTGTGTATGTGTATGTAAGAGTGTGTGCTGGTGTGTGTGTAAGGGTGTGCTGGTGTGTGTAAGAGTGTGCTTGTGTATATGTTTGTGTGTAAGAGTGTGCTGGTGTGTGTATGTGTATGTAAGAGTGTGTGCTGGTGTGTGTGTAAGACTGCTTGGATGTAAGAGTGTGTGCTGGTGTATGTGTGTGTATAAGAGTGTGTGCTGGTGTGTGTATGTGAGACTGTGTGTATGGGTGTGTGAGAGGAAGAGTGTGTGAGAGAATGTGTGTGTGCTTGCGGATGTGTGAGAGAGGGAGATGGGGGATGTGTGTGTGCCTGTGAGAAAGGTATACTTCTGTGTATGTGTTTACGTGTGAGAGTGTATGTGTATGTGTGAGAGTATGAGAATGTGTGTGTAGTGTGTGTGTGCATGAGTGTGTGTGTATTGTGTGTTCGTGTGTGCATGTGTGAGAGAGTGCTGTGTATGGTGTGTGAGAGAATGTGCTGGGGTGTGTATGTGAGAGTGTGTGTGCTGGGTGTGTGTGTATGTGAGAGGGAGAGAGTATGAGTGTGTGAGAGGGAGGAAGAGGGTGTGAGAGAATGTGTGTGAGAGACTGTGCTTGCGGGTGTGTACGTGAGAGGGAGAGAGACGCGGGAGAGTGTGAGAGCGTGTGTGTCTGTGAGAGAGAAAGGTATACTTCTGTGCATGTATGTGTTGAGTGTGTGAGTATGTGAGACAGAGTGTGAGTGTGTATGTGTATGTGTGAGAGGAAGAGAGTTTGAGAGAATGTGTGTGTGCTGTGTGTGTGTGTGAGTGTGTGGCCAGGGAGGGGGCCTCTGTCTCCTGGGCTCCTTATATCAGGGACAGTGTCTGTGCGGTGTGGATGGGAGTCATAGGGAGGCCTGGGAGCTGAGAGCTGGGAGCAGGCACCAGCCTATTAATGCCGCCCTCCTGAGGTGGGTGCAGATAAGTGGCCCCAGGGGCCGGGCCCGGGCTGAGGCCCCTCTAACTGGCTTGTTGCCATGGAGATGCTAGCTGTGAATACAGGCCTAGAAGTCCAGCTCAAGCCTCCCCTTCCTGGCAAGAGAAGACCCCCAGCTGGGGTGTGTTTGTCTGGCAAGGGAACTGCAGAGCCATGCCGTCCACGCCCCCTCCCCCCCATTATTTAAAGCAAAGGCTTCCGTTCCTTCCATTTTCCCTCAGGAGGGCTGTCCTGGGTCAAGGGAGAAAATGGCTGTCTTGATGGTCCCGACACTGGGGAATGGTGGGTCCCCTTGCGGTTGGGTGACCAGGGCAGGCAGGGAAACACATGTGGTTACGCAGCCACACCTGTGTTCCAGACCGTACAGCCAACCCCACCCAGCGACCAGACTCCTGCTGGCATCGGGGACGCTGAGAGGTTCGGGTGGGTCCCCGAGCAGGGGCAAGTTTATGTGAAAACCACCAGCTCTCCTGAGGTGGATTCTACCTGGAGTCAGGACACGTGAGGGTTTTCGTTAATGTTTTCTTGTGAAAAATTTCAAACATTAAAAGCCGGAGAGAGCATTTAATGAACCCCGAGTACCCACTACTCAGTTGCAACAATTATTAGCTTTGTCCATCTCGTTTCATCTGTCCCCTCTTTTTTTTTTTTTTTTTGCCAGGGTAGTTGAAAACAAATCCCAGATATCAGGTGA
Organism: Homo sapiens; assembly: GCF_000001405.40. Lineage (NCBI taxonomy): Eukaryota > Metazoa > Chordata > Mammalia > Primates > Hominidae > Homo > Homo sapiens. The sequence continues at coordinate 978,507 of NT_187614.1, forward strand.
CTTCATGTGGAATGACTTCAGTAAGTACCTCTCACTAACTGGCCATGCCAGGATCACACCTGAGGAAATTAACAGTAATCCCATGGTGAGCGTCAGCTGACACTCAGTCCCTCTTTAACTGCGCCCCGCCTCCTCCCGTAAATATGTAAACCCACACTGCAAGGGTGGATGGAGGGCCATGTGGCCGGGCGGCTTCTGTGCTTTAGCTTTGGAGCCTTAAGAGGGTGAGGGTTGAATACCTGTGGCTTTGGGTGGGTGGTTTGCTTTATGGGGCCTCTCTTTCTTCCTATGCCAAAGGTACTGACCTCTCCCAAGGCGGTCAGGAGGACTGAATGAAATTGTATGAGTACAGTACTGGGTACTTGGTAGGGACTCAATGAATGGTGGCAGTGCTTACGATGTTTTCTATTTTGCATATAAGGAAACTGAAGTTCAGAGCAGGAGAGTGACTTGCTCAAGCTCACACAGCTCAGAGTGGTTAAGCTAGGATGGAAGCGTAGGTCTTCTAAGTGCTCTGGGATGTGTGTTCAACACAGCCCCCTCACCCCCTCTAATACTGGCCTTGTCTGCCACCACCCCATACTACAAATGGAAATGACACAGAGGGTGACATCAACTGGTCCCTTTTTCTCGATAGCCACTAGATCATGGTGCTGTGGGCTGAGCAGATGATTGATAGGACATCACTGGGCCTGGCTCTCCAGGAGACCTAGAAAAAGATCTTGCCCCTCTCTGGGCCTCAGTTTCCCTATCTGTACCACAAGGGCATTGACCTCCACGTGGTCTTCGAGACCTCTTCCAGTTCTGCTTTGTTTGCACCAGGGTTAGTAACCGTGGGAATGGGAGAGATGGAGATACTTGAGGCTGATGGGGAGTTGCACAGCCCAAGACCCCAGGCTGCAAGACAGTATGGGGATGAGGGCGATCCTCCCATATTGGAGATCAGGGATGGGGTGGCCCAGCTAGGTAGAAGTGAAGCTCCCCCACCCCCACTGGATTGTGAACCTCCTGAAATTAGGGCTGTGACTTGTACCTTATAAGTATCACATAGATGAGATAAAAAATTTCATCGATGTAATGGATGGAACACTAGATAGGAGATCAGTAAGGAAATAGAAGACTTTAAAAACACTGTAAACCAGCTAGACCTAACAGACACTGCTTTCTAACGGCGATTGAAGAGCACATTCCACCCAGCAACAGCAGAATACACATTCTTCTCAAGTGCACACGGACCATTCTCTAGCATAGATCATATCTTAGGCCACAAATCAAATCTCAATAAATTTAGAAAAATTGAAATTACACAAAATATGTTCTCTGACAACAGAGTAATGAAATTAGAAGGTCAAAAACAGAAGGAAATTTGAAAATTCACAAATATGTAAAAATTAAACGACACACTCCTAACCAAAGGGTCAAAAAATAAATCATAAGGGAAATTAGAAAATACTTTGAGACGAATGAAAACAAAAACACAACATACTAAAACTTACAGGATGCAGTAAAAGCAGTGCTCAGAGGGAAATTTATAGCTGTAAACACCTACCTTAAAATAGAAGATCTCAAATCAATAACCTTCCACCTTACTAAAAAAAAAAAAAGCAAACTAAATCCAAAGCAAGCAAATAAAAAAATTAGAACAGAGATAAATGAAACAGAGAACAGAAAAACGATAGAGAAAAATCAGCAAAACCAAAAGTTGGTTGTCTGAAATGATCTACAGAATTGACAAACCTTTAGCTAAACTGACCGAGAAAAAAAAAAAGAGAGAGAAAACTGAAATTACTAAAGTCAGGAATGGAAGTGGAGACCTTGCCACTGACCTTACAGAAATAAAAAGGATTATACAATTTCACTGATAGATTCGAAAGAAACTCCACAACATTTCTAGAGATTGGAGAGAACATCCGGAAATGGTTACCAGTAGTTGCCTTCAGGGAAACAGGGCTGGGGTGGGTGGAGCTGGGGTGCCTGCTTTTTATTATAAGTCCTTAAGGGCTATTTTTGTAAATGCTTTGATTGCAAAATATAAGACACATACAGAAAGTGGATTTTTAAAAAGTACCGCTCAGTAATTTATCACCAAGTGAATATCCATGAAACCACCACTTGGTCAAGAGGAACATTACCACCTCCCCAGAAGCCCCTCCTGTACTCTAGCCAATCCTCCTCCCCAAAGAAAACCACCATTCTGACCTTTATGGCAAATACTCTTGCTCTCCTTGATAGTTTTGCCATCTCTACACACAATAGTTGGGTTCAGTTCGTGCTTGATAAATCCAATCAAGTAGCAGGTCCTCTTTTGGGTCCGGCTTCTTGCATTTTACATTCTGTTTGTGAGATTCCCCATGCTGTTGTAGGAAGCAGTCGTTGGCTCAAATTTTCTTAGCTGTATCATATTCCATTTTATGAGTACACCATCATTTATGTGTCTGTTCAACTATTGATGGAATGGGCTTTTTAAAAAGCCATGTACCTAAAGATAGGTTGATTAAAATATTTCTGATAAAATGCACATTTAAAATGCAACTCAACACATATTAGTTTAATTTCATCCCTAGGATCCTCATTCCCTTTTCTGCTCCAATAAGTCATGAAGACAGCTTGGGTCTCAGAAGAAAATAGGCCGTTTAAGCAGAAGCCCAGAGGGAACACATCTGAGAGATGCCCACACCCCCATGGGGTCCTCTCATCAGCCCTTCTCCCCAAATTTTCAGCCTCAAATGGGGGAGGTCACACAGATGGAGAGAAACCACTCTCTCCCTTCCACCCGAGGTCTGCAGATTCCTGACACACATACGAGTGCACACCCAGGCAGACAGGCAAGAGCGTGGCCCCCACACATGAGCACACACACGGGCACCTAGGCATATCCCAGAAGTGGCAATGCCTGCTGGCACCTGACCAGCAGGCGAGGTCTGTGCACAGAGAAGTTGTGGAAGAAGAGGAGGGGAAAGCGTGGGGGAAAAATCCCCTCATTTCTGAAGAAATGTCCCAGATTAGATTTGTAAATCAAAAACCAATATATAACATGCAAGAATTGATCTGTTTTATATTCCTCAGTTACATTTTTGTGAAGCACATTTAGAAGATTTAGAACGTATTTGCGCCTGCTGGTTGGGCCATTATATGCTTGAGTTCATACATCTATTTGTGAGGCTATAAAACAGGCATCGACTACCATGTAAATTGTGTTCTCCACAATAAATTATATGCATACTTGCAAAAATACATAACTGCCGTGCCTGGGCCAACGCGGCCAGAATACTAATGAGGGCGAAAGTTGCTTTGTCCCTCTTCTCCGGCCTAATTTAGCCTCTACATCAAAAATTATGTAGGAAAAATCACTTTATCCTCTCACTGAGAAATAAAATAGCACTCATGGGTACCCTCATCTCTTCCCACCCCCGTTCCTTTTAACCGAACACTACCATTTTCATACTAATTTTAGCTGCTCCAGGTTTACGGGGAGGAAGCCTGGCTGAGCTGAAGCTGGGGTGCCAGCGGGCTGCCTGGATGTATGAGAAGGCTGTGGGAGTGGGCATGTGCATGCACACACTCACACACACACATGCATACACACGTAGGCACATTCCCTCCGTGTGGTTTGAATTCGCTTGTGCCAGGGCATGTTCACAGCATGCACACAGACCTACATGTAAATGTGAAGACTCACCCCAGACACGCATGCACAGACACTCCACGAGCATTTGCCCACGTGGCGCAGATTCATTCCCTCTCCCCGGTACAGACTCCTATGCACAGAGACACACTGGGGAAATTCAGTTCAGTTCGGTTCAATTCAGTTCAAACAGGTCAGTCCAGCAAACACTGACTGAGCACCTATTAGATGCCATGTGCTGTACTTGGCATTGGGACTACGGAGATTTTTTTTTAAAAAAGGCAGAATCTCAGCTTATAGCTCAGGGGAAGAGGCAGCTTTAGGAACAAATGCAGACAAGTCAGTATGCTGAGGGCTGTAGCAGAGACAGAGAGCATACAGGTACACACACTCACGCCCTGGTCATTGTCAGTGTGCATATTTTCCAGTACTCATATGTGCACACACAGATGCACACAGAGTCCCTGCACTTACACAGGCACATACCTCACACCACATGGACTCACGTGTGCATGCACAACACACACATACACACACCGGTACACTCAAGCATCAGCATAGCCACCCTCCCACTGACACCGCATGCTGGTGCCTGCCTCACCTCTGTCTTTCCTGCAAGCCCAAGTTAACTTCACGCCCTGTCTGGCTTGCCCTTTCTTGGGTTCTGTTGCTGTCTATCCTGGAAGCAGAGCCACTTCCAACAGCAGGCTGGCTAGTGTTGCTCCCACTTCTCCCAGGGGCCTGCCCAAGGTTCCATCTTGCTGGGAGCTTCCGCAGGCTCACAAGAGGAAGGAGAAGTAGACACAGGAAGATCTCATTTCCATGACCTCAGGCCAGTCCGTGCCCTGTCCCAGGCCTCAGTTTACTCCTTTTCTTTTTCTTTTTTCCTTTTTTTTTTTTTTTTTTTTTTTTTTTTGAGATGGAGTCTCACTCTGTCACCCAGGCTGGAGTGCAGTGGCGTGATCTCTGCTCACTGCAACCTCCACCTCCCAGGTTCAAGCAATTCTCGTGCCTCAGCCTCCCGAGTAGCTGGAACTACAGGTGTGCACCACTACATCTAGCTGCCTTTTTTGTATTTTTAGTAGAGACAGGGTTTCACCATGTTTGCCAGGCTGGTCTCCAACTCCTGACCTCAGGTGATCCGCCCGTGTTGGCCTCCCAAAATGCTGGGATTACAGGCGTAAGCCACCGTGCGCCCGGCCTACCCATTTTTAAAATGTGGGAATTGGATGGTCTCTGAGGCCATCAGGCTCCAGATGTCCACAGTTTGTGCTGAAGAAGGTGGCGCCTCAGTCCAAGTCAGAGAGTGTGAGACAACTGCAGAGACGCCCCCAACCTGGAGGCATCTCGGCCCCGCTCCGAGCTCCCAGCCTAAGAGAAGCGTTTGACCTCAGGGGCAGGCCTCATGAGGGCAGGAGAAGTCATGTCCTGGAGAAAAGGAGTGGCAAGATGTGGTAAGGGAGAGAAGACTTGGTGCAAGAGGGCCAGCTCGGATATTTATAGGTGCCAGCCACGGTTCTAGGGGAATTTCATTCTATCTTCAAACACCTGAAGGGCTGCCGTGGGGCAGAGGGAAAGGACTTCCTCTGCATGACCCAGTTGGTAGAACTAGGACAGTGGGAAAGTGGTGGAGGCTGCAATGAGACAGACAGCCTTTAGTTGAATACAGTGATCAGCGTGATTTCTCCGTGCGTGCACCCACCTACCAGCATGCGTGGTGTACATTCTGCTGCTGTGTATTCCATCTCCTTGCAGCCCTTTCTTTCCTCTGCTCCCTATAGCTCATCCTATGGCTTTTCATACCGTACTATTTTCTCTTTATCTCAGCTTGTTCTTGGAGTAGAAAATATGTTCTTTTTAAAAACGAAAATCAGATTTTTATTGAGGAAAAAATATTAAGTTCACATGATGAAAAATTCAAATTGGTCAAAGGATGTATGGCGAAAAGAAGGTCTCTCTCTCTGGCTGCCCAGGCTCCTCCGGCTGCCCAGGCTCCTCCGGCTCATCGTCATCCAGCTTCCTTCTCCAGAAACAACCACTGTTACCAATTGTTATGTGTTTTTTCAGAAATATACTGTGCGTGCAAGCATCTCTCTCTGTCTGTTGATCTGTCCTTTATTTAACACAAATGTGAGCATACCATGTGCCCTGATCCTTGCCTCCCCTCCCCTCCCCTCATCCCAACCTAACTACGTAGCTTGGAAGGTGTTTCTGAGGAAAAGTTCTCCATTGGGCGATATCTGACAATGAAATGGGCTAACGAGCTCTCAACACTGGGGATGTGGAGGCACAGGCTAGATGACCACTTGGGGAAAGAAAAATGGGAGAGTTGGGCCCTTCCTTGGAGGAGGAAGGTTAGACTCATGCCGTCTAAGGCCCTTTCCATGAACCAGCTGCTTGGATACAAAGAGAACAGCTCTCTTTATCTTGCGTTCTTCCCATTTTTCCCCACTCCCTCCCAGCGCCCCACAAGCTGGGCCAGGGTCACCAGTGTTTAAAGCCGCCCAGCCTTGGCTTCCAGCCCTTGTGTAATTGACAAGAATTCCCCCCCTCCCTAAGAGATGGCCTCTCTCTGTGCCAGCCACATGCCACTAAACTCCAAATTAAGAGGCCCAGCTGAGATTTCTGTCTTATTCCACCCATACTCCTGGGGCCAATCCTCTCTCATTTCAGGAGGGGAATGGAACTCAGAGTTTGGATTTGGGAAGGGGGGTAGAGGGGGCTCGCCACCAAAGCTGGTGCCTCTATGCTCCAGAGAGATGTGCGTGTCCTACCATGCGGCTTAAGACTTCTCCAAAACACCGTCCCCCCAAATCCAATAAAATTGCAAATTTCACTGTATTTCACAATATCCTAAATAAACATGAACAGCATGCGTTTCTCTTCCTTGCATCAAATATTAATCTGCCCGTGGCCAGCGCCCGCTCCCCCGCGTGTGTGCGCACGCTGGGTAAACACTGGGGAGATTGTGATGCCAGACCTTCCCTTCTCTTCCCCGAGTCGAGAGCATGACAAATTTTTCTCCTAATTACACCTGCCACTGTTTGCCTTCTAATACTGTAAATCCTCCATCACATAGTTTTTCAGATTCGGGATTAGGTTCTCTTCCTGTCGTACGAATGATTGGAGGGGGCAGGGATGGGGGAGGAGGCTGGGGTGGTGTGGGCCGCATGGCCTTGCTTTCCACGATTTCGCTGTGAGGACTCCTGAGCTGGGCACCAGCAGTGTGTCCAGGCACCTCGCCCTTCTTCAGGGTGGGAAGGAGATGTCAAGAGGCAGCGGGGAGGAGGGAATGGAGAAAAGATACCTGTGCAGGTGTACAGAACCTGCTCAACCCAGCTTCATTAGCCCCCGCTAGGTGCCCAGGAGCCCTGGAGATAATGAAGCTTCTGAGATCCAAGCGAGAAGGTGAATGTGCAGCTTCTGGTGCGGTGCCCAGCACGGAGTTGGTGGACAGTGACCTGGAGCTCCCCACTTGCTCTGTCTCCTGACTGAAGCCATCCTCATCTCTCTCCTGGACTGTGAAACCTGGCTTCCCACTGGTTTCCACCTCACCTCACCCCTCTCCAAAGAACCCATTGTCCCCAGCTGCCATAGGCTCTTTCTAAGCCCAGAGCCCTCCATCGAGACAGGCCCTGTCTCAGAACTCCAGCTGACTTCCCACCATGTTTGAGTCGTGTCCAGCCCCATCCTCTACGGCCCTCCACCACCGTCCACCTCAATTCTCCTGCCTCATGCCCCGTCCTCAGGCTTCCTGTCCACCCACCGTAGACTGAGCCTACCTCGTCCACCGCCTCACCCTTCCCCACATGCGCTGTGCAAACTGCTACCTCCTCTTCTTTGCTCCCTCTGCCTGGAATGGATGCTTGTTGAAATTTCAGCTTTCTTCCCAGGTATTCACCCCCGATGACGTCACCTCTTTGAAGCCCTCCTTTGTGATCCCATGGAGCTTCACATCTACCATGTTTGGGACTCAGATCTTTGCCTCATCTGTCAGTGGTGTAGGAGGGTCTGTAGGTGCTTTCAAGGTGGAGTCCAGGTCCTAAGCATCTCTGTCCCTCAATACCTCTCTAGTTTCCAAGTCTTGGCACTGCAGAAGGATGATACCTGGTGCATGGTCGGGGGGAGCGTCCTGCTGTTTCTAAATCTCATGACCAAGTCAACTGCCTGCTCCAGCTGTGGGAGAGAATGGGCAGCTGCCCACCTGGCAGGTAATAGGGAACCCCAGCCAGTGCAAGAGGATCAATCCCTCCAGGCTACGGTGACAGGAGGAGGAAGGAGGACGTTGAAAAGCCCAGACCTTCCATTCCCTTCCCCGCTGCAGCGTGCGCTGGTCTGATAGGGTCCCCTCCCAGTTGTCTGTGTGTCTGGAGCATCCAAGCTGTACAAAGGACACCGAATCATTCTCCAGGGGTTTTGGCGTATGCAGTGTTATTGGCTATTTTAATTTGGTGAGGGAATGCAGATAACAGCTTTGGCTTCTTATTACCCTCCGTTCCTAGAGGCCCTTCTGCCTCCAGGTCTGCCCCAGCCCATTGGCGCAGGAGGACCCCATCCCACTGTGTCTGAAACCTCGAGCTGGGCTAAGAGGGGCAGTCTTAGGCGGGGTCCAGGCTACCCTGGTGAGGTCTCCATCCTTTCAAAGCTCCCCTGGAGTTGTTCTCGAAGCCTCCCAGAGTCAGCTTGTTCAGCTTGAATAATATCTGTCCCTGGCCTTGTCCCCTCCCCACACATTTCACCTTCAAAGGGCCAGGAGAAATTTCCCTAATTAATTAACTCCTCTGCAGCCTGCCCTCCATGTCATTGGGTGATTAATCGTCACTGTGACTTTAAATCCAGGGGCGGAGGGAAGTTGGCAGGGGTGGAGGCCAGAAGCAGGGATGCTGGGGGTTGGGGGAGGCAGCCTGAGGGCCTTTCCTGGGGTTGGAAGACCCCCACCTCATCCCCATTCTTGTCCTTGCCCAGGGCCTGGCCAAGAGGCCCCAGAGCCAGACCACAAATACATCCATCAATAATCAATCAATGAGTCTCAAATAGAGACGGTGAGAACTAGGCCATTCTGGGAGAGGCGGGGTGGCTCCTGCCTATTCTAAAGTCTGCAAAACAGGGTAGCAGTTAAGAACATGGGCTTTGGAGTCAGGAGGAACTGAGTTCTAATCCTGACTCTTTCTCTTTCCAGCCGTGTGACCGATGGCAGGTCACTTTGCCTTCCGGGGCCTCAGTGTTCTCACCTATACAATGGGGATGAGCAAATAGGACCTACCTCCCAGGACACCTGGGAGGATGAAATGAGATCACGTGTGTGAAGCTCTTAGCATGGCGTGGGGGACACAGCAAGTGCAGGGGACGCAGCAACAGTGTGGCGGCTGCTACATCACGGAGGCTGTAAGGCCAGACTCCTTGTCCCCAGTGCCCAGCTAGGTCCCTTGCCCCCCCGGCTCTGTTGTCTTTAGTGGCTCTTCCTCCTCACTCACTCCTCTGTGCAGTCACACAGCCCAACCCAGCTGCTGCACTCACCTGCTGCATGACCCTGGGCAAGGTGCTTACTTTCCTTACGTCTGCATTTCCTGATTTAGAAAACAGGGTAAAGCTGCCCTGCCTGCATGCTTCCAAGGCTCTGGCACACACACAAGGATGTAGCCCAGCCCTTCCTCCAAGGAGTTCCATGACAGGAAAGACAGAAGGGGAAAGAAATACTTGCAAATTCGGTGTGAGCTATGACAGAGGTGCACGGACATTCAGCAGGAGGCAGGCAATGGCATCACGGGCTCAGAGTACAGTGAGGGTGAAAGAAGATGATTCCACACATAATAGTTGCTCAGTAAACATCTTTTCCCTTCTCCAGCCTTACTCTTTCCATATAGCCTAACTTTTTAGACTCAGCTGCTTTCCACCTCAGAACCCCAATCTCTGTCCTTTCTGCTGAGCCTGCAAAATCTGGAAGGAGGGATAGAAGACGGGCCCCTTGGGGAGCCCCTCCTATCATCACCAACCTTAGTTAACATTTGCTGTTTACTGTTTCCAGGCACTGGGCAGGTGTTCTGCATACATTAAAATCTAATTGAATCCTCACAACAGCTCCACGGAACAGTTGTCAAGGCTGACCCAGAACCTAAGGGAGACAGACCAGAGGGATAAATCCAGGTAGGCTTCCACTGGGGCTGCAGAGACTTAGGGTTTTAAAAAGTGGGTGCTGCCAAAGAGGGGCGGTCCCATCCGAAAAAGCAAATGACTGGCCCTCAGACTCCTGGCAAGACCCCAGGAGGCCTGTGGTGCTCAGGTTTATTCACTTCATTCACTACTTTAAGGAAGCTTCATTGATCTTGTGCCCTGTAGTGGGGAGTTCAGTAAGCCCAGCCCCATCTCATCTCAGCAGCTCCTCTCCACCGGAGTTCAGCCACCCCAGGCGCTCTGCGAGACAGATACACTGGTGGGAGCCTGGGTGGAGGGTAGGGGTTTGTCCTGCCTACAGAACGTGTCTGGGACTTAAAGCAGGCTCAGAGGAATCTCCGGGATCTTTCAATGCAGCTCCATGCTCCCAGTGAGTGTGTGGTGTGGGGTGGGCATGGGGCAGTGAGGAGCGAAGGGGTGTGGAGGGAAGGGGACCAGCCTTGCTCAAGGTCACAGGGGTTCTTAGTAATAGAACCCAGACCACTGGGCACCAGGGTTTTCCAGAACAGGATTCCTAGTGGGTGTGGTGTGGCTGGGGAAAGGGAGGGCTGTGATTGCTGCCATATGGGGGTAGGGGGAGAGCTGTCAGAAACAGCATTTGGGGGAACAATCAGGGTGGAAACAGTATCCAGAAGGTCAGGGTGCCAAAATTTTGTAGGCAGCACAGGGTAAATTAAACAGGTTTTGAAGCAAACACACATATCTTACTGCCCCGCCCCTTCTCAAGCTGTGCGACCACCGGCAAGTTACTTCACCTCTCTGGGCGTCAGTCTGCTGAATGTAAAGTGCTTAGTTCTCAGAAAGGCTAAGACAAATATCCATTTTCTTCTTTTTCCTTTCGCTACTTGCCCCCTCCCTGGGAGCTTCACCCTCACTGTAGTTCCTGGTGGACTCATTCATTCATTCGACAGGGAACCGATTTAGTACCAGGTACTGTTCTAAGCACTGGAGATAAGGAGTGAACAGACAAAAACATCTACCCTCAGGGGGTTTACACTCTAGTGGAGGGAGACAGACAGCAAATTACATCAGTTATTTAAGTGTCTAAGTGCTTGTATAAGTGCTATACAGAATGAAGAGGAAAGGAGACATAGAGGGTGTTGTGGGAATGGGTTCAATTTTAAAGAGAGTAGTCAAGGAGGGGCCTCATTGAGAAGGTGACATTTGAGCAAAGACCTGACTGAGGCAAACTCTGCTGATTTTTGGGGAAGGAACTCCTGGGCAGAGGGAACAGCCAGCACAAAGGCCCTGAGGAAGGATTGGCCTGGCCAGTTCAGGGAGAGGCGAGGAAGCCAGAGAGACCAGTGGAAGGAGGGAGGCCGGCATGGTAGGAGGTAAGGTCACGGGGAGGAGGCCAAGGGAGCCAGATGGGGCAGTGCTCACAGACCATTGCAAGGGCTTTGACTCTGAAGGAAGCTGAGAGCCAGGCAGGGTTTGAGCAGGGCAGGGACACGGTATGACTTAGAACGAGGTTCCTCTGGCTACTGGTCAAGAGCAGGCTGTGGGGCAACAAGGGTGGAAGCCCATTTGGAGGCTACTGCAGTCACCCAGGTGAGAGGCAGTGGTGGAGAGCAGTGGTCAGATTCCGGATGAATTTTGCAGGGAGAGCTACCCAGGTTAGCTGATGGATTGGCTGTGGGGTTGAGTGAGAAAGAAAGGAGTCAAGGGCGACGAGGCTCGGAGAGGTTAGGGTGGGCTGCTTCTGAGTGTGCTGTGAGCCAGTGCCTTTCTCTTGTACAGAACATGTCCAGACTGCTGTCTCCAATAGCCTATACCCTCCAGTTCCCTTCTCTCCTGCTCCGTGGAGCTCTGTGGCAGCCATTTCTACTACAGTGTGGGCCTTGCATGGGAGCTGTTAGGGAGGCATGTGCACACACACGCACACTCACATGTGTGTGTGTTCATGGGCTGCCTCCAAGAGCTTCGATCCTGTTTTATGTGATGGCATGCAGGCCTCCCTCCTCTGTTTTATGTGATTGCATGCAGGCCTCCCTCCTCTGATGAAGAATTGCTAAGGAGGCCAGGTGTTGTGGCTCACGCCTGTAATCCCAGCACTTTGGGAGGCCGAGGCGGGTGGATCACTTGAGGTTAGGAGTTCGAGACCAGCCTGGCCAACATGGCGAAACCCCGTCTCTACTAAAAATACAAAAATTAGCCGGGCATAGTGCTGCGCGCCTGTAGTCCCAGCTACTTGGGAGGCTGAGGCAGGAGAATCACTTGAACCTGGGAGGTGGAGCTTGCAGTGAGCCGAGATCACACCACTGTACTCCAGCCTGGATGACAGAGTAAAACTCTGTCTCAAAAATAAAAAAAGAAAGAAAGAAAGAAAGAGAAGAAACGTTAAGAAGCTGAAGCCCTTCCATATGTCTGAGCCTTGGTGTATTCATCTGAGAAATGGGAGTGAGGATTGTGGAAGAACCCTGGGTTGGGCTGAGGGCTGGGCAGGTAGGAGCTAGAATGCCTGGATGTTGTTGCCATGAAGCTAGGAGAGGGCTGGAGGTTCAAGAAGGTTTCTAGATACCTGGGTTGGGGGAGGGGGTGCAGAGGGAGTGGGGTCAAGGTATGAGGCATGAGTCAAGGGTGTGGGGTTGGAGGGTGGGGTGTGAGAGGTGGGCCCTGGGAAGAGCTGAGGGACCAGTCTGGGAGGGGTGAGGTGCTTGGTAAGTACTTGGTAGAGGGCGCAGCAGGTACTCTGGCGAGATGCTGGGTACTGCAGCATATATGCAGCGTGCATGATGAGCTCTAGGTGTTCGGGGCTCTCTGGTGAACGCGCATCACCTTGTTTACCTCCTTTCATACTCCTGTCCACTTCGCCAGCTCCACACTGCCCCCTGGCAGTGCCTTGTGTGCACCAGAAGTGAGTTCTCCCTGGGGCCTTGGCATTCCGTTCCCTCTGCCAGGATTGCTTATCCTGGATGTCCACGTGCTCTTTTGCCTTCTCCATGGCTTTGCTCACAGGTCCTCCCCAGCCAGGCCTTCCCTGACCCTATCCAATCTGCAGCCCCACCCAGCGCTCCCTCTTCCCTTCTCTGACTTCATTTCTTTCCATAGTGTGTGTCACCGTCTTTCATCTATTTCACTGATTTTGCTTATTATCTCCTTCCTCTAGAAGCTAAGCTCCATGTGGGTAGGGACTTCTGGTTTTTTTGTTTGTTTGTTTTGTATTGTTTTTGAGACACAGTGATGCTCTGTTGCGCAGGCTGGAGTGCAGTGGCACGATCTCAGCTCACTGCAACCTCCGCCTCCGGGGTTCAAGTGATTCTTATGCCTCAGCCTCCTGAGTAGTTGGGGTTACAGGTGTACAACACCATGCCCAGCTAGTTTTTTGTATTTTTAGTAGAGACTGGGTTTCACCATGTCGGCCAGACTGGTCTTTAACTCCTGACCTCAAGTGATCTGCCCACCTTGGCCTCCCAAAGTGCTGGGATTACAGGAGTGAGCCACCACACCTGGCCTGTTGGTTTTTAACGGTGGTGAAATGTACATACAGTACTTACTATTTCAATCATTTGTAAGTGTACAATTCAGTGGCATTAAATGCATTCTCACTGTTGTGGAAGCATCCCTGTCTATACCCTATACTTTTTCATCATCTCCAAAATAAACTTTGAGCCCATTAAACAATAACTTCCCCATCCCTCCCCCCCCAGCTCCTGGTAACCTCTATTCTATTTTCTGTCTCTGAATTTGCCTATTCTGGGTACCTTATATAAGTGGAATCCTACAATATTTGTCCTTCTGTGTTTGGCTAACTGTACTTAGCATAATATTTTCAAGTTCGATCTATGTTGTACTATATATCAAAATTCCATTTCTTTTTATGGCTGAATAATATTCCATCACCTGTACACACAATGTTTTGGTTACAACTGCGTGCTCTGTGCCTGGCATAGTGCCTGACTCATGGTCAGTGCTCAGTAAATATTTGTTGAATGACTGAGTGAATGAATGAATGACTGAGTGAGTGAATGAATGAATGAGTGAATGAATGAATGAATGAATGAGTGGAAGGGGTGATGAGTCTTTATGGTTTTGTTTTTGTTTTAGAACCATCGTGTTTGAGATCCTAGAGAAGTGTTTGCATAGAGATGACAATAAGTGCCCCTGGGTGTTGAGGAGAAAGGAGGATGAGGGGTAAATGGTGTGTGAGCAAGGGTATGAAGAGGGGGTACAGCTGGTCTCCCGAAAGGGGTTCCTTCCTGCCCTGGGCAGAGCACCTCCACCCTCCCTTCCTCACTCCAGAGGAGCCTGGGGCGGGAAGTCTTCTGCAGGAATCCAGTCTCAGACTCCCTGCCCCTGGCCTGCTTTGGCTTCTCCTCTCCCTTTGGGGTGCCTGGAGTGTATGTGGGGTGCTCAGAGCATATGTGGGGTGCTCTGTGCCTCGGGAGGGGGCCCCAGGTCTGGCAGGCTGGAGACGATGTCCCTGCTGGGCAGCTGTCCTCAACCTGAGATTGCCGAGGGTCTGAACTCACCCATGAGAGGGTCCAGATGTCCAGCCTCATCCCTGCTAATTAGTGCAATTAATTAGCAACTGGCTTCATGGCCCTGGGAGTCCTGAGCTCCTTTCGCACGCTGGAATAGTACTGCAAACAGGTGTCGGGGGAATTATGGGGGTCAGTGAAGGAGATAGACTGTAGGCTGACCCTTCCCTGGACAGAGAGCCCCCTGCCCAAGAGTGATTGTAGTGGCTTTTCTCTCTTCTGTCTGGCTGGGCCCAGGAAAGCCATGCCTGGGAAGTGGTGGAATAAAGGGAGGAGGCCCAAGTCCCACAGCCAGAGCTGCAGAAGGAGTAGGAAACACGGTGTCACCTATTCCGGGTTTTTGCAGGAAACCTGGGCTCTGCCAGAAGATTCCCTGACCCCTGCAGGAGATACAGCCCCTGTCCTGGGAGATGTCCCCAGTTTGATTTTGCAGATACAATCACTGCCCTAGGGGAGCTCCTGGTCAGATTGGGGAATTAAGTAGAAGACACAAATTTGAGGCTGGGCGCAGCAGCTTACACCTGTAATCCCAGCACTTTGGGAGGCCAAGGCGAGTGGATCACTTGAGGTCAGGAGTTTGAGACCAGCCTGGCCAACGTGGTGAAATCTGTCTCCACTAAAAATACAAAAACAATTAGCTGGGTGTGGTGGTGCACACCTGTAACCCCAGCTACTCAGAGGCTGAGGCAGGAGAATTGTTTGAACCCGGAAGGCAGAGGTTGCAGTGAGCCAAGGTCATGCCACTGCACTGCAGCCTGGGTGACAGAGTGACTCTGTCTCATGAGAAAAAAAAAAAAAAGGGACACAAATTTGAGAAAACAGTCCCTGGGCTCTTTGAGTAACACAGAGATAAGTGCCAAAGGAGGAGGTCCAGAGAAGGGAGGGTGGGTCCTAGGGGGAGGAGCTGTCCTGCTGACCTTGAAGGAATAGAGGGCAGATCTCAGCGGGATGCCCTTGAACTTCCCGGAAACAGTGAGCTGCAGCACTGAGTTGGGACTCATTTGAGGGAGAGGGTGGCCAAGACACAGTACAGACCAGGCAGGCAAGAGCCTTCAGACTTCAAGCTGGAGACAGTGGGCACCGCACCCACTCAAGGTTGGGGAGAAAAACCGCCATTGACCTCCATGAATAGGGGCTGGAGGGGTGCGGGCCCAGCTTGGGGGATAGAATCAGAGAAGCAGCAAGCTCCCACCACTTAGGGAAGATGTTCCTGGTGAACGTCATTGCTACCAACTGGCCATGAGCAAGAGAAAGAGGGTGGCTGGGGAGAATCACAGTCTGGAGGGAGGTGTTTGGGATGAAGGGATAAGTATTTTCCATTTTGCTTTAGCTTTTTTAAAGGTCCCAGAGGGGCATTTACATAGAGATGACAAGCTATCAGGAGGGGGTCTGGGGCTGAGGAAGACGGTCAGGCCAGAGGTTAAAGATTCAAGGCAGCCTCAACACCTTTACCTGGCACTAATGAGATGTTAATAAAGATGTCCCTATTCTTCTATGTGTGGTCTATGGAACAGCAGCATCAACACCACTTGAGAGTTTGTCAGAAATGTAGAATCTTGGGTCCCATCCTGAACTGACTGCTACGGTTTCAATGTCTATGTCCCCTCCAGAATTCATGTTGAAACTGAATCCCCAATGCAACAGGATTAGGAGGTGGGGCCTGTAGGAGATGATTAAGTCACGAGGCCTCCACCCTCATGAATAGATTAGCACCCTTATAAAAGGGCTTGAAGGAACTAACTAGGCCCTTTTTGCCCCTCTTTTTTTCTGCCATGTGAGGACACAGTAGCAATGTGCTGTGCTGGAATCAGAGAGCAGCCCTCTCAGACACAGAATTTGCCGGTGCCTTGATCTTGGACTTCCCAGCCTCTAGAACTGCAAGAAACAAATTTCTATTATTTATATATTACCCAGTCTGTGATATTTTCATTATAGCAGCACAAGTGGACTAAGACACGGACTAATCAGATTCTGCATCTTAACAGGATCCTCCAGTGATTCGTGTGCACATTGAAGTTCAACAGGCTCTGCTCCAGATGCTATCATTATTCTCCTAATTTTATGGTTGAGGAAGCTGAGGCTCTGATGGTGAAGAAGATGGCGAGGCATTGGCTGGAGGGGAGAGTTCAGGTACTTAAAGTACCTGGGTTTAAAGTTCAAGGGGCATAAGTTTCCCAGTGGGGAGCAGGGAACATATGTTGCACAGTGCTGTGCTAGTAAATGTTTAACAATTGATTTGAGGAATGGCGGGGAGTCCTGATTTGAAGTGTTTGCCAATTTCCATGGTGTAACTACTCCCACCATGGTGAATTTCAAATTACTAACCTGGTGTCACTGAACATGGCCTTGGAAAGAGACAACCATGATTGGCTCCAACACACCACTGATCTATATGTGTACATGTATTTTCTTAGCTTAAGAGAAAAATCCAAAGAAACAGATCCAACCCCTCCCCCACCAGCTTTAACCTCTGTTCACTCCCACCACACCCCTAAATATGGACAGACAGACAGACTGGCAGACAGATGGATGGTGCTGTGCTAGTACCTCTGCATGTGATTAGCCTACGGTGTTGCATGTGTCTGTCCCCTTTCTTGGGGATAGGATCAGTGACATGTTGGCCTCTGCCCCGTATCCTAACTAAATGTCACCTTCAGCCAGACTGTTCCAGCAGGTTTTCCTCAGAGAGTGAGCGCTGGGAGCTTGGAGCCCAGGCCTGGGTAGATATCAGTGGTCAGACATGCCTAGTTTACTCTTTTCACCTGGAAACTTGATTTCTCCTAAGCCTGAGACCACTGTGTGGGTGGGGCCCGAGTAAGCAGCCTGGCGCCATGACCCGCCCCAGCTGTAGCCTGTTCTTCCCATATTACCCAGAGCCTTCCGGGTCTGGGCTGCTGCCCCCCGTCTTTCTTTTGGAAAGTTGAGGACCATGGGACGCCTGCGCAGAGCTCAAAGCTCTAGCTTCTAGTCTTCCGTTGCTGCTTATTCATGGGTGGTCCTGGGAACCCATTTATGACATTTACACACTTGTTTAGGGTGCTTTTGCATTCATGAAACGCTTGGATGTACATTGTCTCATTTCATCCTGATAAGAATCCTGCAGGGCAAGTGCTATTATACTTTATTTTTTCTTTTTAAATTCATTAGAATATTGAACTTTTTTAGTCAGCAGAGGAAGCAGGGCCTTCGTGGCATTAAGAGAATTGTGTGACGTCACCAGGCTGGGAAGGGCTGGGCTGCACTGCAGCTGAGGTTCAGTTTACCCACCAGTAAGCGAGATGAGCAGACTCAGTTCTCTTTAAAGTCTCTTCCAGCTCTGACATTCTGGACATTGGAAAGGTCAGGGGAAAAAATGCCAGGAGCTCTTTTATTTTTTTAAACAGGGACATTCCGCAGAGTGGACTGGGTGTCTGCGAGTGCATGGATATGTGTGTGCATGTGTGTGGATGGGTAGACATGAGTGTGTGAGAATGCGGCTGTATTGAGGGTACATGAATGTGGATGTGTGTGTAGGCGCCAAGGTGTGCCTCTGGGTGTTGGTATTGTGTGTACAGGTGTGGTTGCATCTGTGTGTGCAAGGTGTGTAGGTGCATAGGTGTTGCTGTGGGTGCAGGGTGCTGTATGACAGTGAGTGTGCCAGTGTGTGACGGAGTGTGTGTGGATATGTGAATAGGTGTGTATATGTGAGTACCAGTGTGCAACAGAGTGTGAGTGTGGATGTGTGAATAGGTGTGTATAGTGACTGTGCTGGTGTGTGATGGAGTGTGAGTGGATGTGTGAATAGGTGTGTATAGTGACTGTGCTGGTGTGTGATGGAGTATGAGTGTGGATGTGTGAGTAGGTGTGTGTAGAGACTGTGCTGGTGTGTAACAGAGTGTGAGTGTGGATGTGTGAGTAGGTGTGTATAGTGACTGTGCCGGTAACAGTGTGTGCATGTGTGAATAGGTGTGTATAGTGAGTGTGCCAGTGTGTGATGGAATGTGAGTGTACATGTGTGAATAGGTGTGTATAGTGAGTGTGCCAGTGGGTGATGCAGTGTGAATGTGGATGTGTGAGTGTGTATATGTGAGTGTGGATGTGTGAATAGGTATGTATAGTGAATGTGCCTATAGTATAGTGTATATGTATAGTGTATATGTGAGTGTGGATGTGTGAATAGATATGTATAGTGAATGTGTGACAGAGTGTGAGTGTGGATGTGTGAATAGGTGTGTATAGTGACTGGTGGTGTGCGACGGAGTGTGAGTGTGGATGTGTGAATAGGTGTGTATAGTGAGTGTGCCAGTGTGTGGTGGAACGTGAGTGTGGATGTGTGAGGTGTGCATAGTGAGTGTGCTGGTGTGTGAGGGAGTGTGAATGTGGATGTGTGAGTAGGTGTGTATATGTGTGGATGTGTGACTAGGTTTGTACAGTGAGTGTGCTGGTGTGATGGAGTGTGAGCGTGGATGTGTGAGTAGGTATGTATAGTGAGTGTGCCGGTGTGTGATGTGAGTTTGGATTTGTGAATAGGTGTGTATAGTGAGTGTGCTAGTGTGTGACGAGTGTGAGTGTGGATGTGAATAGGTGTGTGTAGTGAGCTGGTGTGTGGAGTGTGAGTGTGGATGTGTGAGTAGGTGTGTATAGTGAGTGTGCCAGTGTGTGACAGAGTATGAGTGTGGATGTGTGAATAGGTGTGTATAGTGAGTGTGCCAGTGTGTGACAGAGTATGAGTGTGGATGTGTGAATAGGTATGTATAGTGAGTGTGCCAGTGTGTGACGGAGTGTGAGTGTGGATGTGTGAGTAGGTGTGTATAGTGAGTGTGCTGGTGTGTGACAAAGTGTGGATGTGTGAATAGGTGCGTGTAGTGAGTGCTGGTGTGTGGAGTGTGAGTGTGGATGTGTGAGTAGGTGTGTATAGTGAGTGTGCCAGTGTGTGACGGAGTGTGAGTATGGATGTGTGAATAGATGTGTATAGCGAGTGAGTGTATATTGGGAGAGAGAAAACGTGGCGCAGCACCAATTGACGTCTGTCTGTCCCTCCACCTCTCCCAGCACCCTCGTCCCCTCCTCCCCACCCTGTGGTCCCTTCGTCCTGATCCTCAAAGGCTCTGTGGGGGTTCTGCGGCTGAACGCCTGCCTGCCTCCTCCCCTTCCCCCACTGAGGGCCAGGACACACTCCCGGCCGGAGCGGGTGGCCACAGTCCCTTTCCCCTGGGCCAGTGCCTGCGACGGGTGCTGGATTAGCCGAGGAGTGATACAATGGCACATACGGTCCTGAGTGCCGGGTGCGGCCCAGGGCCCCTTACTCAGTGCCATCGGGATTAGAGCTAATGAGTTGGAAGAAGTTAACAATGCTTCGGGCCAGCGGAGGCCCAGGAGACCTCTCAGGCCCCGCGTTGTGGCCGCCTTTCACCACTGAGGTGTAATCCGCTTTGAAATCAAAGGTGGTACAAAGTATGAATTTAAATTTGACATTTACGGCTCCGGTGAGATGACGTATTCTGGAAAGGTCTCTTCTTCTTTAAGGGGGCTGGGGGTGGGGGAGAAGGCAGGGGGAGGGGAGGAGAGTGAAGCCATCTGCTCTGAGAGGAAGGCCCAGGCTTGTCCAGGCCTGGCCAACTTTCCCCCCATGGCTTGGGCTGGGGGAAAGGGGTGGGGTGGGAGTTTTGGGGGCAGATGAGAAGAAGGAGGGGGTGGCATCATTCATCCTCCCAGCCTCAATTTAGAGGGTCCCCCTAGTATAGGGCTCCCTGATCCCTAGGAAGGAGTCCCTAAGAAGACAAAGCCGAATTCTTGTCAAAAAGATCTTTAGCCCCATTTTTTTTTCCTGTTGGATTTTTAAAGTTTTTTTAAACATTGTGGTAAAACATATATCACTTATACCATTTTAACCATTTTTAAGGGTACAATTCAGTGGCATTAATTACATTTCACAGTGTTGTACAACCATGACCACTCTGTTTCTAAAACTTTTCACCACCCCAGACAGAAACCTATTAAGCAATAACTTTCTATTCTCTTCTTCCCACAGCCCCTGGTAATGTCTACTTTCTGTCTCTATGAATTTGCCTTTTCTAGATATTTCCTGTAAGTGGAATTATACAATATGTGTCCTTTTGTGCCTGGCTTATTTCACTTAGCATTGTGTCCTCAAGGTTTATCCATGTTGTAGCATGTGTCATAACTTAATTCTTCTTAATGCTGCGTAGAATTCCGTCCTATGTCTGTGTCACATTTTGTGTTTCACATTTTGTGTTTCCATTCACTGGTTGATGGACACTTCAGTTTGGCCATCGTGAATAATGCTGCAATGAACATGGGTGTACAAGTATTGGTTTGAGTCCCTGTTTTCAGTTCCTTTGGCTCTATACCTAGGAATAGACTTGCTATCATATGGTAATTTTAGGTTTCATTTTCTGAGGAATCTCCAAACTGTTTTCCACAGTGGCTGCACCGTGTTACAGTCCCACCAGCAATACATAAGGGTTCCAATAGTGCCACATCCTCTCCAATGCTTATTTCCTGTGTGTTTCTGTTTTAATTATAGCCATCCCAGTATGATGGAGTGATAGCTTCCTGTGGTTTGTTTGTTTTGAGACAGAGTCTCTATCGCCCAGGCTGGAGTGCAGTGGCAAGATCCTGGCTCAAGGCAACCTCTGCCTCCTGGGTTCAAGCGATTCTCCTGCCTCAGCCTCCCGAGTAGCTGGGATCACATGCCTGTTTGCTAATTTTTGTGTTTTTAGTAGAGATGGGGTTTTGCCATGTTGGCCAGGCTGGTCTCCAACTCCTGATCTCAAGTGGTCTGCCTGCCTCGGCCTCCCAAAGTGCTGGGATTGTAGGCATGAACCATCGTGCCTGGCCCACCTTCCTGTGGTTTTGATTTGCATTTGCCTGTGCTTAGGGAGGCGGAGCTTCGTTTCCTGTGCTTGTTTGCCAAGTATGCCTCTTCTTTGGAACCTGGCCCCATTTGATACACCCAGAAGCTGAGGCTCTCACTCCCCAGCGTGCTGTGGTATCCTGCGTCCTTCTCCATTTGGCCCCAGCCCCTCTAGGCTTTTATCCTGCCCCGCCCCCACCCTCACACTCCCAGCAGCCTCTGCGACTCCCACATTTCCCAGACATCTCCTGGACTCTGCTGACTGTGGACTGGGTGGAAGAAGGGGAGGCATCTGCTATGTGTGGGGCACCAGGACTCCCTCAGCCCACCTCGCTGAGTCCCTTTCCTCACATCCTGCCACGATTTCTCCTACTCACTCTTCCAGGCCAGACAGCAGCCACTCTGGGCTCCCCGAGAACCATTCCATGTCCCAGCATTGAGCTCCTCATAGTGGATGGTAACTGTGAGCTCCATTGTCAGGGTCTTTTCCAAGAGCAGGAGCTGTGTTCACTCCCTTCCCAGGGGCCCTCAGCAAGGAGCCCTGGGTCAGGCAGGTGCTCCTTGCATTTTCTTTGATCCTCACTCTGCCACATCTCTGACATTGGTTTGGGAGAGGGAGAAGGGATGGGAGAACACTGACCCTTGCTGACATGTATTGGGCACTTACTATGTCCCAGGCCATGCTAAGCCCTTTGCTGGCATTGTCTGTCTCAACTTCACAGTAATTCCACAAAGTAGGCACCTTTGTTATCTTCTTCTTCTTCTTTTTTTTTTTTTTTTTTGAGATGGAGTCTCGTTCTGTCACCCAGATTGGAGTGCAGTGGTGTGATCTCCACTCACTGCAACCTCCACCTCCCAGCTTCAAGCGGTTCTCCTGCCTCAACCTCCCAAGTAGCTGGGATTACAGACACCTGCCATCATGCCTGGCTAATTTTTGTATTTTTGTGGAGATGGGGTTTCACCATGTTGGCCAGGCTGGTCTCGAACTCCTGACCTCAGGTGATTCACTCACCTGAGCCTCCCAAAGTGCTGGGATTACAGGTGTGAACCACCACGCCTGGCCTGTTATCTCCTTTTTTTGCAGAAAGACTGAACTCACAGGTGGGCCCAAGGGGCCTGTTTTCCAGCCCCACCCTCCCATCTGTTTGTTTTGTTTTGTTTGTTTGTTTGTTTGTTTGTTGAGATGGAGTCTCACTCTGTCGCCCAGGCTGGGGTGCAGTGGTGTGATCTTGGCTCACTGCAACCTCCGCCTCCAAGGTTCAAGCAATTCTCCTGCCTCAGCCTCCCGAGTGGCTGGGATTACAGGTGCGCACCACCATGCCCAGCTAATTTTTGTATTTTTGGTAGAGACGGGTTTCACCATGTTGGCCAGGCTGGTCTGGAACTCCTGATCTCAAGTCATCCGCCTGCCTCAGCCTCCCAAAGTGCTGGGATTATAGGTGTGAGCCACTGTGCCCGGCCCCTGCCCTCCTATCTTTGATGGACACTCTTGGGCCCTCCCAAGCCTTCCCTTCTGGATTTTCATACCATTTCATCCCACATCTTGCCCCCAAGTTGGGTAGGGGTGATGAACAGAAAATAACATCTGCCCCCTTACCCAAGCATAGGCCTTAGGTAGCCCAAGCTCCTCCACAAGAGTGTGTGACTCCTCTTTGTGGTAAGGAAAGGGTGAGGGATTCTTCTCCCTCTGCTACAGATGAAGGAATGGAGACTTGGAGACATTAAGCAACTTGTCTAATGTTACACAGACAGCGGGGATGGAGATAGGGCTTAGTCTCAGATCTTCTGCTCTCAAATCCAGAGCTCTTTGCTTTAATCAAGTTGCCTCCTTAGAAGCAGAGCTGGTTTCATCCACCTGTAGCAGGCATTTACAAACACAACCCCAACCTTAGTCAACCTTAGGTTGACTTTCCTCCGCCCCTAAGTTTTCTCACCCCTAAAGTGGGAATCAAGAAACCTACCTCCCCCAGTTGCTATGAGAGGTTATAAGGAATGAGAAGCACCTAGCTCAGTGCCCGGCACATGGAAGGTGCTCCATAAATTACTTTCCCTTCGCTCTTTTAGCACAATCTCTCCCCACTTTTCTTGGGGGTCTGCCATGGTGGGAAATGAGAATTTCTGGTTGGGGAGGTAGTCGACCGCGTTTGAAGTGACAGTGACAGATGGGAGGGTGGCTCTCCCAGGCGCCTGGCCAGCCCCACGGTGCGTGTCCACCAGTCCCCGGACATTCCCTCCCTCTTCCTGGCCCACGATGAGGTGTCATTTGCCGCCTGTCCCTTCTCGTCATCGATTTCTAAGTCGTTAATTAACGGGGCTTGTCAGCTGGGAAGATGAATTCTGTCCTCGGCTCTCGGGGTCTTTTGTTTTGGGATTGTAAATGTTATAGATCTCCCATGATGGAAGGCCATGAGGTCAGGGGGTGCTGGGCTGCCCAGTGGCGGTGGCAGGCAGTGAGAGGAGCTTGTGGGCCTGGCTGGATCTTGCTAGTCTGGGACAGGCCCCCAGGAGCCTTCACAGCAGCCTCTATTGGCTTGGCTCCCTGGGGATGGGGTGGGAGGGAGAGGGGAGTTTTCCTGCCATCTAAAGCTTTCTTCTGTGAGAAGCTGCCCTGTGCCAAATGGTATAGATTCAGCCATGCCCAGGATGGGGACTGGCTGGAGGGGATATAGACTCTACTCAGTCTGATGGGGGAGATAGCATTATCCTCAGGGATTAGCTAGTCTGATGGGGGAGACAGTGTTATCCTTGGGTAATAACCGGTCTGATGAAGGAGTCATAGCTCTGGCTTGGGAGAGCCCTTAGTCTAATAGGGGAGACCGAATTCCTGTTTTAGGAGAACCCATAATCAGATGGGAGAGGTACAAGTCTGCCTTGGGAACCCCTAGTCTGATGGAAAAAAATGAGACTCTGTCCTTGGGCACTTATAGGCATTGAGAAAATAAGATATTTTCAGGCAAAAGTTCACTCATAACTTGACTTAAGTGGATTTGGGTCCTCTATGTCCTGATACCTGAGGCAAACCACTCCCTGAGCCAGCGGGTCCCCTACGCTGAGGGAATCCAGGCCATCCCTCGGCCTCTCATGCAAGATAAGATCTCAGGGAAGGGAAATGATTTCACCATCAGCTGAGCTGAGTTTCAGGAGGGTAAAACTGATGCCTAAGAACAAGGATTGATATAAAAATGAAAAATTGTATACTTGGCTTTTGATGACTTGAACTGCAAATGGGTATGTGTTACGGGAAGAGCTTACAGAACACTGACAAATAGCCATGGAGTGGCCACATACATGAAGGAGAACTGGCTTCTCTATGCAAAGGGAAGCTGGGGGTGGGGAGGGGAGGACATGCTGTCAGTTTTCTGGGTGCTGAGAGCCACTCTGTCCTGCGGCTGAGTAGGGTCTGGCTGCACGTGGACTAGAATCCAGGATAGGCCCTCAGGAAACCTGGTTTGGGCATCAAGATTGCTTCTATCTTGCTGTGCAAACTTGGGGATTTTTTTCCCTGTCTCTGGGTCTCTGTATTGCAAAAGGAGTAGATCAAAGGTGTGGGCCCCCCACCTCCAACTCTCAGAAGCAGCATGGGTGGAGCTCAGGCTTCCATGCCACCAGGGATTTGAGTTTGGTTGTGATCTATTGCTTTGGCCAAGTAGCTCAACCCGTTTGAACTTCATTTCTTTATCTATACATTGGAGATGACAGCAGCACACAGTTTTTAAGGTTGTTGTGATATTGTGGGTAAAGTGCGTACAGCAGGGCCAGGCTCAGTATGTGTGGCTGTCGTTGTTATTATTTAGGAGAACCCACAATCAGATGGCAGAGATACAGCTCTGCCTTGGGAACCCCTCAGTCTGATGGAAAAAGACAGACCCTATCCTAGGGAGTTTGGACATTGAGAGAATAAGATATTTGCAGGCAAAAATCCATGCATAACTTGGCTGAAGTACATATGGATCCTCTGTGTCCTGGTACTGATGACATTACTAGTAAACAAGGGCCTTAGAGAACCCTTGGCTCACAGGGACCAGCAGGCCCAGTGTGCTGCCCCGAGCCCTGTGGCTGGAGGAACTGCTTTCAGCTCACTGAACGTTTACAGGAACTTCAGGTCTTGTCCCCCCAACCTCGGTCATTTTATCACCCAGTCCTGTTTCTGATCCCTGGGACCCTGATCTAGGGAGTAACCTTGATGCCTACCTGCTGCTGGAGGTGGGCAGAAGAGATGTGCCCCCAGCCCGGACCTCTCAGAAGCGGCCTGGCTCCCAGGTTCCTGCCGGAGCTGGAGAAAACCTAGCCTGGTTTGGGCAATGGTTCCTGGGGAGGGGGGTGGCCTCAGCCTTGGGGTAAGTCTGGGAGGGAACAAGGAGGCAGAGGCAAAGTCTTGCTGCTGCTGGTGGTAGGAGGCCTTCCAGGAGCCTGTGCTTTCAGGCTGAGGTGGGGAGGGGGCCTTTGCTGTGGGACAGCCCCAGGAGGGACAGGGACACTGTGTCAACCACCACCCACCCCCTCTGCCTTATGAATGAATGGGTCTAGGATAGCAGGCCCCATTCTTGGCCTCCTCCAGAAGTGGGGAGTAGGAGAGGGGAAGCCTAACATGACTCGAATGCAGGGTGCTGCTTGTGGAGCCAGAAAATGCGTGCCAGCCCTGGATGTGAAGTCAAGTCCAGGGGCACAGGTGTGGAGAGGTGCCCCCTTAGGTTCCTCCTAAACCCTTAGGTGCCACCTGACCCAAGCCCCCATTTTACAGATGAAGGAACTGACACCTGGAAAGGGCCAGACATTTACCCAGAGCCGGGACCAGAATCCAGACTTCTGGGCTCGTAGCCCAGGGCTCTTTCCCCATCACCACGTGGTGGAATAAGGCCAGGACTCCACAGCCTCCTTTCTGTGCAATCTGGGTCCCCATGGCCATTTTGGTCATCCCCCAATGTCCCATTGGACAAAACTGGAGGTTAAGGCGAGTGGCTGTGGAATGAGCCGCTGTGGGAGGTGCAGCTTCCTGGCTTCCCCTTCCGGAGGTCTCAGGGTTCAGGGAAGCCACGGTGTGGTGGGCAGGGTGATGGGGACTGTAGCAGAGGATGCCCGCTGGGAGGCAGAAGAGCCCTGCCTGGGGGCAGGGGATGAGGGGTGTTGGTGAACGTCTGGGGTCCCCGCCCCAGGCCTGGGGTGAGACGACTCCTCCGTGCGGGCTGCAGGTGCCTGCTTTCCTCCTGCAGAGGTGGCCACCGAGGCTCCTGCTATAAATCATGAGCTAAGGGGCTGGAATCAGGGAGGAGGAGCTGGGCGGGGCGCTGTTGGGGAAATTTACAGTGGTGATTTTCTTCTCCAGACTGGGAGCTGAGGGAGCTGTAGTAACTCTGCCACGGCTCCTTGTCCGTATCACCCATGCCCCCCTCCGGAGGCTCCATTGACCTCACAGGAGCAGGGGTGAGGTTAGCACAGGGAGGATGCAGGAGAGACTTCAGCCAGAAGGTCCCAGACACTGGGATGGTCTGAGTATACAGAAATGGGTGAGTGCTGGAGGCAGCATTGTGCAGAGGCAGGGGTGAATGGGATAGACTATGGGGTACCACTTAGCCATTTGACAAATAGCAGGTGCCTTGCATGTGCCAGCTTTGCCTGTGCCAGGTGCTGTCAAGCATGACAGATGTGAGCCAAACCCTCTGGAGCCCAGGGGCAAGATGGACTTTAATGGAATAAACTGGAAACACATCCTCCCTGGGGATGGTGAGCCTCCTTGCTGATTCCTTATGGCCAGAGGGAATCTGGAGGAATCACTGCCCTCCAGTGTCTGGGCCAGGTCTGAGGCCCGGGAGCTGCCTTCCTGGCCCACGCTGACCTCCATTGAGGTCTTAATTACAGCTGCCTTTCCCATTCCGGCCTCTCATGGTGACATCTTCATACGGCTCTGGGACCATCGAGTTTCCTGATCTCTTCTCCTGGTCTCTTCCAACCCAGTCTCAGGGGTCCCAGCTTTCTCTAAGGTAAAGCCTGGCCCTGTCTGGACATGGAGAAAGCCCTATCCCCCTCTCCTCCCCGACTTCTCAGAATACCCAGGTTTCCAGGGCAAGGGCTCAGGAAAGATGCTACTGGAGCAACAGAGGTGAGGGGAGAAGGAAAAGGGGCAGAGGCACCTCTGTGGCACTCAGAGAATAATTTGAGATGCCGAACAAAGATTCCAGACCCAGAGGTAGCCTGGGGAGGAAGAAAGAGTGCCACAGACATCTGGAGGCCTGATTCGTGGCTTGGCAACCTATCAGCTAGCTGTGTAACCTTGGGCAAGTCACAGAGCCTCAGTTTCTTATCTGTAAAATGGGGTTAAAAACAGCCAACATTGTGGCCAGGTGCCGTGACTCAGGCCTGTAATCCCAGCACTTTGGGAGGCCAAGGCAGGAGGATTACTTGAGCTCAGGAGTTTGAGGCCAGCCTGGGCAACATCGTGAGACCCCTGTCTCTACAAAAAATGTAAAAAAGAATTAGCTGGATCTGGTGGTGCATGCCTATAGTCTCAGCTTCCAGGGAGGCTGAGGTAGGAGGATCACTTGATCCAGGGGTGTGGAGGCTGCAGAGAGCCGAGATTGTGCCATTGCATTCCAGCCTGGGTGACAGAGTGAGACCTTGTCTCTATAAAAAAGATAAAAAAGGCCAGGTGCGGTGGCTCATGCCTGTGATCCCAGCACTTTGGGAGGCCAAGGAAGGCGGATCGCTTAAGGTCAGGAGTTTGAGACCAGCCTGGCCAACATGGTGAAACCCCTTCTCTACTGAAAATACAAAAATTTCCCGGTCATGGTAAAGCAAGCCTGTAATCCCAGCTACTCTGGAGGCTGGATCACTTGAACCTGGGAGGCGGAGGTTGCAGCCAGCCAAGATTGTGCCACTGCACTCCAGTCTGGATGACAGAGTGAGACTGTGTCTCAAAAAAGTTAAAAAAAAAATTAGCTGGGCATGATGGCACATGTCTATAGTCCCATCTACTTGGAAGGCTGAGACAGGAGGATCACTTGAGCCCAGGAGTTTGAGGCTGCAGTGAGCTGTGATTGTGCCACTGTACTCCAGCTGGATGACAGAGTGAGACCCTGTCTAAGAAACAAACAAACAAACAAAAAAACTCCCAACATTGCCTTCCATGAGAGTTAAATAGAATAGTTTGTAAATCAAAAGGTATACTTATGCAAGCAAAATAAGGGGACAAGATTAAATAACAATAATTAAACTTTATTAAGCAAGCACCTATTCTGAGCCAGACATCGCCTTACTGAAAGCTCACAGTAACCCAGCAGGCAGACATTGTTAGTCTCACATCTTATAAGCAAAGAAACCTTGGTGCAGAGAAGGTATGCAATTTGCCACTGTCTCACAAGTACTGACAGAGGGGGATGGAGGCTCAAACATCTGTCTTCAAAGCCTTAATCTCACCCAAGTCAAGCGGGTGGACTGGTGGTTGAGGTGTGGCCAAGGAGGGTAAGAACTAGAACTTTTGCCTCTCTTCCCTTCCCCTTCCCCTTCCCCTTCCCCTTCAACCTTCCCCTCCCTTCCCCTCCCTTTCCTTCCTCTTTCTCTCTCTTTCTTTTTTATTTGGCAGGGTCTTGATCTGTCACCCAGGTTGGAGTGCAGTGGCACAATCACAGCTCACTGTAACCTTGAATTCCTGGGCTCAAGTGATCATCTGGCTTCAGCCTCCCAAACTGCTGGGACTACAGGTGTGAGCCACTATGCCTGGCCAGAGCTTTTTTTCAGACATCTTCTATCTACTTTTACTAGGTAATGTTCTCACATAGTACAAAATTCAAAAGGTGCAAATGGGTCAGAGTGGAGAGTACATCTTGCTTCTTTTATTGTATAGCCTTCCAGAGAGAACTTATCTATGCCTAGTAGGCGTATATGTGTTTATATATTTATATACATATTTAGATATTTAGATTGGTAGATGATAGATCATTTAAATTTTTTTTTGCAAAAACAGGTCCATACTAGCTGCACTTATTTCTAGGAAGCACTTTCCATCAGCCAGAGGTGAGCTCCCTGTGACAGGAGGCGTTTAGAGAGAGGTTGAGTAACTGCCTGGGGTGTTGCAGAAGGGAACCCACCATTGGAAGGGCTGGTCTGTGCTTCTAGCCGAGTGGTTCCTGAATCCTCTCTGTCGCTACGCTTTGCAGAGATAGAAATGAGGTGTGGGGAGGTAAAAAGGAAGTGACCTGTCCCACAGTGAATCTGCAGAAAAGCCAGTGAAGACCAGGTGGATGAAAATGAGGCTGGGGCCATGCCCATGGGGAGATGTTGGACGATGCTTGAGTGCAAGATGGCAGCAGGCCGGGAGAGGCCCAGAAGAGAACTCACCACGCCGTGGGGGTGAGTAGCGGGAGGGACAGCAGCATGTGCATCCCCCAAAGGCCTCCAGTTTGTTTGTAAAGTCTCAGGCAGGAATCTGCCCTTGTGATCCTGAGGCCTCATGTTTCAGGGCTCAAAGCTGGCCCTGGGGACAGGAGGTGGCAACTGGTGTCTGACCCCCTAAACCTGGTGCCTCCACTGATCAACAGACCAGATAAGGGACAGGTCACCCCCTGACCTTAGGGCCTTGAGGCCCAGGGCGGGGAGTGGGTGGTGGTGCTGCAGTTAGAGGATCCCATTCTCAGGACAGTAAACCCTCGAAAGAACTTCTCACCCACTATTTTCCAAGCTTTAGTCACTTGCATTCTGCTTTCATAATGTTGACCATTTCCAAGTTCCCTTGTATTTTTAAACTTAAAATAAAGGGCATGTATCTTAAGTGTACAGTTTCATCAGTTTTCACTTGCGTATTCACCCGTGCAGTCGGCCCCATCACAATACGAAATATTTTCAGCACCCAGAAGCCTCCCTCATAGCCCCTCCCACTCAGTGCCCCCCAAAAGTAACCATAGATTAGTTTTATGTGTTTGAACTTCCGATAAATTGACTCAACCAGAAGGTCCTCTTCTTTGTCATGCTTCCCTCATTCAACATCATATCTGTGAGCTTCACCCATGTTGTTGGGCAAGGCGATAGTTTTTCCTCATTCATGCTGCCTAGTACTCAGTGGTATGAGTACACCACAATGTATTTATCCATTCTCCTGTTGGTAGACATTTGAATTATTTCTGGTTTGAGGCTATTAAAAACAGTGCCACTGTGGACAGTCCTGTTCATGTATTTTGGTGGACACATGACCACATTTCTGTTGGGCACACATTTTGATGAATGGTCCACAATTATAATATCACACAGAATAGTTTCACTGCCTTAAAAATCCCCTGTTCATCCCTCTCCCCACCTCTCCAAACCCCTAGCCGCTACTGATCTTTTTACTATCTCAATAGTTTTGCTTTTTGCAAAATGCCATATAATTGGAATATAGCATGTGGTCTTTTAGACTGGCTTCTTTCACTTAACAATATCATCTTAGTTTGCCTACCATGCCCTACCATGTCCTCTCTACCCTACCCTACATGTCCTCTCATAGCTTGGTAGCTCCTTTCTTTTTAACACCAAATAATATTCCATTGTGTGGACTTACAACAGTTTGTTTATCCATTCACCTATTGAAGGACATCTTGTCTAGCTCCAAGTTTTGGCAATTAAGAATAAAGCTGCTATAAACATTTGTGTGCAGTTTTTTTTGTGAGGACATAAGGTTTCAACTGAGTTGGGTAAATACCTAGGAGTGCAATTACTAGATCATATGGTGAGATTATGTTTCCCTTTGTAAGAAACTACCAAACTGTATTCCAAAGTGGCCATACCATTCCACATTCCCACCAGCAGTGAACAAGAGTTGTTGCTCTCCCTCCTTGCCGGCATTTAGTGTTGTTGGTATTTGGGGTTTTAGACATTCTAATAGCGGTGCGCCATCTCATTGTTGTTTTAATTTGCAGTTCCTTAATGACATGGGGTGTCAAGCATCTTTTCATATGCTTATTTGCCATCTGGATATCTTCTCTGAAGAGGTAACTGTTCAAATCTTTCGCCCACTTTTTAATTGGGTTGTTTGTTTTCTTATTGTTGAGTTTTAAGAGTTCATTGTACATTTTGGAAACAAGCCCTTTATCAGATAAGTGTTTTGCAAGCACTTTCTCCCAGTCTGTGGCTTGTCTGTTCATTCTCTTAAAATATACTGTATTCACGTTAAAATGAAACTTCATATCACAATGGTAATGGGGAAAGCAGAATACTTTGCCATGAAAGAAGGTAACCATAAAAATTTAAAAATAAAGTGCCCAATGTTTCAAGTTCTTCTCCTCTGACAAAAAAAAAAAGCCCAGTGTTATTCCATCCTGGCTGAGTCCTGCCACCTGCTTCTGAGCTCTAAGCCTGAGGCTTAATGTCTATTGTTAAAAAAGAACTAACAAGTGGCGAAGAGGTATGCAAGCTGTACCAGCCTCAAACCAAGACCTTCTGCTAGTCAAAATCAGAAAGCTTGAAAAATAATTTAAGGAGTAACTTTTTTTCCGTGTAAGCAATCTTATTGAATGCTGGTCAACGTAGCACCTGAAAGAAACTTTGGGAATCACTGATCTAGTCCACTCCCTCGCCCTTGCCTCTACCTCACTGCTAAAATCCTTTGATCTTTCACCCAGTGTGTGTGCACCTCCAGTGACCAGGAAATCACCCCTTTCCAAGACAGCCTGTCTCTCCAGAGGAAGTTCTAGTAGGAAGTTCTTTATTGCATCAAGCCAAGTTTCCCTGCATCCTCCCCTACTTATCCTACCTCCCCACTTTGGGGAATCCCAGGGTCAAGGCTCATCTGTTTGTTCCAAAGAGTCATTAACCTTTTACAGCCTCAGTTTCTTCATCTAAAAAAATGGGGGATAATAATACCCACTTTCCAGGGAGATCTTTGTGATGAAACGAGATACAGCATGTAAGGTGCTCAGCCCCATGCCTGCTTCCCAGAGGGGTGAGAAAAAAGGAGGCCTTTTGTTGATTCAACTGTGAACTTGCCCACAGGAGGAAGTGGACATGGGTCTGCACCATTTTTTCTGGGTGATGTCTCAGCATTGTTGAGAGGGGCCAAGATTTGAAAGTCTAGGAAGGAACTGGGTCTATGTTCTGATGGACCCCTAGGGATAATCTGATCCAAGCTCTTCATTTCATAGCTTAAGAATCTGGAGGTTAGAGGGGCTGAGAGATGTGTCCAAAGTCACAGAGCAAAAAGCACAAAGGCAGAGCAGAGACCTGTGGGGCAGGCAGTGGTTTCTTAGGGCTGAAAGGAGCACCAGACCTGGAGTCCCGAGCCCTAGCTATGGGCCATGCAGCTATTAATATATAGATACCGTACTATGTGGCCTTGGGCAAGTATTTTTTCCTCTCTAGGCCTCAGTTTCTTCACTTATAAAATGAATCGTTGACCTAAATATGTTTTTTGTTTGTTTTATAGAGACAGAGTCTTGCTATGTTGCCCAGGCTGGTCTTGAACGCCTGGTCTTGAGCATTCCTCCTGCCTCTGCCTCCCAACGTGCTGGGATTACAAGCATGAGTCACTGCACCCAACTGACCTAAATGTTTTTGAGGCTGTTTCTGCTTCTGAAATTCTATGATCAAGGAGGTAGTTCTTGAGCTTGAGGAAAGTGTGGGACCAATTCATCCGAAGACAAAGGCATTCCAGGCAGAAGACACAGCACAAGCAAAGGCTGGGAAGTAACTGGATTAGACTGGGCATCTGGGCGATGAGACCCTAGGGCGTTTTAAGCGTACAGAAAAGTACTTAGCATGGTATCTGACTCAATAAATTCTCTTTCCCTGAGTAAAATTTCCCACTTCCACGTCTCTACTTCATCCATTAAATGGAGGATAATGTTTGTGGTGGACTTGCTGAACCCAAGTATTGAAGTCATAGCCCAGCACAAGGCTGCCCAGCTAGGAACTAGATTTCCCAGCCCCAGACAGGAACAGACACTTTTCAAAAGAAGACATACACATAGCCAACAAGCATACAAAAAAATACTCAACATCACTAGTCATTAGAGAAATGCAAATCTAAACCACAATGAGATACCATCTCACACCAGTCAGATGGCTATTATTAAAAGTCAAAAAGTAAGAGATGCTGGCAAGGTTGTGGAGAAAAGGAAACAGTTATACACAGCTGGTGGGAATGTAAATTTAGTTCAGCCATTGTGGAAAGCAGTTTAGCGATTTCTCAAAGAAGTTAAAACAGAATTTCCATTCAACCCAGCAATCCCATTATTAAGTATACACCCAAAGGAAAATAAATCATTCTATCACAAAGACACATGCACACATATGTTTATTCTAACACTATTCACAATAGCAAAGACATGGAATCAACCTAAACGACCATCAACATTAGACTGGACAAAGAAAATATAGACCAGGCACAGTGGCTCACCTGTAATACCAGCACTTTGGAGGCCGAGGCGGGCAGATCACTTGAGGTCAAGAGTTCGAGACCAGCCTGACCAACATGACAAAACCCGTCTCTACTAAAAATACAGAAAAATTAGCTGGGTGTGGCGGCGGATGCCTGTAGTTCCAGCTACTCAGGAGGCTGAGGCATGAGAATTGCTTGAGCCCGGGAGGCAGAGGTTGCCGTGAGCCAAGATCACACCACTGCACTCCAGCCTGGTACATATACACCATGGAATACTACTCAGCCATAAAAAAGAAAGAGATCATGTCCTTTGCAGCAACATGGATGGAGCTGGAGGCCATTATCCTAAGTGAACTAACGCAGGAGCAGAAAACCAAATACTGCATGTTCTCACTTGTAAGAGGGAGCTAAACATTGCATAGATATGAACACAAAGAAGGGAACGACAGACACCGGGGCCTGCTGGAGGGTGGAGGTTGGGAAGAGGGAGAGGACTGAAAAACCCTCCATCAGGTACTATGTTTATTACCTGGGGATGAAATAATCTGTACACCACACTCGCGTGACATGCAATTTACCTGGATAACAAACCTGCACATGTACTCCTGAACCTAAAAGTCAAAATTACATAAATAAATAAATGTTCCGGCCCCTTTATGGCTCGGGGTGGCCACATGACAAAGTCCTCACCAATGGAATGGGAGCAGAAGTGATGTGTTGCAACTTCCAGGCCTGGCTTTTAAGACACAACTCATGCGCACTTTTGATTCTTTCTGAAGACATGACGTGGGCAGGCCAGTGTGACCATGTAGACAAGAGCATCACCAAGGGGTAATAGGGGAAACCTCATGGAGGGAGCCAGGCTCTTGTTTGGTTGTGTGGGGTGGAGCAGCCCTCCTACCCACCCTGTTACATGAGAACAAGGAAACCTTTCTGTTCTTTCAGCCAGTGGACGCTTTCTTACAGCAGCTCAGCCTTTTGCCATAACGAACACAATGTCTCTATGTGGGTAGGGGCAGAGGGGAAAATCAAGTGACTCCTCAATGTCGAGTTTTGAGGGTTTCTGAGGGCTAGCTTGCCGTTCCTCTCACAAGAAGCTCTGTCTTTCACCATTCTCCCTGGGTGATGGCTATCAGCCCATTAAAATGCATGGAAGGTCCCTATTTTAAAAAAAGGAAAAGGAAGGAAAGAAGGAAGAGAGGAAGGGAGGGAGAAAGGGAGAAAGGTAAGGGAAGGCAAGCATAAAGCCAAAGAAAGATCCCTAGGGTCACAGAGCTGTAGGAAGTCTTAGCGATGACCTTGTCCACCTCCAACCCTCCCAGTTACCTCCCCCATCCCCCCTTTTTTTGTATTTTTTTTAAGTAGAGATGGGGTTTCACCATGTTGGCCAGGCTGGTCTCGAACTCCTGACCTCAAGTGATCCACCCACCTTGGCCTCCCAAAGTGCTGGGATTGCAACCGTGAGCCGTCGTGCCTGGCCCTCACCCTGCCCTTTTTATAGAAGAGGAAAACAAGTCTCAGAGAGGTATTGTCATAACATAAACAAAATGTTTGGGGGTTGGGGAAACAAGAAGGTGAGGGCGTGTGTGCTGTTGTCCATGGTCCTGAAACTTCTCACACTACAAGTCATTATTTTTCTCTCTCTGGGACCTTGATGATTCCTGTTTGTTCTCTTCCAGGAATTCTGAATCAAGGAAGAGGAGAGGGGGTCGTGGGGCAGAAGAGAGGTCACTGACAGAGAGGGGCACAGGGGCAGAAGCTGTCCAGAGGCATAGCTGTGACAAGTTGTCAGGGAGAAGAAGAGAGACTTCTGTTTTGACATAGTTTTCAAACAATGGTGGTTGCCTGGAAAGAAACCAACCACTCTACAACTATAGCCTAAATACTAAATGACTGAGGAAGAATAAGAAACGTGTGTCTCAAATGATACAAAGCTGTGCATGTGTCAACATGAGCAAACTAATTCAGATGGGCACGTAGAACACAAATGGGAGGGGGGATGGGGTTGACTGTATTTATTCTTTGTTTTTCTTTTCTTGCCTGATGAAATATTTGTAATTTTTACACTGTCAGAAAGCAATCAAAACTGTGATTATGGTTCACAATTTTGACAGCTAGTTTCGTGTACTTTAAGTAGTTCTATTGTGTTTTAGACAATTTGAACAATTTGCTTTTCCCTTGAAAGTTGAGGAAAGACTGCACATGCCTTTAATTCCCACTAAACCTGTGTGGAGAGCAAACCATACAGCTGGCATTTGTTGAACTCTGCTCTAAGCAAGCATGTTGTGCTTAAGAACTCATTTATTCCCCATAACAAACCCAGGTAGATAGGTAGATAGGTGCCATCATAGTAGATGAGGAAATGGCGTGTCAAAGTAGTAGATACCTGGTCCAAGGCAGCCTGGCTCCACATCCTGTATTTTCAGCCCCTGGCTAGTCCAATTCTTGGTATCTTACTGGGCCACAGCAGAACCAGACATAGGCTTCCTGGTTCCCAGGGTAGACCCTTTCCTTCCTACCATCTTCATGCAGTACATCTCAGAACTGGGGTGTGTTTACCAAAGGGGTATGTAGTGCTAAGGAGTTGCACAGATCTGCACAGACTGAGGCACAGGACTGGTCTTAGAGGGAAAACCACAGGGAGGAAAGAGTGGGTTTCTCCTGAGACCTGAGCTCCAGCCCCACTTCATGGCCCAGAGAGCTCCGGCCAGGGAGGAATATCCAATTTCCAGGCATGGTTGAAACCGGAGCTGGGTGCCCCCACCAGCTTGCCTCCTGTGTTCCTCCTCCATGTGTGCTGAAGTGGAATAGGCGGAGGGCACAAGGGGAAGCATTGTTCCTGCCCCCACCTTGTGCAACCCAGCTCTCAGTGGAGCGTGGAGGAATTTGTGTAACTTTCCTGGAGGTTAAGAGCAGGTCAGTGCAGGGCTGCAGCCCAGGCTACTCTCCCAGCAAAGGGAGCCTCGGGCTAAGCCAGGCGGCCCCGTGGGAACAGAAGCACATACCTGCTGTCCATGCCCTGAAACGGGAGGGCAGCCTGAGCTGCTGGGCGTGAAGATGCAGATCCCAAATCCCCCAGCTGCCCTCCTCCAGCACAGGGGCAGATCACAGAAGCCTGAACTGACAAGGAACCTGGAAACAGGCAACCAAATTCCCACATCTGCCAGGTGGGCACACTCAGGCTCAGAGAAGAAAGAGGAGCTTTCATGAATCATGTACCTTCCTGAGTGCCATTCATTCATTCATTCATTCACTCATCATTCATTCATTCATTTAGCAAACACTTGTGGTGGAATGTCAAGGGCAGACACTATCACTATCCTAGAAGGTTCGATGTATTTCTTATTCTGGTTGGCATTCGGGAGAGACAATAGAGACTCAAAGAGGGCATGAGATCTTTCCAAGGTCACACAGCTGGTTTGAGGCAGGTCTGCTAAGTGTCAGCCTAAGCCTCTTTCCCCTGCACCAAACATGCAAGCATGTATATATGGTGTATGGAAAGTCAGACGGAAAAGTGGGTCCTAAGTCATTGGATCAACTCTCTTGTCTCCTGGCAAATGATATGACAGAGTCAATTCCACTCAACAATTGATTTGGTGTCTACTCTGGGCAAAACACTTAATTGATTCTCTTCTTCTGGGAAGATTTCCAGGAACCAACTAGCCTCCTGCATTGGGAAGTTAGTCCTGATCAAATCTTTCCTCCTTTAATTTAAGCCATTTTCCCATTTGTCATACACAGGATGTGAAGATAGCTTGTGTTTCAAGCAAAGTTCTTCATCATCACAGGAAGGCAAAAGGTTGGAATGGACCATGAATGTGGCAGGTGTTTTCACACTCTGGCACCTATAAAGAGTCAGAGCCCAACAGAGATTGGTGGGATGAATGAATGTACACAAAATTCAACATTTAAATGGCACTCCAAAGGTTTACGGAAGATGTTCATGTACACTCTTTCAGTCCACAAAGCAATCCTGGAAGGCAGGCACTTTATCCCCATGTCACAGATGGGAAAACTGAGGCTCAGAAAGCATAAATAGGTTGCTGAGGGTCACAGAGCTCATGGGCAGCCATGTTGAGATCCATACCTAGACCTCCTAACTCCTAGTCCAGCGCTGCTTCTGTGACGCCACATGGCTGAGGTACATGTATGTGGTTCTAGTGGGCAGTATTAATATAATGACAGTGGCAGGTGTGTTTCTCTGGCCTTTCTGCAGGGAGGGAAATGCTCAGCTGGTCTGAAAGCCACCACCCTTGAGTGGGGGGTGGAAGTAGAGGAGGGACATCTATCTGGCCAGATGTGTTGGGAGGGAGGGTGAGTCCATGGCTTGGGTTAATGATCCTTGCCATCCACATCACTGGGTGGTTGGAACAGGTGGCCAAGACTGAGCTGACCAGTGGGACTAGGCTGAGCTAGGAGGCACCAGCTGCTGTCCAGATAAAGATGAACTTTCTTAGCCACAGCTCCCCCAGGGAGAGAGATATGGAGTATCTCATCCATGGTCTCCACCTTAGTGCAGACCCCTATCAGTGCTCAACCAGACCATTACAACTGCCTCGCAAACTGCCTCTGTACCTAACTTCATCCAGTCCCATGCCAGCTTCACACTGCTGGCAGAGCTGTGTTTATATGGCACAAATGTGTTGGTGTCACTTATCTTCAGAGAAGCCTTCAATCCTCTCCCCGCTGGTACACAGCCTAAACTCCCAAGCAGGCGCTCACTATTTGTCCCCAACTTACCCTCCTAAATCTGACCACAAAACTCCCCTTCAAGCCCCCATACCTCAAAGACGTTTCCCACCTCGACTCCATTGTTCTTGCTGTTCCCTTTGCCTGGGATGGTCAGGTACAGTGACTTGTTCCTGTAATCCCAGCATTTTGAAGGCTGAGGTGGAAGGATCACATGAGGCCAGGAGTTCGAGACCAGCCTGAGAAACGGAGCAAGGCCTTGTCTCTATTTTAAAAAATGAAATATTGCCGCTGGGCATGGTGGCTCACACCTGTAATCCCAGCGCTTTGGGAGGCCAAGGTGGGCAGATCACCTGAGGTCAGGAGTTTGAGACCAGCCTGGCCAACATGGCAAAACCCTGTCTCTACTAATAATATGATAATTAGCTAGGCGTGGTGGCATGCACTTGTAATCCCAGCTACTCAGGAGGCTGAGGCAGGAGAATCACTTGAACCCGGGAGACAGAGATTTCAGTGAGCCGAGATCGTGCCATTGCACTGCAGCCTGGGCAACAAGAGTGAAAATGAAACTCCATCTCAGG
Source organism: Homo sapiens (assembly GCF_000001405.40). NCBI lineage: Eukaryota > Metazoa > Chordata > Mammalia > Primates > Hominidae > Homo > Homo sapiens. The sequence goes on from NT_187614.1 coordinate 1,017,250, forward strand.
GGTGGGGGGAGAAGATTGCCCTTGCCTGGGATGCCTACCTCACACCCTGTTGGTCTCTGACACTGATCCCTCCTTCGTCTCAACTTGCAACTCAGTTTTCCTCTTGTGACATTTGCCCCCTTCTTACCTTGTGTTTCTGTGCCTTTTATCTCCTGCCCTAGACCAGGAGCTCCTTGAGTATCTCATTTAGTTCCCCCTGCCCCCCCGCATGGCACTTACTCATGGAAGGGGCTTAGGAGCATACAGTGGGCATGGGAAGGGGCTGGGAAGAGGGAAGGCAGGAGGGGGCATGCTCTCAGTCCAGGATCCAGAGCCAAGCTGAGCTGAATTCAAATCCTGACTCCACCACTCATTAGCCGTGTGACTTTGGGCAAGTTGCTTTAACATCTGTGCCTCAGTTTCCTCATCTGTCAAATAGGGATAATCATTTGCTTCATGGGACTCTTTGAGGATTAAATGAGGTAACAGATTAAAACATTCAGCGCAAAGTCTGGCACATAGTATGTATTCAATAAATGTTAGATATTATTTATAATTTAGTTACATAAATGGGCTAGATGAGATTTCATTGTCATGAGAATTTCAAATGGAGAGTGAGAACTAACATTTATTTCTTATTTTATTTTTTTGAAACCAGGTCTCACCTGTCACCCAGGCTGAAGTACAGTGGTGCAATCACAGCTCACTGCAGCCTCTAATTCCTGGGCTCAAGCAATCCTCCTGTCTCAGCCTCCCGAGCAGCTGGGACTACAGGCATGTGCCACCATAGCCGGCTAGTTAAAACATTTTTTTTTTTTTTTGTAGAGACAGAGGTCTTGCTATGTTGCCCAGGCTGTTCACAAACTCCTGGCGTCAAGCCATCCACCTGTCTTTGCCTCCCAAAGCACTGAGGTTACAGAAGTGAGCCACCATGCCTGGCTCCATGAAGAACTAACATTTATTGAGCACCCGCTCTGTTCCAGGCAGGGCGCTCAGCATCTCCATGTGCTTCTCCTTATTCAGTCCTCACAAGGATGCCAGGAGGTAGGCATCATTCCCATTTTTCATCTGAAGAATCTGAGGCCCAGGGAGGTTTGCGTGGTGGGCCTTTGGACACAGATGGGAAATGGTGGGACTGAGGGTCAACCCAGATCTGTGTGACTCCATCTCTGTGCTCTCTTTCCATTCAACCTGACCGACTCAGGAATTCAGAGGGAGATCCCTAGGAAGTGGTCCCTAGAAGGAGGCACACCTCCATCTCCTCACAGGCCAGCTCCCCTACCCAGTCCCTCACAAGGCCCAGCTCTCCAGGGAGTAGGGGCGCTGGTGCTGAAGTTGAGGGGGGATTACCGGTGTTGGGGGCCTTTCCCGACTTCCCATGGATCCTCTCCTCTTCCTCTCCTGCAGCAGCTGAGCCAGGGCTGTCTCTTGGGTTCAGTCCGGTTGGCTCCAGGCCAATTCCAGGTGTCACATCAGGCCTTGGCTTTCAGAAGGCTGCAGGGGGTTCCTCCAGGAAGGGCAGTGTGCTTCCTCCAGGGTCCACCATGGAGGTGCCGCTGTGCCACTTGGGAAAGCAGGAGCTCCGGGGAGCCTAACCCACCGATTCTGGGATCCTGGCCTTGGCACCCCTCAGCTGGTCTCAGGCAAGATACTTCAGGGCAAAGGGACTCAGTTTCCCCACATGCAAAAGGGGAATAATCTCTATTCCCCAGCTTGCCATGAGCATTAGTTAAGATTGCGGACTTAAAGCTCCAGGCCTGGTGCTTACTAGATGCTCAGTAAACACTAGTTTCCTGCTTCCTCCACATCCTCCCCCTCTCCCTTGGGACTGTCCTTTGAGGGCCTTCTCTTATGTTTTTCAGGAGATCTGCTTGAAAATGTCCACCTACTCCACCCAGGACAGCAGAAACTACTCGGGGAGGCTGTACTGGGCCCCTTCTTCCAGCTGAGGTCCTGGTCACTTTAGTCTCTCCCTCTAGGTGTGGGGTGGAGGGAGGACTTTGCCCTGCCTCCAGCCCTGGGGCCTTGTTCCTTCTGACTTGATACTATAGCTGCTGGGATCAGAGGTGACTGGGAGACTGGTTTGGTCAAGAAGGAGGGTAAAGAGTAGTGCCTAGCCTGCCTAGACCACTTTCCCATCCCCAGAGGGTGCCATTTAACTCCCGCTGCAGGTGCCATGAGCCCCGGACCCTGCACTGGCTTGGGGAGAGGGTGCACTGGGCCCCAATTTTTCTTATCTCTTGGCCAAATTCCAGGCATTCCCACTGTGAATCCCAGGAACTGAACTTATCCTTGCCTCTCTCGGGTCCAGGGATTAGCATCCCCTCTCCCGACCCCTGATGATACACCTCAGGGAGGCCTGGTCCGGACCTAGTCAGCTGCTTCATCAGCTCTGTGCTCTGGAGCTCCTGTAAGGGTGACATGCTTCTCCATGCTTTACAGATGGATAACCTGAAGCACAGAGACATCAAACAGGCCACACAGCTAGAAGTGCCAGGACCAGAGCCCAAGTTTATCCAGCTCCAAGGCACATGGTCTTTCTCCCATACCCACTTACCTCCCTGCCTCCTAGTCTGAAGCGGAAACACTCAACAAAGAAAGCTCCCTCACCACCTAATTGATGTGGCATTGGAAACAGCCTTGTTCTTCCTCACTTAGAATAGACTCCCTTTGCTCCATTCCAGAGAGGGGAGAAGAAGCAATGAACTGCCTGGGGGAGGCAGTTCTGCAGAAAGAATCTGAAGGCCACTGTGGAAGGAATTGGCCACGGATGCTGCATGATGACAACAGTGCTGGGCTTGTCCTGACCTGGCCTCACTCCGGCCAATTTTCCCTAATCAACATGGCCCTGGGGAGGGAGCAGCCTGCCTGGAATAGGAATGAAGAAAGACAGATTAGGGGTCACTCTCCTGGCTTTAACTTGCATGGGCTTGCTGGGTTCCTTTAGATCCCTGCATGAACCATTCAATGCAAACCATACATGTCTGTTAGGACTCTTGGTTGCAAGTGACAGAAAACCTTCCTCAGCTTCAGAAAGCGGGGAGGGTTTATTGATTCTCATAATGGAATAGTTCAGGGGTAGGTCTGGCTTCGGGTAAAGTTTGATACAGGGCCCAAATGACATCACCAGAATCCATCTCTCAGCTCAGTTGCTTGTGTTTATCTCTATTCTTCAGCTCTGTGGCTGGCAGAAATAGCTGTGCCACACTAAGATACATACTCGCCTACTCCAGTGGAAAAGAGGGAATTTCCCTTCCCAGAAGCCCCAGCATTTCACTGGCTGTGATTGGTTTATATGCTCTGGAGCTCTCACTATGACTGGAGGTCATGAAGATTGAATAAACTTGGAGGACATGAAGATTGAATAAACCCAGAACCCATCCCTGGGGCTCTGGGTGGTATAATCCCACCAGATCACCTAGGGAATGGAGAAGGAGTAGTTTCCCAAACGGAATTTGGGCTTCAGTTTTTAGTAGAGGGGGCAGTGAGTGCTGGGCGATCAACAACAATATCCCTCCCACCCCAACAAGGAGAGCCCCAGTCCCCATTTAAATAGCCCAGCTCTGGCTCCGACTCACCCTCTCTGCCCCTCTCCTTTCATCTCATCCCATCCTGCTCCTGAACTTGCAGCTTGGGCTCCATCATAGGACAGGGTCCCTAGAAACAGAGTCTGAGACAAGGATTAGGGCACATGTGATTCATCAGGGGTGTGGTCCCAGGAGAAAGGGTATGAAAGAAGCAGAATTAGGCAAGGGCAGAGAGGAGCGAGGATGCAGCCTCAGCCAGATTCAGCCTGATATCACAGGGCACTCTGGAGCATCAGCTGCGCCAGAGAGTTGGTCCCTCCTTGAGGCAAGGGGGCCAGCCTTTTGCACTCTCCTCCCCTCATGTCAATCAGTCATTGGTTATGGGCTTCCCAGGAATGTGTAACCTTTCAGGGTAGGCAGCTTCCATTCAGCCAGTGCAATTCTCCAGAGATGGGGGCAGCTGAGAGCCATTACAGCTAACATGCCCAGCAGCAAGGAGGGTTTGGGCAGAATGTCAGCTACAGGCTCCTTGCCTTGCCCTTCAGATTGAATACTCAGTTCCGTTGTTTCCTTGGCAATGGCCTGACTCCCTCCATGATCCCAGGGCTAAATCACCTTTATATCCCTCTGACTGCTTAGCAATGCCTCTCCAAGCTTGGGGGACCCTAAGGGCCTCCTACCCCTAGCACTGCTCCCAAGGGTACCCCTGCTCCCACAGGGCCCCTAGAGCAGGAGCCAACCAGAGAGAGCTGCCTTGCACCGGGATGGAGCCTGGGGCTGTCTTGGACAATGGCAGAGTCCCTGGCCTCCTGGTTTCCTCTGCCTCACTCCTCCCCAGTTCTGACTTTTGTCTGCTACTTTGGCATTCAGCTTCCTGGGCATCTGCCTCCTTCTGGTGTACATATTGGAGCCTCTTCTCAGAATGGTCAATTCTGTTGGCCTTTCCAGTTCCCCCACCCTGGATTCTTCTCTAGACAGCTGATGCCCTTTGACAAGAATGGTTTAAGTTAAGTCTCTTGCCAGGTGCCAACTGCTTTTGAAGGCTTAGATTCTGTCTTGTTTGAGGGCTTTGCTTATTAGTTTAAGAGTGCCGGGCTGGGCGTGGTAGCTCACGCCTGTAATCCCAGCACTTTGGGAGGCCAAGGCGGGTGGATCATGAGGTCAGGAGTTCAAGACCAGCCTGGGCAACATGGTGAAACACTGTCTCTACTAAAAATGCAAAAATTAGCTGGGTGTGGTGGTGCATGCCTATAGTCCCAGCTACTCAGGAGGCTGAGGCAGGAGAATCGCTTGAACCTGGGAGGTGGAGGTTGCAGTGAGCCAAGATCACGCCACTGCACTCTAGCCTGGGCAACAGAGAAAAACGTCATCTCAAAAAAGAAAAAAAAAAAAAAGAGTGCCTCCCCCATACAAACTTATAGGACAAAAAATGTTTCTAAGACATATGAGCAACAAAAGTTAACATTCTAATATACAAAAAGTTTTTATGAATCAACAATAAAATATATGAACACTGCAGCAACAAAATTGGTCAAAGGACATGAACAGGCAATATTACACAAGAAGAAATGGATATGAGAAGGTACTTGACCTCACTAGTAATCAAATAAATTCAAATTAAAGCAGCAATGAGGAATCATTTGTTCACTTTTCCCATTGGCAAATATTTCATGTTACTGAGGATGAGGAGAAATGGCCAGTCTTGTGCTTTGATGGTGGGGCAACAGCAGTGTAAAGAAGTACACTTGGCCGGGCGCGGTGGCTCACGCCTGTAATCCCAGCACTTTGGGAGGCCGAGGCGGGCGGATCACGAGGTCAGGAGATCGAGACCATCCCGGCTAAAACGGTGAAACCCCGTCTCTACTAAAAATACAAAAAATTAGCCAGGCGCGGTGGCGGGCGCCTGTAGTCCCAGCTACTTGGGAGGCTGAGGCAGGAGAATGGCGTGAACCCGGGAGGCGGAGCTTGCAGTGAGCCGAGATCCCGCCACTGCACTCCAGCCTGGGCGACAGAGCGAGACTCCGTCTCAAAAAAAAAAAAAAAAAAAAAAAAAAAGAAGTACACTTCTGGGCTGGGCACAGTGAATCACACCTGTAATCCCAATACTTTAGGAGGCAGAGGTGGGAGGATCATTTGAGCCCAGGAGTTTGAGACCAGCCTGGGCAACACAGTGAGACCCCATCTCTACAAAACATTTAAAAGTTAACCAGGCATGGTAGTACATGCCTGTAATTCCAGCTACTCAGGAGGCTGTTGTGGGAGGATCACTTTAGCCCAGGAGGCTGAGGCTTCAGTGAGCCATGATTACACCACTGTATTCCAGCCTGAGCAACAGAGTGAGACCCTGTCTCAAAAAGAAAGAAAAGAGAGAGGAGGGGAGGAAGGAACGAAAGAAGGAAGGAAGGAAGGAAAGAAGGAAGGAAGGAAGGAAGGAAGGAAGGAAGGAAGGAAGGAAGGAAGGGAGGGAGGGAGGGAAGAAGGAAGGAAGGAAGGGAGGGAAGAAAGAAAAGAAGGAAAGAAAAAAAGAAGAAAGGAAAGAAAAATAGAAGAAAGAGCGAGAAAGAAGAAAGAAGAAAGAAAGGAAAGAGAAAGAAAGAAGAAAGGAAGGATGGAAGGAAGGAAGAAAGGAAGGAAGGAAAAGAACGAAGGGAAAGCAAAGGAAGGAAAGAAGGACATTTCTGGAAGGCAATGTGGAAACCCTTGGCAAGCCTGGAAAATGTGTATAACCTTAGAATCTACAATTCAACTTCTTGGAATTTATCCTAGGGAAACACTGAAAGATGTGCCCAAGGGTATATGTGCAATGATGTTTATCTCAGTACTATTTATAATAGCAAAAAAATGGAAATGACTTAATAACCCATAAATAGAGAACTGGTTGAATCAATTATGCTTCACTCATATAATGAAATCATATGCAGCCATTAAAAATGATGCCTGGGCCATAGTGGCTCACACCTGTAATCCCAGAGCTTTGGGAAGCTGAAGCAGGAGGATCATTTGAGGCCAGGAGTTCAAGACCAGCTTGGGCAATATGGTGAGACCCTGTATCTGCAAAAAATAAAAATAGAAAAATTAGCCAGGTGTAGTGGTACATGCCTGGAGTCCCAGCTCCTCAGGAGGCTAAGGTGGGAGGATCGTTTGAGCCCAGGAGTTTGAGGCTGCAGTGAGCTATGATTGCACCACTGCACTCCAGCCTGGGCAATAGAGCAAGACCCTGTCTCAAAAAAACAAACAAAAAAGACGTATGTATCCGTTGACATCAACAGAGCCCCATAATCCATTAAATTTTAAAAAGGTTATAAAAGATCATGTAGAGTATGCTTCATTTGTGTTGAATTGTATACCTAAGTGGGTACTCCCAGGAAGGAGTCTGGAAGAGTAGTCTCCAAAATTTCTAGGTGGTAGGAAGTGGATTCTGTGGTTTGTGCCTTCTATAGGTAACCAGTGCCCAGTGACCATCTGGGTGTGCCCCGTGGTCCCAGTTCTCATTCTGATGGAGCCGACTTGCCCTGGGATTGGGATGACTGACTGTGCCCTTGGATACGCTCAAGGGGATGGACCAGGGGACATCAGCATGGATTATTCTAGAGATCCTGAGAAAGACTGTTGCATAGCAAAGCTCTCTAAAACGTACATGGTGTAAAACAATAACCATTTTATAACCAATTCTGTTGTCAGGAATTTGGAGAAGGCACAACTGGAATGCCTTATCTCTGCCCCATGATATCCAGGGCCTCAGCTGGGAAGTTACAACTTCCAGCTACAGATGACTTGACCAGGAATCAGCTGGAGAGCTCTTCAGACCTGGAGTCACTGGAAGGCTGGGCTTAGCTGGAGCTGTCAACTGGAGCACCTACACGCGGGCTGAATGTAGCTTGGACTTCTGACAGCTTGTCATCCGGTTCCCAGGGGTGGCGTCTTTAAGAGGGAAGACTCTGGAGGGTATTTTAAGAGGCCAAAGCAAAAGGGGCAAGGCTTCTGACTTAGCCTCAGAAACCATGTCAGCACCACTTTGCCACATTCTCTTGGTTGCAAATGAGTCACTAAAGCCAGCTCAGATGCAAGAGGAGGGGAATTAGACCCCACCTCTTGATGGGGAAGTTACAAGGTCACATTGCAGAAGAGCATGTAAGATGGAGATAGCATGTGGCCTTCTACAGAAAAGACAATCTGTCATAGACAGTTTTTTTTCCCTGCTGGACCCAAAGCTTCGAGATGTGAGATTTGGAACAGCTGTAGCTGCCCTGGAATCACGAAGGGGAAGCCTGCCTATAAAACCAGCATGGAGGAGAGCCAAGGGATGCCAGAGAGTGAGAGCGAGACAGTGTGAGAGAGAGAGCAGATCCAGAGGGCATCATTTGAGCCTGACCATGCTTCTTTGTCCCAAGAGCCAATAATCCCCTTACACTTCAGCTAGTTTGAGCTGTTTTCTACCACGGGTAGAAGAAATAGTTCTAATCAATACAAGAGGATTTTAAGAGGATTTTACTACCTTTTTATACTTTTTCATTTAAAACTTTTTTTAATTCTTTCTTTTTCTTTCTTTCTTTTTTCTTTCTCTCTTTCTGTCTCTCTTTCTCTCTTTCTTTCTTTCTTTCTTTCTTTCTTTCTTTCTTTCTTTCTTTCTTTCTTTCTTTCTTTCTTTCTTTCTTTCTTTCTTTCTTTCTTTCTTTCTTTCTTTCTTTCAGACAGTCTTACTCTGTTGACCAGGCTTGAGTACAGTGGCATAACCAATTATAGCTCACTGTAGCCTCAAACTCAGGGCTCAGGTGATCCTCCAACCTCAGCCTCCCAAGTAGCTAGGACTACAGGTGCATGCCATCACACCCAGCTAATTTTTATTTTATTTTTTCTAGAGACCAGGGTCTCACTATGTTGTCCAGGCTGGTCTTGAACTCTTGACCTCAAGTGATCCTCTGGCCTCGGCCTCTCAAAGTGCTAGATTACAGGCATGAGCCACTGAACCTGACCTACTTTTCCATATTGCTTGAATTTTCCATTATAAGTATGTTATATTTTCAGTGTTACAAAAAAATTTTTTTGAGACAGAGTCTTGCCCTGTCACTCAGGCTGGAGTGCAGCAGCACAATCTCAGCTCACAGCAGCCTTGACCTCTCAGGCTCAAGCCATCCTTGCACCTCAGCCTCCTGAGTAGCTGGGACCACAGGCATGCACTACCAAGGCTGGCTAATTTTTAAATTTTTTGTTGAGATGGAGTCTCACTATGTTGTCCAGGCTGGTCTTGAATTCCTGGGCTCAAACAATCCTCCCATCTCAACCTCCCAAAAAAGTGTTGAGTGGCATGAGCCACTGGACCTGGCAAACATTTTAATTGAGCAGCTATTTGTGAGTCACAGATGGCAAACACCCTGACTTTAATCACCTCACATTTTGATCGATCTGAAAAGTAAATACTTTGCCTACCATTGTCTTTTGTTAAAGCGCAGCACCTCCTGCTCCCATGCCACCACCCCTCACCACTTCCTAAGTTTTCTCTAAGATTCAAGCACTTTCCAAATATTCCATTCAGTACACAGTTATCTGGTGTGATGGCCTCTGCACAGCATGGCTCCTGGCCTTCAGAGCCCTCAATCTAGGCAGGAGACAGAAGTGAACAGAATCGTTCTGATCAAGGGCTGTAAGTACTAGAATGGAAGAACAGTGTGCTGTGGGAAGAAATGGAGAAAGAAAGGAGAATTCCTACTAAAATGGAGGCGAAGGAGGCATTTCAGGTAGAGGAACTAGCTTGAGCAAAGGCCAGGTAGTAGAGCCACACAGGATGTATGATTTGTGTGGTTAGCATGATGCAAAACAGGTGACTACAGGGTGGCCTTGAATGCTGGTATAAGACGTTTTTGCTTTATCCTAGAGAGAATGAGGAGCCACTGGAGGGATCCAAACAGAGAAGTGTCATGATCTGATGTGAGGTGGGATGGTCAACCTGATGGTGGTGTAGACAGTGGATGGGAGAGACCCAAGGCCAGGTAGGTGGCTACTGCAATAGTCCAAGCAGTCAGTACTGAGTCCTACATAGCCTTGTGCCCTTGTAGTTACTCTGTCTAAGCCTCATCTGGGAGCAGGCATTCTCTGCTGTCTATGCCCAGGGCCTGTGCTTGAGGAGAGAGGTCATTCTGGTCTTCTCCAGAGCCATGCTCTGACCTTGGTCAGCGGCCTTGTCCTGCCAGAGCCCCATTTATTTGGCTTCCCCGCTACACCCAGGTCGTGGTTCTACTTAGGGTGTGTGGGAAGTAGTAGCTGTCTCCCTCCACCCTCATTCAGTCAGCTTGACTGAGGAATCTCCAGATTAGAAGCAAGTCTTCAAATATTAACAGCTAAAAAGAATAAAAACAAGAACAGCCACATGTATGACAAGACAGTATCAACACTTTGCATGGATTATCCCATGTGATACTCTTGGCAACCTTATGAGGTGGATGCCATTGCCGTGTCCATTTCACAGATGAGAAAATGGAGTCTCTGAGTCGTTCATGCAATGGCTGCTCACTCTGGGGCCTCCAATAAGGCATAGCCTAGAGTCCACACCACAGGCTGGATGAGGTCCTTGGTCTCTACAGCCTGGAATGCAGTGGCCCTCTTTCTACTGCTGCTTATTTGTCCAAGCTCAACAAAGGTGTCCCCTCCTCTAGTGATCCCAACCCCCCGCCCCCCGCAAACCCTTGTTGCCACTTCAGGTTTCCCCACTCCCTGCTCTCCTCTGCCCCAGCATGCATCCATCTGGCTGCCCTGCCATGGTTTGCTCATCTGTCCTAGAGGGTGAGCTCCCCAAGGACAAGCAGACAGATCTCACTCTCCCTGTGGTCCCGTGCCAGCACAGAGAGGCTCTCACTGAAGGCATCAGATGTTGAAGTGGAAGGAGGGGGCGCCCTGCTGCCCTCCCTGCTTTGGGGCTTTCCACCTTTCCAGAGGAATGGGCTGCCTCCCCAGCCTCCCTCTGAAACTTGCCCCCACCCCTGTGTGGGAGACTGAGAGGGGCTTTCCCAAGCTGTGTGTCCCCTGCCGTTGAGATCACATCCCCACCTTCTGTCTTTTCTTTTCCAAATAAGCATCCAAATTCAAAGGCTGTGATAAGCTCTAGCTAAAGGCTGGAAACCAGCTCAGGCTCACATACCAGGGTGTCCAACCCATGCCCAACCAGGAAAAAAGAAGGAGATTGAAGGAGAAAAAGGGAGAGAGATGGTCACCAAGCTGAAGGCAGATGAAGAAGTGAGAGAGAGCAAAGTGCCTTCTTGCTGGGAGCCTCCCTTGTGTCTGGAATGATCAGAAATCGGGGAGAAATGGTACAGCCTTCAGCAGACGAAATTGAGCAGTTGTGCTGTGAGGCAGGCTGTGGTACTTAAATGCAATAGCTGATCTAATCACCAGTCTCGTTCTCTGGGAAGCTTTTTGCTGCATTTTAGCACAGAAAAGTGTTGTCTTTCTCTCTTTTGTGGCTCGAGCTGCTATTTAAGAAAGCAAAAAAAAAAAAAATCAATATGCCTTCTCAGGCTTTCATTCTTTTTCCCCCAAAAGGTGTTTCTTTGGGGAGGGGGAAAAGGTAGAGGGGGGAGTCGAGGAGCGTTTTTGTCATTCATAAGCCATGGTGACAAATCCTTGACATCATTCGCGGTTCCTATCGATCAGCTCCGTCCGCGGCACCAGAGGACAAATAGAAATCATTTGTCTGTCTTGGCTCCCAAACAACCTGAGACAAAGGGCTCGGCCAGCAATCAGCAGCTGGAGGTATTAGCAGCGGGTCAAGTTCGGAGATCAGAGGTCAAACAGGTTGTCATCAGTTTCTCACAGCTATCAGAGCAAGGGCAGGGGAGGGGCAGAATAAAACCCACCAACAACACAGCTGGTTCTTATTAGCCAAATCCTGCCAACCCTGCCTCCCTGCAAAGAAAGATGGGCCACTGCCCCCCCAGGGACGCCCTGGGATGCAGGATTTCATGGGTTGGCGGCAGGGGTGTGAGAGGCCAAGGAAGAAAAGAAGCAAGATCTGAGCTCTGCCTCTTGCTGTGTGTCCTGAGCACCCTCCCAAGGGAAGCTCTGAGTTATTCTGTCCTGGGCCGTGAAAAAGAGAGAGAAAGAGGAGAGAGAGAGAGACAGAGAGGAGAAAGAGAGAGAGAGAGAGACAGAGAGGGGAAAGAGAGAGAGAGAGACAGAGAGAGACAGAGAGAGACAGAGACCGGGACCTCAGGTTTCTCTGGGAGTCCTAGCAAGCAAGTTAATCTTGTATAATTGGAAGTGGCTTAAATGGCCTGGGAAACAGGGGATGCAGCCAGGGTACAGTTGAGTCATGTTAAGTCCCTGATTACACATCACCTGTTTTGGTTTCTCCTCCCACCCTCGAGATGAGACCCAATTCTTAGGACAATTAATCTAGACAAAGATATGGAAGGATGAGGGTGGCATATCCAGCCCCCGTGGAGTGACACGTACGGCGGGTGACTGGGGAGTGAGGAGAAGCATGACAAATAGGATGGCATCTGACAGCTCTTTTCACTGAGCACTTGCCATCAAGGCTGTGGGCCTGCTGCAGCCGTTATCTCACTGAAGCATCAATGAGAGCCCTGGGAGGGGCCTGTTGGTTCCATTTCACAGATGGGAAGACTGAGGCCCAGAGAGATTAGATCACCAGTATCATTGAGGCCACAAAGCACATATCTGAAAAGTGGATCCCAGGGAACAAAGAAAGGGGCACCTTTGATGGGATCCACTTTTCACTTTTCAATGAGCACAAGTCCAACTGATGGGAACATATTGAGAGTTCTGGGTCCCTGACTTCGCCAGCTGCTCCTTTGGCACACCCCCAAGCACCCAAGGACTCTATTGCCTTATAAGGATGAAAAGACCCAGAATTGGAACTTGCAGCTCTAAGGAAGTCCCCCGCGAAGGGAGAGAAAGGTAATTCAGGAGGTTTGGAGCTCACCAAGGTGGGAACACTTTGAGCCCACACTGGCCCAGGCTGGAAGGCAGGACTTCACCACACTAATCAGGTGGTAAATCCAGCTCTCAGGAGCCTACTGGCCCTCAGATAAGTTAATAGGAATGATGGCTTCTCTTCAGTGCCACTGGGTCACGGTGAAATGGGAGGGGGCAAGTTTAGTGCATGTCTGAAGACACATGGGTGGCCTGTCACCCAAAGGCCTCTGCTGGAATAGGGGCCCTTCTCAAGTCTAGGGGGCTCCAGGGGACGTAGGACACATTTTAATGAAGATGAGTAGGGAATTCTCTGATGCACCCGTTACTTGTTCCAACTCTCTCTCTCTCTCTCTCCCTCTCTCTCTTTTTTCTAAGAGGTGGGGTCTCACTATTTTGCCCAGGCTGATTTTAAACTCCTGGGCTCAAGTGATCCTCCTACCCTGGCCTCCCAATGTCCTGGGATTACAGGCATGAGCCACCACTCCCGGCCTGTTCCAACTCTCTAAGGAACCTTTAAGATGTGGAAGAAAAAGAAAGATAAAGGCAGTAGTGGAGCTGTGAAGATTGGAGTCTTTGAAGGAAACTTCAATGATGCATGTAGGATAAATATCCTTCTGAAACAGGAGCCCTTAAACAGAACTAAGACCTGTGGCTGTAAAAGGGTAGCCTGAGGATCTACACATCTGCACGTGGGATAAAACTGCATAGAACTCAACACACACACACAAACACATGTGAATGTAAAACTGGTGAAACCTGAATATGGTCAATGGGTAGTACCCGTGTCAATCTCTGGCTTGTGCCACTGTACTATAGCTATGCAAGATGTTTCCACTGGGGAAACTGGATGAAGGGTATATGGGATCTCTCTGTTTTACTTCTTACAACTGCATGTGAATTTACTATGACCTCAAAAGACAAAAGTTATAAAAAGGAAAAATAAACAAAAAAGCATTTTGTTCCCTCAGCAGAGTTCTCTCTGCCTCCTGACATAAAGATAGGAAAAGGCACAGTCAGGAGAGGAATAAGTGCTCTATCCACAAGCTCTCTCCATGTAGAAAACAGATAAGAATGGTCTGCATTATGTGTATTTTTCACCAAATCCATCCTTCTGAAGAACCACATTGTATTTATGCACACATTATTATCCCATTATTTGGTGAAGAAAACTGAGGCCGGGGTGGTGTACTTATTTGCCGGAAGCCACAGTGGCCGAGCTGGCATTTCAATCCCAGTCAGCTGACTCCAAAGCCTGCGCTCTTTCCACCACAGCACAGTGGTCAAGTTGGCAGTGTTCCTATTTCCAGAGCCCCAGAAAGTATGCTCTCCAAGGGTAGATTTGGCCTAGGAAGCTAAATATGCCAATTCCATCAAGCATTCGTTAAAAATTTTGCCGTCCAGGAGTATGGAGGGGTAGTTTTTTGTTTGTTTGTCAAAAAAAAAAAAGAATAAAAGAGGCCTGTCCTCAAGGATCTGAGTCTGTGGTTTTGCCAGGAAACTAACATGCCTAGAGATGGGCTGAACTTTCCTAAGAGCAACACAGGGTCAGAGAAGAGGGAGATGTGTGGGAAGGGGGCCTCTTGGAAGGGGGCAACTATGCCTCTTTCTTTTCCTTTTTTTTTTTTTCTTGCTTTGAGACGGAGCCTCACTCTGTCACCAAGGCTGGAGTGCAGTGGTATGATCTGGCTCACTGCAACCTCTGCCTCCCAGCTCAAGTGATTCTCCTGCCTCAACCTCCCAAGTAGCTGGGATTACAGGCGCCCACCACCATGCCTGCTAATTTTTGTATTTTTAGTAGAGATGGAGTTTCATCATGTTGGCCAGGCTGATCTCAAACTCCTGACCTCAAGTGATCTGTCTGCCTCAGCCTCCCAAAGTGCTGGGATTACAGGTGTGAGCCACCACTCCTGGCCTCTTTTTCAATTTTTTTGTTGTGGCAAAATTACATGTAACATAAAATTTACCATCTTCACCATTTTGAAGTGTATAATTCAGTGATACTAAGTAAATTCATATTAGGTAAAACCATCATTATCATCCACCCACAGAACTCTTCATCTTCCCAAACTGCAACTTTGTATCCATTAAACAACTCCCCATTCCCCACCCTCCTCACAGGCCCTGGCAACTCATTCTACTTTCTGTCTCTATGAATTTGACTACTCTAAGTACCTCATATGAATGGAATCATACAGTATTTGTCCTTTTGGGACAGACTTACTTCACTATCCTCAAGGCTCATCCATGTTGTAGCACGTGTCAGGATTTCCTTCCTTTTTCATGCTGAATAGTATTCCATCATATGCACCTACCACATTTTGCTTATCCATTCATCTTTTGATAGATACCTGCATTACTTCCCCGTTTTAGCTATTGTGACTAATGCTGCCATGAACATGGGTGTACAAATATTTTCTATTTTTCTTTTTTTTTTTCAAGATGGAGCTTTGTTCTGTCACCCAGGCTGGAGTGCAGTGGTGCGATCTCAACTCACTGCAACCTCCGCCTCCCAGATTCAAGCCATTCTCCTGCCTCAGCCTCCCAAGTAGCTGGGACTACAGGTGCCCGCCACCATGCACGGCTAATTTTTGTGTTTTGAGTAGAGACGGAGTTTCACCATGTTGGCCAGGCTGGTCTCTAACTCCTGGCCTCAAGTTGTCTGCCCACCTCGGCCTCCCAAAGTGCTGGGATTACTGGCATGAACCACTGCGCCCTGCCACAAATATCTTTTCAAGATTCTGCATTCAATTCTTTTGAGCATATACCCAGAAGCAGAATTGCTGCATCACATGATAATTCTATTTTTAATTTTTTGAGGAAAGGGGATGGCTTTCACTTAAGGATCATACAGTTTGGTTTCATTTTTAGTTTGTTTGGCTTGTTCTTTAAAAAAAAAAAGTAATATATGTACATAATTCACAATTCAAAAGGTGAAATCTCCCTCCCACCTCTATCCTCCAGTCAGTCACCCGGTTCACCTCCCTGGAGTCAACCAATGTTATCAGCTTCTTGCTTATTCTTCAAGAGAGATTCCAGGCATGTACAAATACATCTATCTATTAGAAGGGTTTCGATAGGTGGAGAAGGGAAGAAAGAAAGGGCACCAAAGAGGATAGACTTGTCATGGGGAGATTCATCCTACTAGGGTAAATTTTTTTCTGTCGCTGTTTTAGGGGTGTCTCTTATAAACATCACATGATTTGATTTTAGATTTTTGACTCAATCTTTAAGTCTTTTTTTTTAATATGTAGGTTTTGTCCATTTACATTTTTTTCTGTATTTAACTGGTTTTGCCTTATTGATAGAGGGAAATAATTCCTTTGGCAGAAACAAATGACCCTTAGTTTTACCTCCTGGTTGACTTTTAATTTTGCTTTCAAAGATTCTGATCTTCTAATCTTTGCTGTCCCTTTTACCTTTCTTCCCTAGTGTTTTGGAAGAAGTTTTTTGTTTTGTTTTTGAGACAGAGTCTCACTGTCACCCAGGCAGGAGTGCAGTGACATGATCTTGGCTCACTGCAACCTCTGCCTCCCAGGTTCAAGTGATTCTTCTGCCTCAGCCTCCCAAGTAGCTGGGAGTGCAGGCGTGCACCAACATGCTTGGTTAATTTTTGTATTTCTAGTAGAGACAAGGTTTCACCGTGTTGGCCGGGCTGGCCTTGAACTCCTGACCTCAAGTGATCCGCCCACCTAGGCCTCTTAAAGTGTTGGGATTACAGGTGTGAGCCACCATGCCCAGCCTGGAATAAGTTTTTATTCCATTACTGGTTAACTTTTTAACCAGTAAGAATATTTTTTAAAAAATTCTTTAACTTGGAATCATTTAACATTTTATTTTGAGAGTCTTGAGCGCTAAAGAAATAAAGAATAATACAAGCAACACCTATATTCTTACCATTTATCATTAATGTGCCAGTAATCAATGTATTGCCTCTTGGCACCAAACCTGCCATCATTTGCCTGCTTCATGTTACTGCAGCTGGACCCTGTAAACACTTCTCCTCTACGCACACTGGTTTTGTGGATAGAGGGCTCTAGAGGAACATCACGAGGCACAGCAGAAGAATGGGCTTCTCTTCCTGGTTCCTGAGTTCAATTCCTGTTCCCAGGACACAGCTGCCAGCAGCGTATGGGAGACCCAGTGGTGCTTACCCTCTGGCAATTTACACTGGCACCCCTGTGGTTGGCTTTCTGCTTGCCAGCCCTGGCCTGTCAGCTGTGGCCCAGCTTTGGCTTGAAGCACCTCGGTGAACCTCTCCACATGGTCCACAGCCCCACCCTCTCTAAGGTCTGACTCCCAGACATGGGTTGGGGGTTTCTCCCAAGTGCCATGGTTCCTTGGGTGTGCTTCCTGAGCCCTAGAGGTAGTAACTGCCCCCCATGTCTGCTACCCCTCTTTAAAGGTACCTTTTCCCCTCTTAGTTGGTAACCACCTTTTATTAATTTTTTCAGTTAATTGCTTTTTATATTACTTTTTTCTGTGTGGTTTCTGTCTCCTGACTGGACCTTGACTGATACATTTAACAAAGTTCATATTTTTGTCACATATGCTTGCTGTTATTTTTTTTCTTTTAAGGAAATTACACATTACGGATATAGCTAAAGTCCCTTCTAATGGCCATCCCTGGTTCTATACCCTTTCTCCAAGAGGGAACCATTATTATGAGTTTGAGGTAAATCCTCATATTTTAAAAATGTTTCCATCCATTCATATGTATCCACAAATAAGGCATGCTATTTTTACATTTTAAAATGTATATGAGTGATATGCTTTTCATATCATTCTGAATCTTTTTTCTATCTACCCAACATTATATAACTTAAAACTATGCATGTGGATATATGTAGATCTAGTTAATTCCTCTAAAACTGTTGTATAATATCCCATCATATAAACATATCATGTTATTAATTCATTCCCCTATAGATGGTCATTTAGATTGTTTTTAATATTTGGCCAGTTGCAAACAACGATGCAATATACATCTGGCATATGCACATGACAGAATTTCTCCAGGGAATATATTTAGAAATGGGATTTTTTGAATAGCTCATAGAGGATGTACTTTCTTTCTTTCTTTTTTCTTTTTTTTTTTTTAGAGACAGGGTCTCACTCTGTCGCACAGGCAGGAATGCAGTGGCATGATCATGGCAAGGATGTACATTTTTAAATGTTATTAGCTGCTGCTTATTTGTAATAATGCTATCATTTTCTCAATACCCTCATCAACACTTTATTTTATTTATTTATTCTTTAGAGACAGGGTCTTGCTCTGTTGTCCATCCTGGAGTACAATGGTGCAATCAATCATAGCTCACTGCAGCCTTGACCACCCGGGTCAAGCAATCCTCCATCTCGGCCTCCCAAAGTGCTGGGATTACAGGTATGAACCCCTGCATCCGGCAACACTTTATATTGTTAGGCCTTTTAATTTTTCCCAATCTGGTGGACTGGGCAAAAAATAGTATCTCACTTTTCTTTTCATGGCTTTAGTGGCTATTTGAATATTCCTTTGTATGAATTTTCTGTTCATATGTTTCTCATTTTTCTGTTGGGTTGTCTTTTTCTTACAGATTATAGAAATTCTTTATATATTCTGATAGATACATTATATATTGCAAATATCTCCCAGTAAATTGTTCACCTTTTAATCTTGCACATGGTATATTTTGCCTGAGATAAGATTTAATTTTAGCAAAGTTAAGTAATCTATTTTTTTATTTTATAGGATGTTCTTACTGTGTCTTTCTTGTTTGAGAAATCATTCTCTATCCTGGGTCATGAAAAATATTTTCTTATAATTTCTTCTAACTGTTTTTCATGTTTAGGTCACTAAAACATCTATATTTTACTTTTGTTAATGACATGTCACAGCTCTGTTATTAAATAGTCTTTCTTTTCCCTAATGATTAGTGGTGACATCTCTAACATATGCTACATTCTTATATATAGATAGAAATCTGTTCTCGGGTCCTCTGATCTGTTTTATTGGTTTATTTATCTATTCCTGTGTTAATTAGGATGTTAAGAACCCAAGCTGCTATTATGAGAGTTCCAACAATCATGTGACTTAAAAAACAAAGTTTATATTTTATGCACATAACCTTGCAAGGTGAGCTCTGCTCCGTGGAGCCTTTCCTTCATGCTGCTGGCCCAACATAGGTTGGCCAGGGGCTGTGCTCTTTGTCATGTCCATGCTAGGACCTCAGCTAATGGAGCAGCCACTATCTGAAATGTTGGTGATTGCCATGGAAGAGAGAAAGAGAGTGCTGGATGGTCTTGTACCAATCATTAAATGTGTCCTCCTAGAAGTGACACACTTCACTTCAGCTCACAACTCATTGGCCCCATGTAACTGAAAGAGACCAGGAAATGCAGGCCTATCATGTGCCACAAGGCAAAGAGCTGGGAATGTTTGGGGAACAGTATTAATGACTATAACACACATGCATTTTAAGTTTATAAATTTCCCTCGAAATACGGCTTTAACTGCTCCTTAGAAATTTTACCCAAGACTTTCATTATCATTTTAAAATAAGCATCTCATTTTGTAATAGTTTTAGATTTAAAGAAAAATTATGAAGATAGGAACTGGAAAGTTTCCATATAACCCCTCTCAATTTCCCTTACTTAACATCTTATATTAGTATGATATATTTGTCATTATTAATGAACCACAATACATTATTATTATTATTATTATTATTATTATTATTATTATTATTACTCTGTTACCCAGGCTAAAGTGCAGTGGTGCAATCACGTCTCACTGCAGCCTTGACCTCCTGGGCTCAAGTGATCCTCCTGCCTCAGCCTCCCGAGTAGCTGGGACCACAGGCACACGCCACCACACCTGGCTAAGAGATGGGGTCTCTTTATGTTGCCCAGGCTGGTCTTGAACTCCTGGACTCAAGTGATTCTTCTACCTCAGCCTCTCAAAGTGTTGGGATTACAGGCGTGAGCCACCACACCCAGCTCCAATACATTATTATTAATTAAAACCCATACTTTAATTCAGATTTCCTCTGTTTTTACCTGATGTCCTTTTCCTTTTTCTTTTTGGAATATTTATTATTTTATTTATTATATGAGATCCAGGAGAGAAAGGAGCAATGTAAAATCCAGCAATCCCTAGTGGTATATATCCAAAAGAAAGAAAATTAGTCTTTTGAAGAGACACCCACAGTTGCATGTTTATTGTGGCACCATTCGCAATAGCCAAGACATGGAATCAACCTAAGTGTCTATCAACAGAGGAATGGATAAAGAAAATGTATTATGTATACACAACGGAACATTATTCAGCCACAAAAAAGAATGATCCTCCTGCCTCAGGAAGATCCTGTCAATTGCAACAACATGGATGGGATTGAAGGAACCTAATGTCCTTTCTCGATTCCAGGATCCCATCCAGGATGCTGCGTTACATTTAATCATCATGTCTCCTTCGGCCCCTTTTGTCTGCGACAGTGTCTCCGGTGTTCCTTGTTTTTCATGACCTTAACAGTTTTAAGGAGTACTGGTCAGGTATTTTGTAGAATGTTCCTCAACTGGGATTCATCTGATAGTCTTCTCATGTTTACACTGAGGTTATATTTGTATGTTTGTTGGTTTGTTTGTTTGTTTTGAGATGGAGTCTCGCTCTGTCACCCAGGCTGGAGTGCAATGGCATGATCTCGGCTCACTGCAACCTCTGCCTCCCAGGTTCAAGTGATTCTCCTGCCTCAGCCTCCCGAGTAGCTGGGATTACAGGTGCCCGCCACCACACCCGGCTAATTTTTGTATTTTTGTAGAGATGAGGTTTCACCATGTTGGCCAGACTGGTCTTGAACTCCTGACCTCAGGTGATCCTCAGGTGATCGGCCCACCTTGGCCTCCCAAAGTGCAGGGATTACAGGTGCAAGCCACAAGGTTATGGTTCTTTTGAGAGGGAGATCACAGAAGTAAAGTGTCATTCTCATGACATCATACCAAGGGCTTATACTATTGATAGGATATCGCTGTTGATGTTAACCTTGATCACACAGCTAAGGTAGTGCTTGTCAGGTTTCTCTACTGTAAAGTTACTCGTCCTCCATCACCCCTTCCATAATGTACTTTTTTTTTTTTTTTTTTTAGACAGAGTCTTGCTCTGTCACCCAGGCTAGTGTGCAGTGGCGCGATGTCAGCTCACTGCAACCTCCGCCTCCTGGGTTCAAGCAATTCTCCTGCCTCAGCCTCCCAAGGGGCTGGGATTACAGGCACCTGCCACCAGGCCTGGCTAATTTTTGCATTTTTAGTAGAGACAGGGTTTCGCCATGTTGGCCAGGCTGTTCTTGAACTCCTGACTCAAGTGATCCACCCGCTTCGGCCTCCCAAAGTGCTAGGATTACAGGCATGAGCCACCACGCCCCACCCATAATGTACTTTTTGGAAGAAAATCACTATGCTAAGCCCACACATAAGGAATAGGAAGTTATGTTCCACCTCCTGGAAGGCAGAGCCTCTACATAATTGAAATTCCTCTGCACAGGAGGCTTGTCTATTCTCCCCATTAATTTATTTATTCAACCATGTATTTGTATCAGTATGGATTCATGGATATTTATTTACTTTGGATTATAATCCAATACTGTGTTATTTATTTTGTTGCTCAAATTATTCCAGCCTTGGCCACTGGGAGCACTTTCGGTGGGCTCCTGTGTGTCTTAGACATACCCTCATCAATGTGAGTTGTTTTATATCTGAGCATTTCCTTATTTTTTGGCACTAAAAGATGCTCCAGGCTCATCTTGTATATTTCCTGTCTAGTCCTAGAATCAGACGTTTTTCCAAGAACCCTGGTTCTTTTCACTGGAGAATGGTATTAGAAACCAAGATCTGAGCACTAGGTGTGATTGTTGCTACTGGTGGTCATTGCTTCTAGGCCCTCAGTTGGCAAGGCGAAGAAATATATGTGTGTATACTGACCATTTATCCACACATATCTATACAAAATTCTATATGTAATCATCTGTATTTCTATTGAGCTAAACATAAGTTCATCTGCTGTCTCCAACTCTCATCCATTACCACATGGATCATTCAACTTCAAGTTCAATGCTTTGCTTATGTATAACCTCCCATTACAACCACTTGCTGGGAGCAGTGAAACTCTGGGTCCCATCTGTTTACTTAAATGTTCAACAAACCCCCGTAACATGGGTTTCCCTGTATAACAAACCTGCACATGTACCCCTGAACCTAAAATAAAGGTTAAAGAAAAGTTTAATTCCAGTATACATATATAGTGGTTTCGAATTTCTAACCTTTTTATTATTATTATTATTATTATTATTATTTGAGACAGGGTCTCACTCTGTCACCCAGGCTGAAGTGCAATGGTGCAATCTCAGGTCACTGCAACCTCCGCCTCCCAGGTTCAAGCAATTCTCCTGCCTCAGCCTCCCGAGTAGCTAGAATTACAGGTGCACACCACCACGCCTGGCTAATTTTCATAATATTAGAAGAGATGAGGTTTCTCCGTGTTGGCCAGGCTGGTCTTGAACTCCTGGCCTCAGGTGATCCACCCATCTCAGCTTCCCAAAGTACTGGGATTACAGTCGTGAGCCACCACTCCTGGCCTCATTATCATTTAATTCTAAATATTTAATTAATTGACATTGGTTTACTCTTTAACTATGAATTATTTAGAAGTTTGGGGGTTTTTTTGTTTCATAACGTAGAAGGTTTTGATAGCTTGCTTTCTCTGTGGTTGATTTCTAATTTTATTGCATTGTGGTCTGAAAACATGTTCTGTATAATGTTGATTCTCTGGAATGTTTTGAGAGTTCCTCTGTGATCTAATACGTAATTCTAGTAACAGTTCCATGTGTGATTGGGGAAAAACATATGAATTTTGGTACATCTACTCTATGCCATTAAAAACATCATTATGAAAATGTAGAAAGTACACAAATGTTTGAGATAATGTGAAATGGAAAAAAGAACATGAAACACGTGATATTAGCAGCAATGTAAAATCTTCAGGCATAAAAACAAAGACTGGAAAAGAATAAACAAGAATGAAAATAAGCATTGACTACTAGTGGTAGGATTCTAGATAATTTTTTTCTTACCTCAAAATTGTATTTAATGTGTTTTACTGTTTCTGTAATTCACAAAACTCTAAAAAATGTTTACCCTGGAAAATATTGGTTTGGATAAATTAACAAAGGCTTAAGAGCATTTAGTACTACAGCCTTTTTTTTTTTTTTTGAGACATGGTCTCTGTTGCCCAGGCTGGAGTGCAATGGCGTGATCACAGCTCACTGCAGCCTCAAGTTCCTGAGCTCAAGCAATCCTCCTGCCTCAGCCTCCTAAGTAGGTAGGACTATTGATGCATGCCACCATACCTGGCCAATTTTTTATAATTTTTTGTAGAGATTAGATCTCACTGTGTTTCCCAGGTTGGTCTTGAAGTCCTGGCCTCAAGCAATCCTCTTGCCTCGGCCTCCCAAAGTGCAAGGATTATAGACTCGAGCCACCACACTCGGCCAACAGACATTTTTTGAGCTCTTGCTATGTGTAGGGCACCATGCTAGATCTTAGGGATCCAGAAATGTTAAGTCGAGGTCACTTTCTTCAGTTTCTAACTCTAAATGTCATGGATATGTAGTTCAGAAAGGGCAGACCAAGCACAAGGAATTCCTATACAGGGCACCTAGTGAGAGGGCCCCAGAGAGGTCCATATATGGTGTGGCTGGAAGACACCATTGGGAGAAATTAATTTAGACTCAGCCAGGGGAGAAGAGGGTATGCAAAGTTTATGGTGGGATTCACAAAGGATCTCAAGGGGGTGGACACAGGGAGGAACTACAGGCAAAGGGGAGACCTTGAATAATACTAAAATTTGATATTTGCATAAGATTTTATAGTTTACACACCCTCCTAGCACACACACACATGCACACACACACAAGTTCATTGCTTTTTACCTATATTTATGCTATTTATCCTGTGAGGCAGACATTACTCTTTTTATACCCATTTTTACAGTTGAAAACTGAGGTTCAGAGAGGGAAAGCAACTTGTCCAAAGTTACACAACTGGAAAGTGACAGAGCCAGGACTCCGATACTAGTCTTCTCGCTCCAGGTGGAGGTTTCTTCATGTAAACCCCTCTTTGAAAATAACTCTTTGGCAATGCACTTAAAAAGAGCCATAAAAATGGCTCATCAAAGCTGTCCCGCTCAGTGAGAAGAATAGTATCAAGTGTCCTCTCAAGAAGGAGCTATTATGAACACAGAAACTGAGGACCAGAAAGTCAAGCTAGGTGGACGGTTGAGCTGAACTAAAACTGAATTGGGTGTTTTGTGGAACTAGACTCTTGTCCTTTGCTGAGCACAGAAGGGGCCCATCCAGCTACCCCAGAGGGCACCAGAGCTTGGTGCTGGGAGCTCAAAGCCAATGCAGCCACTGGTCCATTCTAACCCAGCTCTGCAGCCTCTATTCACATAGTCCCTCAGACTGTGAAATGAATGAATGAATGAATGAATGAACAAAAATGTTCTGCTTCTCACCTCCACCTTTTTCCCCACCACCCGCCTACTTGGTGTGAGAGCCCTGTTCTCCACTCCCAAAGGTCAACCCCCAACATCTCTCCTCTACTATCTGCAGGGAATCTACTCAACCTCTTCAGTCTGACTTCTCAACCAGTACCTTATCCCCCTCCTCCTGCCACCTTCTTAGCTGCCCCCAAGCCTGGCCCTGGGAGGAGCGAAGGTTACCTGGGAACTAGCATTCCCAATGCTGCCCCCGCCCCCCCGCCCCACAATACACACTCAGTTACTGACTCTCCCACTTCTTCTCCCAATTTTCTCATCCTGCTGCTAAGCTGTCCTTTTAACTGGCATCCTATATGGCTTTTTTTTTTTCTTTTGAGATGGAGTCTTGCTCTGTCACCCAGGCTGGAGTACAATGGTGCGATCTCGGCTCACTGCAGCCTCCACCTCCCGAGTTCAAGTGATTCTCCTGCCTCAGTCTCCCAAGTAGCTGGGATTACAGGCGCCTGCCACCGTGCTTGGCTAATTTTTGTATTTTTGGTAGAGATGGGGTTTTGCCGTGTTAGCCAGGTTGGTTTTGAACTCCTAACCTCAGGTGATCTGCCTGCCTTGGCCTCCCAAAGTGCTGGGATTACAGGTGGGAGCCACCGTGCCTGGCCTAACATGTTATATGTATTTATTACAGACAATCTCAAATCCATTTTTAAAGAGAATAGGGTGTGACTTCATTAATAATAAACACATATTTCTTAGACAAACACATATTTAAGAAATATTTATTGGACACCTATTATGTGTGTAGCTTTGTGTTAAACGCTGGCAATACAGTGACAAGCAAAACAGCTACAGTTCCTACCCTGATAGAGTGTACAGTCTAGTCAGGGGAGCAGACACTAAGAAGTATGCTTATAAATAAATACATACAGTTGTTCCTCTGTACCTGCAAGTTCTGCATCCACAGGTTCAATCAGCCATGGATCAAAAATACTCTTAAAAAAAAAAGAATAGGCCGGGCACAATGGCTCACGCCTGTCATCGCAGCACATTGTGAGGCCGAGGTAGGCAGATCACCTGAGGTCAGGGGTCCAAAACCAACCTGGCCAACATGGTAAAACCCTGTCTCTAGTAAAAATACAAAAAAATCAGCTAGGCATGGTGGTGTGCACCTGTAATCCCAACTACTGGGGTGGCTGAGGCAGGAGAATTGCTTGAACCTGGGAGGTGTAGGTTGCAGTGAGCCAAGATTGCGCCACCGCACTCCAGCCTGGGTGACGGAGTGAAACTGTCTCAAGAATAAATAAGTAAAAAAAAAAAATACAGCAATAAAAAACAATGTAATATAACAACTATTTACATAGCATTTACATTGTATTGGGTGTTATAAGTAGTCAGACTTGATTTAAAGTCTAAGGGAGGATATGCATAGATTATATGTAAATATTATACTACACCATTTTATACAAGGGACTTGAGCATCCTCGAATTTTGGTATCCGAGGGGAGTCCTAGAACCAACCTCTCACAGATACCAAGGGGCAATTGTACGTGTGACAAGAGCTTTGAAAGAAAAAAATAACAGAAGATGCCTACTCTAGATTTGCACAGAATGCAGAGCTAGTAAGAGCTCTAATGATCACAATACACGCACTGAAGTCTATACATTTCCCTGTAAGCACTGCTTTAACTGCACCCTGTAAATGTTGACATTAAGTGCATTCATTATCATTCAATTCTAAATATTTAATAATTTTTGTTGATTTCTTTTTAACCCACAGATAATGTTGAGGTGAAGTTATTGTTTGTTTGTTTTTTGTTTGTTTGTTTGAGACGGAGTCTTGCTCTGTCACCAGGCTGGATTACAGTGGCGTGGTCTCGGCACACTGCAACCTCTGCCTCCCGGGTTCAAGTCATTCTCCTGCCTCAACCTCCCAAGTAGCTGGGATTACAGGCGCCCACCACCCCACCCAGCTAATTTTTGTATTTTTAGTAGAGACGGATTTCACCATGTTGGCCAGGATGGTCTCCATCTCCTGACCTCGTGATCCGCCCACTTGGCCTCCCAAAGTGCTGGGATTACAGGCATGAGCCACTGCGCCCGGCCGAGGTGAAGTTTTTCATTTCAAAACATGTAGGGTTTTGGTAACTCTCTTTTGGTGGTTGATTTCTAATTTTATTGCATTATGAGCTGAGAACCATAACGTTCTGTATATGGTAATTCTCTGGAATGTTTTTAAGACGTCTCTTGTGACCTAATAATTGTCCACACTGGGCTACCATTCCACGTCCAACTAAATAAAAATAAAGTCTATACATTTTGGTATATCAACGTATATCAATGCCATTAAAAGGATTATTAAAAAGATCATGAGAATGGAGAGATGAAAAAGCTGCCCAGGAGAGAAGCTGAGGGAAGAAAACGTGTGAAGGCTTTGGGGCAGAAAGGAACCATTGAAAGCCTAGACTGGCGGTGAGGCTGTAGCCAGAGAGAGTCAGGAGCGGGCAGACACTGATAGGGGTGAAGTAGGCAGGGGCCAATTTATAAATAAATAAAATGGAAAATAATATACGTGAATAATGGCCGAATAGCATTACAAGAGCCAGTCATCACCTCCAGGCCCCCACTGGTCTCCCTCAAGAAAGTACAGGGCAGCGGAGACTTCATCTCGAGCTGATTTGGACTTTGGGGGTCAGAAAGATAACTCAGCGGGCCAGTGCAGTCCGCCTCCCCTGGTTCCCAGCTCGATTCCCTCCACCACCTTTCAGCCTCAGGTTTCCTCACCTGGGAGTAAGATCCACCCCTCAGGCGGTTCTGAGCTCAGGGGATGGACCTAATGGCTGCAAGGCCTGCGTCCTAACGGGCTTGCAGAACTGCCAGCGCCCGGCCCTGCTTCTGTGTCATCTCTCTGCCTATTCGGGGCGCTCCCAAGTGCGGGCTAGTGCGGTGGTGACGCGCCGCAGCTGCAGTGTGCCAGAGCCTGGGTGCGAATGCAGCCATTCTGCTAGCTGTCCCTGGGCCGGCTGAGACTCTGGGTCTCCAAGTCAGCATCCGTAAAAATGGAAGCAATCACTCGATCCACCTCATATGGTGGGGGGAGGGGTAACTGAGCGCATAACTCACTTTAAACACCTGGCTCCGAGGCTGGCACTTAATAAGCGCTCATTAAACGAGGGTGTCCTTGCCTTGCCGTCTCCCGCATTCGGGCCGCTCCCCGCATTTCCACCCCGCTCCCACTGCTGGGTAAATGTTCATCTGGACGGGGACAGGATCGGGAACCGCCGGGCAGGGGGTCTGCGCGGCGGCGTCCTCCCCTCCCCGCCCGGCTCTCCCGCTCCATCCCCGCGGCCTGGCCAAGGGCAGCGCCAAGGGCGCCCGCGGAGGGCGCAGCTGCCCCGGACGGAGCCCCCGCCACCCCCACAGCCGCGCGGGTGCTCCAGAGCATCCAACTTCATTTCCACTTCAATTTTATCAGCGGCCGGGGAGCCGGGCGGGAGATAGGAGGCCGGCCCTGACACGAATTAGCCCGGAGATTGTCCGATACGCCTTGGCCAGGGCGCCGGCGCCGCGCGCTCGCCTCCCTCGCCTCTCCTTTGTGTCCGCCTCGCCTCGCCTCTCGGCCTCGCCGCGCTCCATTCCCGCGGCGCTGGCCCGGGCCGAGCGAACTGCTTTGCCTTTGGCCACGTTGAGCGCGCCGAGGCAGCCGGGGGCGCGGGGCTCCAGGACCCGTCTGCTCCTGGTGCCCCCAGCTCCTCAGGGTCCGGCCGGGTCACCTGGGCCGATCCAGGCGGGCAGGGGCCTCGCTGCTCCTCCCCCGCAGCCCCTCTCGCCCTCCCGGGGACCGTGTGCGGGGAGCAGCTGGGAGCTGCGTCTGGAGGGGCTGTCCGACTGGGGAACTTGTCCTGTGCCTTGTCCATGCCATTACATTCATCCTCCCAAGAACCCTGAGAAATGAGGAGATCGTCAGAGAAGGGGAAACTGAGGCTCAGAGAGGCGACAGTACTCGCCCAAGGTCACGCTGCGAGTAAGTGGTCATCTGTCCATTCCCTAGAGCCTCGGTGAGGGGGGTTGTCGGGCATATTTACACAGTTGGCATTTCCCCTTTACCTACTATGGGAGGTTGCGAGAATTGATTATTCCCCACATTTATTGCAAGAAGGAGGCCAAATATGATGAGGATGATGGAGGCACTTAAAGCTTGCAAAGACAGGTGCATGACTTCCTTCCAAACCCTCTTCTCCCAGGTGCCCTCCCAGGACACACCCCCTCCCAAGCTTCCTCCCCACTTCCCCCTATAACCCCCCACCCCAATCCAGGCTTGACCCAAAGACACTGTTTTGCTATGTTCCAGCTAGACCAATGGTGGAGGCCCAAGAACCATCTCTGGGACCCAGCGGGGGTCTCTCCCCAGCCCCTCCCTAGAGCTTGGGGTGAGGAATGCTAGCCCTGCCTGGCTTCCCACCTCTGTTTTGGGGTGCTTCTGGGGAAAATTTATATCCCTCTCAGGTTTGGGAACCAATCCCACACTAAAAAGAAAGAAGAAAGAGAGAAGGAAATGATTTTAATTTTTTTAGGTCCAGAAATGAAGCAGAAGTGAGTAAATTTTAATGAAACGGTGCAAAAATGACATCATTTACTCAGAAATCATTAATTTGTCAGCATTAATATTTCAGCTACAACATTGCCTGTCATTTTGTGCCTGCAATGACTGATAAATCTATAAAAGCGTGCTGCTAATTTACTGAATATTTATGTGCAGTGTCATTTGCAGAGTAAGAATGGAATTTATTTCATGCCGAGTTCTGCGGGAGAACATTCCCCACAAACCTTCACCCTGGTAGGTGGGGGAGGGCAGGGGGAGACTCCAAACTTCCTGGAAAACTGGTAACAGGATGAGAAGAAAGGGGGCCCCTCGGGGCTCAGCCCCCCCAGCCCCAGAGCACAGGGAGGGAACACCTCACTTTTGCTCAGGTGGTGCAAAGGCACTCCTGGGATCCCCTCCGTGCCCCCATCGTGGCCAGTTCACATTTGACCTCTCCTGCAGCATTCTCCTCAAAGCTATCTGCTCCCAGAAAGGCGCCCTGGATTCTGCTGCCCTCTCACTGCAGTGGGAAGGTGCGGTTACTGGCTCGCTGGTGTGGGGCAGGCCCTAGAGAGGATGGCAGGGCAGGTGGGCTGCAGGTCCTGGATGGGTTATCAGAAGAGGGGACCTGAGGCCGGGGGTAGTGGCTCATGCCTGTAATCCCAGTGCTTTGGGAGGCCAAGGCAGGAGGATCACTTGAGGTCAGGAGTTCGAGACCAGCCCCACCAACATGGTGAAATACTAAAAATACAAAAATTAGCCAGGTGTGGTGGTGGGCACCTGTAATCCCAGCTACTCAGGAAGCTGAGGCAGGAGAATTGCTTGAACCTGGGAGGCAGAGGTTGCAGTGAGCCAAGATCGCGCCACTCCACTCTAACCTGGGTGAGAGAGGGAGACTCTGTCTCAAAAAAAAAAAAAAAAAAAAAAAGAAAAGAAAAAAAGAAGAAGAAGAAGAAGAGGGGATCTGAGAAGAGCTAATGTGCCTAACGTGGAGTCAGGCAGCCTGAGTTCCAGTCCTGGCTCTGTGAATATTCTCAGCAGTCTGGGTCTCAGTGTCCTCATCTGGAACATGGGAACGCTATCAGCACCTGCTTCCAGAGACACAGTGAGGATTGGCTGACCTAATGCATGTAACGGACCCGGGAAACATTAGCTACTGCTGCTGCTGCTGTCACTGAAAGAATCACTGCCAGATTCCCTGCTCCTGGGGTGTTCTTTTTCTGGGTCTTTTTCCCCAGGTGGGAAGTGGGAGGCCCTGAGACCCCATCCCCACAATCCTGAGAGGAACACAACCCCCAACAAGGCTCCTCCCTCCCCTACGTGGGTCTGCTTCCCCAGCCTCAAAGGGGAGTCCCATTCTCCTCACCCACTCCCTTCTCATTTCCATAGGCTGAGTCTCCAGAATTCCATGGTGGTATCTATCCAGAAGCACCTTCCTGAAGCGCCCAGCCCAGCCGGTGTTTCCCTGGCCCTCAGAGCTGTCCATTTCACAGAGAGCAAAATCAAGGCTCTGAGAGTGGTGCCAGCTGCCTAACGACCCCTCGCCCCCATTTCCCCTTTCCCATCCCAACAAGAGCACAAATCACGAGCCTTCAGGTTTTGCACAATTTTGCTCAATTTCCTGCCTGAATGGCACAGGGCCTGACCCTCTGCAGGTGCTCAGGAAATGTTCGTGGAATCAATAAAGGACAGCTAAATCTCCCATCTTCTGAAAGCTCTTTGTCTCCTCCCTCCCTCCTGCTCCCCACACTCCATCAGGGTGGCTGGTGGCCTCCTCCTCTGGAAAGCCTCTCGAATGGCTCCTTTCTCTTCTTTGCCCCTGCTGCTGCTCTAGTGGAGTCCTTGCTAGCACTTACGCGGGCCACTGCACTAGGCTGCTCAGAGGTCTCTCTACCTCCATTTCCCGCCTCTGATGCAGTCGCCCTGAGCTGCCAGCGCTCTCTCAGGAGCATCCTGCCAGCACCACTCCCTAACTTACAGCTCCAGCGGCCCCCACTGCTGGAGAAATGGCGCCCGCCTGCCCTTCCAGATCTGGCATGCTGGCCTCTTCTTCCTCTCTGAGAGCCCCGCCTGCTATTTAACATGCAGGTCAACACTTGTCTGTCTCCAGGGCTTTGCTGTCCCTTCTGCCCAGTGTCCTTCCATTCCTCACAGCCAAATCACATCTATCCTTCAAGGCCCATCACAGCCGATCCTGGTCCCTTCAGAATTCCTCCTCATCCAAGCAAGGCCACGGGGACAGGGAGCTGCCTTCTCTCCCAAGCAAGCCCTAGTGTGGGAGAAAATGTCAGGCAAAGGAAAGGAAGGGCACCCATTGTCTGCATCTTGGGGAGAACACTGGACTGGTGGTCGGGGGGCCTGGGTTCTCTTTCTGGTCAGCACTGTGTGGCCTTGACCTTGCCTATCTATGAAATGGGGTGGTCCAGATCTCTCCAGTCCACACTCTGAATCTATCTTGTTCACGGCTGCATCTTGCACCAAGCATAGCACAAGGCACATAGTTCCTCAATAAATACTCACTGAGTGACAGACTTCTAAAGCCCTGCTCTATGCCAGGGTTCTGAGATTCTGCAACTTGGTATTGTCCAGGCAGACATTTGGGGGACTACCCAGGGACAGGCAGAAGGAACTGCTTCACTACCAACATTGAAGAGTGGCAGACTTTCACATAAATGACATTATTTAATCCTCGTAACAGCCCTGTGGCCTGCACTTCCCCATCACCATTTCACAGATGAGGAAACTGAGGCTAGAAGGTTAAGTGACCTGATCAAGCTCACACCCAGGTCCTTGGCTTCAAATCCAGTGCTCTTTCTGCTGCCCCCAAATGCTTTCATTTGCTCTTAGAATAAACCCCAAGACTTCTGTGGCCTGTGAGACTGTGTGATCATGCCCCTGAGATCTTCTTCAAACTCACTCGCCCCCCTGGATCAGAGCCACACTGGACTCTGGCTGCTCCTTGAACGCTGTAAGCTCATTCCCTCCTCCAGGCCTTTGCACTGCTATTTCCTCCGCCTGGAAAGTTTGTCTTCGCCATCCAGATCTCAGCTCCCATGCCACCTTTTCAGAGGCCTTCCTTGCCCACCAAGCTAAAATAGATATTTCATTTCCCTCAGACACCACCTGACACGGTCTCATATGTCTGTGGCCTGTTGGTTGCCTGTGTCCTCCCTGAGGGTTCCTGTCTGGCCCTATAAGCTAGGTCTCTGGAACGCACCTGGCTGAGAGTGACTATTGGATGGATGGATCCATGCCTTGCAGCTCTGCCTGGGTATGTTAGAGGAAAACTATGAACCTCCTGTCTTCCAGGAGAAGAGATGGGGTGGCTGGAAGGCAGGGATGTGGTAGGTTGGGGGCACCAGGAATGCAAGGTGCAGCCCAGTCCCAGAAGCTGGATTCCAGAAAAGGGAGGCTGGGAGGCACTGCCCACCCTTGTCCTAGCCACGCCCCCCTCCACCCCCATGCCTCACACTCATTTCCTTCCCGGAGTCAGTCTCATTTGCTTTCCCTAAAAGCCGCTGGAGGAGCCAATATGTACGTGATGAATATTTCATCTCCTGAGCGTGGGTTTGCGGGAGAGCTGTGATCCCCTGGGGAGGGAGCACTGCCCAGCCGTGCCTGGGAAGAAGGGGGGCTGAGAGGGGCACTGGCAATAGGCTCTGAAGAAGGCAGGTTTTAGGGTCCACCCACCTGCTCCTGCCGACACCGTTGGCCTTGGGAGGCTCAGAGAGGTCAGGGCAGCCTGAATCTGAGGCACAAATACTTCGTGCCCCATGGGGCTCCCAGTCCTTCGTTGGGGTTCGCCTGTGGCAAGGGGCAGATGTTTTCCTGAGCCCAGAGATGCATGAAAAATGGGGAAAATGAGGCTTAGGGAGGCTGAGAGGGAGAGGGGAGAGAACAATACCAGGGTTCTGAGGTTCTGAGGTTTGCGCACCCACGAACCCACACTCAGGAGATGTCCAGGCTGAAGGTGCCACTGGCATGACTATGGCTGAAGGTGTGGAGCACATCCTGGTCCTCACATATAGTGGCCCCTCAAATAGGAGTCCTGGGAACTGTCTCCCCCTGGGGATGGGGGCTGGGAAGCTACAGCCTGAGAAGGGAAGGGAGGGACAGGTAAGCACAGAGGAAGAAGGAGGAATGAGGAGCATGTGGCTCACTTCGCTCCTGCCCTGTGCCCATCCCCAGCCCCACGCTGTGCTCTCCACCCTTCCCCTCCGTGGCCACAGCAGCCAATGATGGCCAAGGCAAGCTTATCCAGCTCTGGAAGCTGCCAGTCCTGGTTGCCAGTCCTCTGCTCCCTCACCAGTTGACTGACCTTTGAATCTACCTAAACCTCAGTTTCCCCATTTGAAAAATAGCATTAGTTATACCACCTGGCTGGGTAATTCTGAAGGGCCAGCAGAGTGCCTGGCACATGATAAAGACTCAGGGGATTTACAGTCTACACCACATACACATGCACACAGGCACACACACGCCCCACCATCACCTCTCCTCTGTCATCCACCTCTGGTTTGAAAACAAAGGACCACCCGTTGCCTCCTCCTTCACCCAGGCTCTCTCACCTCTCCCTCTACCCTGTCCACCCCCTCACCACACACCCCACTCCACAACCTTGAGCCTCTGTTCCCTGAGGAGCGGAGTGGGCGTTGGGAAGGAAGGGGAGGTATCTCATCTCCTGGGCCTCGGCCAGCCCTGGGTCAAGATGACCCCTTGCCGCAGTGTCCCCCAGCCCTCTGCAGCCAGATCTGCCCCTCCCCCGGCGGCCAGGCTCAGTCCCGTCCCTCCATCCCCACCCACCACATTACCCTCTGAATACTCTCATTATACCATTACTAATTAGGGCTGCTCAGCAAATTGGCGGCTGCATTCGAGGGAGACAGTGTGCGGAGCATATGGCATAATATCATATTAATGAACACTCTAAATTCAAACCCGGGTCAGCTGCTTGCTTCTCGCCAGTGTCACCCACGCTAAAGGAGGGAGGGGAAAAAAAGCAGTCAACCTTTCCCTCCCTTCCCTTGCCTCTCTCCAAACACACATTCTGCAGCGTGGGCTGGGCTGGGCTGGCATCGCACTGTGGACCTGCATGGCCCAAAGAAGGGCCTCCCTCCCGCCATGTGTAAGTGGACGCTTCTACGATTAGAACTAATTAATAATAAACCAGGGCCATGGCCGGGCTCTTCCCCTATATTATCTCTGTGGTTCCCAACATCCCTGCCGAGGGGGCTTCAGCACAGGGGGGCGAACTGAGAGCCTCTGAGGTCACGGTGCTTTTTCCGGGTGACAGGGTGGCTGGGCTGGACATCAACCTAGGCTTTCTGCTCTCCAGTCCTGCTTGTCCTGCTCTGTCCAGCCCACAGGTGGAGAATTTGGCTCGTCAAGTTCTACCCGGCACACCTGGGTGGACAAGCACCTTCCTCTTTCTCATTCTCTCTCCCTCGCCTCTCTCCCACGTTCTACAGAGGACGCGAAGATGATGAATTCACGTATGGCCTGGGAGTGTTGGTGGTACCCCCGGCCTCCCTGCATCCTGGGAGGAGGAGACGAAGCGGAAGCTTGGGTGGGGGGCGGATTCTGGGGTCAGTCTGAGGAGGCCTTGGGGAAGAAGTGAGCGCTAAGCAAGGCTCCCAAGAGGAATGGAAGGGCCTGAACCAAAGCTGGCTTGCCCTCAGCCAGGGGGCAGTGCCCACAGATGCCCTGGATGGAGCCTGTCCAAGGCGTCCTGTGTCTGCTAGTCTGAGCCAGGGATGAGCCT
The DNA here is from genome assembly GCF_000001405.40 of Homo sapiens. NCBI lineage: Eukaryota > Metazoa > Chordata > Mammalia > Primates > Hominidae > Homo > Homo sapiens. The sequence continues at coordinate 1,051,542 of NT_187614.1, forward strand.
GAACGGGCCTCCCATGCTATCCATCTTTCTGTCTGATGGGCTGTTGTCAGTATCCTCAATAGGATCACAGGTTTCTTGAGCTCCCAATTCCTCATTTCACATCAAGGTAAGAGGCTGCTTCATGCCTGCTGCCCTTGAGCCCAGAGACTGCGGAAAGCGAGGGGCTGGCCACTTGTGCACACATCTCCTATCTCTGCCCAGGCTTGTCCTTGCCCTGATCAAAGCATCCTTCAATTTTGCCTCCCCCAAGGAGCCTTCCCTGATTAAGACCACAGAGTCCTTAGCATCTGAGAGTGTCTTAGAGATTGATCTTAGGTGGTGTCCCCAAATTGAGGACTGGGCCTTTCTATCACAGAAGGGAGGGTGGCCAGATCCTCACCGAAACAAATAAACAAAAACCTCTCCTGCCTGTGCCTGCCCCCACTCCAAACTCGGGGAGCTGAGCTTCCTAAGCTGGGGCATCCTCCGGGTGTCTCAGATATGGGGGTGCTCTGGGCTGGGAGTCAAGGTGGATTTCACCTCCAATTAAGTCACAGTGCAAACCCCTTCGGGCCCCTTCTCTGGCTGCAATCTTTGTGAATTCAGTTCCTGACATCCTCCCAGTCCTCCTCACCCAGGGGCTGTGAAGATCAGCAGATGTTCCGGGCCCAGGAAAGTGTTTATCAGGACACATTGTTAGGGGGAATCTTGTCAAAGAATTGGAGCTTCCAGGCTCCTCTCTCAAGTCTAACAGGAACAAGGACTTCCTGTCCACCTCTTGGGTGTATGTGATGAGTGTATGTGTGTGTGTGTATGTGATGTGTATGTGATGAGTCTGTTGGGGAGGACTGGGGATGATTTGGGGTGTTTACTTTCTTAGCAGGGCCCCAATCCGGAATCAGGGAGGAGTCACTTGGGTTTTGACCTTCGTTTTACTGTAGGTCTCCAGGGAGTGAGTGCCTTCTTTCTTTACTTCTCCGTCTATGGAATGGGTATATTCACAGTAGCTTAGCCGGGACTGAGAGATGCTTCTGTGAAAGACCCACTCCGTGAGGCTTGAGACTCTGGCCTAGCTGGGCATCCACCACCTCCCACCTCCTGCGTTGGCGCCATCAAGATGGAAGAGCTGCCTGACCAAGTGACTGCTCCTCTCCTGGGCTGTCACACAGGAAGAGAGGCTGGAGTGCCCTGTGCCACTGCCCAGAGACCTCTGCTGTGGGCAGCCTTGAGCTAGCCAGCTGTGGGGCCCTTGCTGCCACCCAAGGTGTGAGAGGCCCCCTTGGCGACAGACATTCAGCCCCCCACCGCATGACAGGTGCCTTCGTCTGTGTCTGCGGCACCAGAACCCAGCCTCAGCCACTTGGGGGCTCTGCCTGTGCATGCCACCCCCCCGCCCCGCACCCCCAGCCACCCTGCCTGGTATCCAGGCCACACTGTCTCATCCTGGGCCCTGCCCCACTCGCCACCACTCACACCATGGTCATAGAATCATTTTCCTTTGTCTCCAGAACCCACACACCCTCCCCTCCTCCCCGTAGCTCTACCAGCAGGGGAGCCCAGGAGAAGCAGACTAGCCAGGCGGAACGCAGGGGTGTCAGTGAGCCCTGGATGACAGTTATTTATCTGCCCCCACCAAGCCATTACCTACCCCCCCACCCCGCCCCGCCCCGCTGCTGGACCCCCATCCCTTCCCTCTCCGCTAGTAGAGGAGTAAACAAACCCACTCAGGGGGAGGTGTTGGCTGGTCTCTGGATTTTAGAAGCTGCTTGTGAGGACTTGTCTGGGGGTGGGGACAACCCCACTCCATCTCTCCAGAGGCAATAATGCAACTCTATGTTGCAGATTTGGCTCTGTCGTGCGTGTGTGTGCGTGTGTGTGCATGTGTGTGCCTGTGTGTGTGTGTACCTGCGTGTGTGCGTGTGCGTGCATGTGCGTGTGTGTGTGTGCATGTGCGTACGTGTGTGGGTGTGTGCATGTGTTGCGTGTGTACGTGTATGCGCGTGTGTGTGCATGTGTGCATGCATGTGCGTGCATGCATGTGTGTGTGAACCAAGGTTCCAAGGAGGTCTGGACTCTTCCCAAAGAGGAGAGGCTGAGCTAGAAGGGAGCTGAAAGGCCATCTCCTTGGAAGCCTGAACCTGGGGCCCAGGGAGGTGAGGGACCTTCCCCAGGTGACAAAGCCAGCAGGAGGAACCCTCAGGTCTGGGTAAAGTGTACTTTCCACAAGTGACCCCTATTGCTAGATCTCTGTTCAGAGACCCTGTAAACACCACAACCCCATACCCACACTTTTCACACAGTCTTCTCCCATTGGCCCTATGTCTGGGGTGAGAATGGGACCAGCTACACTACTTGTAGTTCCCGATGCAAAATGAAAGTGCAGGCCCCTTGTTCAGACATTATTAAGGCTTTCAAGATAGCGACAGAAGAGCATTAAACCATTAAACCTTCTAACCACAGGGCTCTGTACACAGATCACCAGCCCATGAACCTGGCCCTGGGCTAGGACCTTGTCAATCTATTTCCTCTGCAGCTGTGAAGACCTTGGGTAAAATCCCCACACACATTCTAGAAGCCTCCCTGCCTGGTACCAGGGTTCCATAGCCACTGCCACCCCCACCACAGCAGTCAGCTCAGTGACTCCAGCCTGGGGAGGGGAAACTGAGTCAGCATTCTGGACCTGGGCTGATCCCCAGAATCAGGTGGCGAGCTGGCCTGGGGGTGAGACTGCACCTGTCTCTTGCAGCGGGCAGTGGGCATAGGCTCTAGCATGAAGAGAGAAGCTGCTCAGAGCTAAGGCTCTGCGGATTTCAGAAGAGGCAGGAGCCAGGGTTTTCTGGGAGCTGTACTTCCTCCTTGTTTCCGTATATCTTGTAGAGGGCCTGTGTTGTTCACTTTTGTGGGTATGTAATGTTGTATATGCAAAGAAAGCCTGTGCTGTGTGCCTCATGTGTGCACTGCACACTTGTGTGTGCACTCACAGCCCAAGTGCAAGGTAGGCTGGCTTACTGCCCACTCCCCTACCCACCTGGTGCCACCCCCGTGGGTGTCCAGGCCCCCATGCCCATGGAGGGCATGTTCCTATCCTTGGGCATTCTGCATTGGAATTCAGGCCCTTGCCAGCCTGTTCCGTGCTCGCTAACTATAAACTATCTGATTTATATTCATTAACCAGTACTAGACAGCGGCAGGCACAGGCTAACTTCAGTGGGGGACAGGCCTCCATCGACAGGTGGACTGCATTTCAGTTAATTAAGGGGCTGTAATTGTTGTACAGGACAAGGGTCCCCAGGGCACAGGCTTTGTAAATAACTACCCTCCACTGCCCCCACCTTTCACCCCACCCCTCCCCGCCTACTTTCCTCCTTCACAGGTCTCAGAAGCCAGGTAAAGTAGCTGGGACAGGAAAGAAGACTGTGGAGAGGTGGGAGTGAAGACCTGGTTGGCGGGGGATGCCCCTCCTACATCCTTGCAAGGCTACAATTCCCTGGGGTGGGCTGGGGCTGGGCTGGGGGAGCCCTGGGCAGAGCATGGTGGGCTGGGTCATAAACAATGATCTTACTGCCCAAACTGGCTGAGTCCAGGAAGGCAGGACCCACCTCCACACACGCACTCTTGCACGCAGGAACAAACACAGACACACAAAGGTACACATGCACACCTCTCCAGATCTAGTTATTTATGCTGTTTTCCCCTCACCTGCCTACATACCCACCCTGTGAGCTCAGCCCTGGCACCTGGGCACTGGGCAGGCTTTCTGGCATCTGTTCGGCACAGGGAGACTTCAGGGGGTCAGGCAGAAACTAAACAAGAAGGAGCTGTCATCTCACCAACCTAGAAAAATGAAGGGAGGCACCTACCTCTCATAAGAATTGATGAGGGAGGCTTGTGGCCTTTGGAACTCTCAAATAGGGTGACTTCTGGTCTGATAGGGGATGGGAGGGCCATCCAGGGGCTCCCACTTTGATAGCGAAGAGGGTCCCTCCTCTAAAGAAATTCCTGACATAGAGCGAGGGACGGGAGGTGGTCTGGGAAGACAGGAGTCTGATGACGGAGGTACACACTAAAGACGCCCACAGCACCAGTGTGAACAGGTATCATTCAAGTGTGTGGATGGTCCTGGAGAATGCCACAGAGCAGGCAGGGCCTCCGAGGAGACGAGAATCTTGACCAGAGCTTTAAATTAAGGGATGATCCAACTATGGCAGCGGAGGAGGCAGCTTTGCCCCAGGACTGTTGCTTCCAGCTCTTCTTTGCACAGATGCCTCCAAGTGCCCACTGTGTGCCAGAGGCAAATAAAACTGCCAGGTTCCCTGCCCTCCCAGAGAGCAAAGAGTGAGAGACCACGTGTGCACGCATGTGTATACATACCTGTATGTGTGCAGGTCATGTGTATGTATGCCTATGTGCTCTGAGCATATTTTCCAAATATCAGTTGAGGGTCTGCTACATTTCAAACACCCTATGGACACAGGACAAAACAGCAAGCATGACATTCACCTGTGTACATGTGTGTGGGCATGTGATACGTGTCTGTGTAGTGTGCACATGTGTCTGTGTGTGCGTGTGCAGGCCCTGCAACGGAGCTTTCGCCAGCCCACTCAGGACTTGAACCAAGTCTCCTACCTTGCAATCATTCTCCTGGAATTACTATCCTTGGATATTTTTGAACCTGTGACTACTTCTGCTTGCACTGCCCACCTCCACCCCTTGCTGTGGGCCAAGGGAGCCTATATGTGTTTTGTTTTCTGCCTAAAAATGTATCTGCTGATCTTGAGTCACTGAATAATCACCCTAAGTCAAATCAGAATTGAGTTTTGTTAGGCTCAGGTGGGTGGATCGCTTGAGCTCAGGAGTTCAAGACCAGCCAGGGTAGCATGGTGAAACCCCATCTCTAACAGAAATACAAAAAAAAGCAGCCGGGCTTGGTGGCGCATGCCTGTGTTCCCAGCTACCCAGGAGGCTGAAGTGGGAGGATCACTTGAGCCTGGGAGGTGGAGGTTGCAGTGAGCTAAGATCACACCATTGCACTCCAGCCTGAATGACTGACTGAGACCCCATCTCAAAAAAGAGAGAAAGAAAAAAGAACTGTTTTTTGTGAACTTCACTCGCAGTTCAGGGTATCTGCACCCATCCTCCACCCTGCCCCCCACCCACACCCCATCCCAGGCATAAATCGCAAAGTTGGCCACAACCCTTACAGCGACTTTCGACAAGGTGCTCTGGAAGTAGGCATTTAACTTGGATCTATCTAGACAGAGTCTAGCAAAGAAGAGAAAATAAGTTTCCATGTCTATCCCCCGCCCCACCCCCATTTCCACCTATCAGCCCTTATCTAAAGGAAAAATTAGAGAGTTATTAGGAATTTGATTAGGGGTGAGCAGGTTGGTAATGAAATTACATTTCAGCTCTTTCTCAGCCCCTGTAAGTATTAAGTGGTTTGATCAATGGTGTTCATACAATTAATTCTGCCTGATTGCAGAGAGTGACTCTATCGACAGCCGGGTTTCCCACCTCGAACTTTGTCTCTTAGCCAAACGTGCCTTCGGGAAGCTTGGAGGGTGCAGGTGGGGGCCCCTGTCAGTGAAGCCCTTTGCTGAATGCCACCTTCAAGCTCATATGGATTATTTTTTCTTTAAGCTTAAAGGAAATTTAGGAATCACATCAAAATTAAATTATTGAGTTCTAGACCAGGAGAGACGAGATCACACACCCTCCTGCACCAGTTTCTTCATTTGACCAGCGTTTCTTGAGCACCCACACCAGCTCTGAGACCTAATCCTCTCCAGGCTCCCTTCCTGGGACAGGGCAACACAGCCATCTTCCCCTAGCCTCTCCTGGGTGTTATCCCTGGCTATCAAGAGAGCCTTCCCTGTATCTCACTCAAATCTCTGCTGCTTTAATTTAATCCACCGACTCTCGTTGGGTCTTTTAGGGATGTAGAAGGCTGCTTCATATGGCCCTTCATGAAACAACACCCCCGACAACAAAGGTTGTATTCTTGAAGCTGGGGAACCTCCAATTTCTGGGACTCTGCCCACAATGACATATTTCTTTCCGTCACCCACCCTGTGTCCCTGTGGCCTCTGGACACATTGCTTCAGCAGGGGTGGGGTGGCACTTTGTAGGTTTGTGGCGACTCTTTACATAATTCCAGAGTAAGCCCTGCTGCTCAGGAAGCTTCCCTGGAGAGGTTACATTTCCTGGAGGGGAAGGCTGTTAGGGGTGTGGGTGACCATGAGATGCTGGGAAGGCTGAAGGGGCAAAGAGAGGACACAGATAGACTGAGACTGGGAACCACGAAACTTTCTAATATTGTATTATTTGAACCTTCACTGAAGGACATGTGCTGTTGTTTATTTGTCTGTTTGTTTTTTAAGATGAAGTTTTGCTCTTGTTGCCCAGGCTGGAGTGCAATGGGAGGATCTTGGCTCACTGTAAACTCTACCTCCCGGGTTCAAGCGATTCTCCTGCCTCAGCCAGTAGCTGGGATTACAGGCATGCACCACCCTACCCAGATAATTTTTGTATTTTTGGTAGAGTTGGGGTTTCACCGTGTTGACCAGGCTGATCTCGAACTCCTGACCTAAAGTGGCCCACCGCCTCGGCCTCCCAAAGTGCTGGGATTATAGGCGTGAGCTACCGTGCCCAGCCAGAACGTGCTGTTTTAAGATGTGGATTCATGAAATTCTCCCAACTGCCCGATGAAATAGATGCTCTTTTATGCTCCTAAAGCAGATAAGAAAACGGAGGGATAGATGAGTTAAGGTCTCCTCCAACCTAGTAAGTGGTGGGACTTCCTGAGAGGAAGAGTGGAAAGGGAACCTGCTTTCCTTGCTCAGCTGGGGCTCACCCTAATGCCCCAAAGACCTCCTCCACCTTTGGGCAGCCCTTCTCCAGCAGAAACAGAAGTGAGGGCTTGCCAGCAGCCCTGGGGCACCCCAGTCACTCACCCTTACCTGCGCTTTTTTTCTCAATGTCAAGAAGGCCTCCTTGCTAGCATATCTGCCTCAGTATCCCAAGAATTCCTGTTGGGTCACTTGTCCAGTTCTGACAGCAATGGGCAAATTGTAACATCCAATGCCAGCGCTGCAGCACCAGGGGTTAACAGAGGAACCCCTTGAAGGAAAAGGATTCTGTGCTCCTAACTAGCAGGATGTACTGAGTGAAGAGGCCAACTGGCCAAAGCCTTGGGTGAGGGGCTTGTGGGCCAGGGAGGTGGCCTTTTACCTGTTTGGCCAAAAAGAAGGGAAAGGAAATGGTTATAAGGCCCTCTTTCTTTTTGTAAATGTTTACTCCAGATTCTCAGCCCAACAACCATAATGACCAACAATGAAGCATGCAGTCCACTAATTTTCATCCATTCATCTTATAGGATATATGCATCAACAATACATAAAAACATAGGCACATGTCCATGATATAGTGTTAAAGGGGAAAAGCAGTATGAGCCCAACTTGGAGTCTGTGTGTGTGTGTGTGTGTGTGTGTGTGTGTGTGTGCGCGTGAGGCCCTGTGCTGAGCAGTAGCCACAGGTAATCTTGTGTACCCCTGTTCGTAATCCTGTGGGGTGATAGCATAATTATCCTCTTTTTATAAATGGGGAAACTGAGGCTGAGAGCATTTAGGTCACTCACCCAACACAGCTAATACCTGGTAAAGTCACGATTCACATGTGCTCTTAATCATTGCCTTATAATGATCCTGTATCCTTGGCCAATCCTTTTCACCTTACAAAGGATATTCGTGTTTATGATTTCAAATAAAAATATTCACAGCCACTCCAACAAGCATCTAATAATGAGCCCATTTTAGAGATTAAGAAACTGACACTCAAAGAAGTTAGGAGACTTGCCCAAAGTCACAGAGCTAATCAACTGTTGCAAAAGAAGGACTCCAACTCAGGTCTGTACAGATGCAAAACCCTGCACTATTTCAGAGAAAAATAGAAACAGAGATAAGAGAAGCCAACATGGACAGACATCAAAACAGACACAGCAGAGACAGAGTGACACACAGCCTGAAAAAGGGAAAAAAAGCATTTCCCTCCCTCTGCCTGTCTCTACTCAAATGCAGAGGGGAAAATATCATTTTAAGCAGGTGCCTTGCAGCCTTGCATTTAAGAAAAACGCATGGAATTAAGTTCCTAAAAAGGTAGGAAAGCTGAACCAAACCATCACTGGGGCTTGAAATGAGATTTTATGTTTTCCCTATTCTGGGCACTGAGCCGTCAATGGTGCCACGTGCCAGGCTAGTGAGGACCACTTGTTCGTTAGGGGTACCAGGGGATGGTGGCTGTCCGCCCAGCCTGGCCCAGCCTGGCCCTACCCTGGTGGGTGCCAGCTGCTTGCCAGGCCCATGAGAGGGTTGGGCTCAGAGAACACCTGTGTGGGTGTTCTAACTCCTTGCTGCCCAAAGTGTGGTCCACAGACCAGCAGTACAGCACCCCAGGGGAGCCTGCTAGGGATGCAGAGTGTCAGGCCCTGCCTTCTGAATCAGAATTTGCTTGAACAGGAGCTGGGAGTGACGTGTCTATCCATCACAGTTTGAGAAACCCTGCTCCAGCTGAAATCTGAAAAGAGGAAGGACAGGCCCAGGTCTCAAAGGCCTTCCTCCCGCTGCCTGGGGCCCCCAAATCTGAGCGGCGCACACAGACTCTGGGAGAGCTGAGGCCTGAGAGGTTGTGGCTGTGGGTACAGGGGAAGGTGGGAGGGAGGGGCCTTCCCCCACCTGAACTGCTTGAGGCGCCTGCCAGCCTCAGCCAGAGAGGGTGGGGGTGGGGGTTTGTCTTTGTCAGCAGATCTTTCTGGTAGGAGAGTCAAGGTGCCCCTAGTTCCCTCCCCTCCCACGTGAGTGTGAGAACGCTGTGTGCAGGGATGGAGGGCAGGTGGCCAAGGGCACCAGGTTCACCTTCCCCAGAGGCACCATGGTCTTGATGCCCGTCCCTGCCCCTGCTGGCCCCAAAGGGTCAGACCGAGGAGCTGCTTCTCTCCAGAATAAGGAGGACCTCAGTCCCTCTGCTCCCTGCCCCAGGCCTGAGAGTTTCCCTTCCTCCTTCCTCCGCCGACTCCTACTAAAGCACCTGCTCCCCACAGCCTCCTCCAGGACACCTGGCTCACAGGGCCAGTCCCTCTGACCATCAGAACCTAGCAGGTGTGGCCTTCGGCTGGCTCCCAGCACACAACTCCTTAAAGAGACCCTGAGAACAGAGACTCAGAGGCCATGAGTGGCTGTGATGGCGAAGAGTTGTGCCCATGGTCTCAAGCCTGGGGAAGGGGCTGGGCTGCCACTTTTAGCTCACAGAAGTAGTCATCATCTAGTTCGAGAGGTTCTCAGTCCTGGCTGCACACCTAACTCATTTAGAGAACTTTCGAAAGTACAGAGGCATGCGGCCCAGCCCAGACCAATAGAATCAGAATTTCTTGGGATAGGTGGGAGTGGTAGGGGAAGAGGCATTTGTCTTCTTTAAATACTCAAGTGCAGCCACCTAGCCAGTCTACCCACCTCACTGCCGATGAGGAAGTGTGGCCCAGGTAACAACAATACAGCTGCACCCCATAGGAAGGGCTTACTCAGTGTCTCACAGCACAGCCCAGACTACAACCTGCCCAGGCAGCGCAACAGACACCAGGCACTGACAGGTCTACCAAGCTCAGGCGCAGGTGCAGAGGGAGTACAAAGGCCCCTTCCCAGCCGGGCTGGGAGAGCCCTCCTCCCTCAGCCTCCAGCTGGGAGTTGGTGGGGCAGGGGCAAAAACTGGTGCAAAGAGCTCTGCCCCTCAGCTGCTGTGTGACCTCAGCCAAGTTGCTTAACCTCACAGACTCTCCATTTGCTCAAGTATTTAAGAATGCCTAGGCTGGGCACGGTGACTCATGCTTGTAATCCCATCACTTTGGGAGGCTGAAGCAGATGGTTTGCTTGAGCCTCAAGAGTTCAAGACCAGCCTAGCCAACAAGGTGAGACCCCATTAAAAAAAAAAGTCAAAAATTAAAAAAAAAAAAGCCTAAATTGCAGACTTTCGGTAAGGATGCCTAACACATGGAGGTGCTCAGTAAAATGTTGCTGAAGGAATGAATGAATGAGTGAATGAATGAATGAATGAGTGAATGAGTGAATGAATGAATGAGTGAATGAGTGAATGAATGAATGAGTGAATGAATTTACACCTGGTGCTCTACTTTGACACCTAAGATCGGGAAACCAAACCCAAGAGAGTCCTGCTCATCCAAGGTTCCTGAGCTTTTGAAACTTCTGGGAAGGGTGGAGGCAGGTGAGGTGGTGGAGGCTTTTCTTCAAGGGGCAGAGTTTATCCACATGGTTGAGGCCCCAGGATTTCAGGCCAAGGCGTGGGAAACTTGACAAGAATAAGTGTGTCCTTCATCTTCCAGCGGCCTCCTGCCCCGGCCTGTTCCACTGGAAGAGCTTTAGCTCCACTGTGGGAGGGGCTGGACTACTCTCCTTCCCTTCACCCCTCTCCCCTGCTGGGGCCCAGCCAAGGCACAGCGCGGGGGTGGGGGGTCACCTAGATGCAGTGTTGAGCTGTGCTGAGATCACAGAGATGCTGGCGCGGCTGACCCCTGGGGTGCAGGAACTGGCAGCGCCCCCCATCCTGGGCCAGCAGGGGTGAGTCTAGCCAGCAGAGGGAGGTGGGACCCTCTCAGACTGGTGACAGGTAATTGGCCTACTCTGAGAGCTGGAGGAAGGAAGAGGGTGAGGGGAGTCCCTCTCAGCCTCCCTCCTGCCTACAGGCTCCAGCAGCACCCATGGGCACCGCCCATACCACATTCCCAGTCAATTTCCTGAACCTCAAACTTCTCCCTGCTAGCTCTGCTTCACCGCTGCTGCCGCTCCCCTTTCCATGAAAGCTGCACCTCCTGGATTTCCTTCTCTCATTCCTCCCCCCACCCCATGTCACCATAACCTCCGGTGCCGGTGCTGGCTCCCCTCCGTGGGGTGCCCTGGGCCACAGGTGAGACCGGGCAGGGCCCACCACAATTGGCTCCTTTATCACTGCTTTGATGAGACAAAAACCCTGCGGATGGATGAAGAGATCAAACTAACCGTCCTGGGGCAGGAAGGTGGGGTAGGGAGTATCTCCCAGGATCTGAGCTGCCATCCTGGGGCAGGAGGGGGCACTGGTTTGTTTTCCTTCCTTGAGCAGGTACAAAAGAAGCCACATTCACGTAACCCTGCCTTTGAAGCTTGCCTTTGAAATCTGGACTCCTGGGTCTGTGCCAATCAGGCCCAGACGCCAGTACCCCCACCCCACCCAGCCCACTCAGCCCTCCATTGATGCTGCAGTTGGGAGATCAAAGGGTCCTGGCCCCCTCCTCACCTGAAGTCTAGGACCCTGGGTTGGGGACAACTGTCAGGACCAGAGCACAAACACAGATTTCAGAGGACTCCCAAACATGCATCGGGCATCTATTATCTGCCAGATGTCTTCACACATAGGGATGGCCTCATTCTTCCTCACAGTCATCATTGTGTCCTGGGTCCCCTTTTACAGATGAGGACACGGAGGCTTTGAGAAGTTAAATAACCTATCCCAGTAGTTAGGATTGGAAACCTTCCGATCCCATATCCAGGGCTGTCTCCCCACTGGAGAGTCCTACCACCCTAAAGAGAAGACAATTCCCAATTCCTGGCCACTAATCCAGTGATATGCTTCAGTCCGCAAAGCCAGCATCTCATAAAAGGTCGCCCCTTTCTTATTTCAACGTGCGCTAATTTCCTTCCTCCCCTCCTCTTCACAGGTAGGATGGACAGGCAGCCAGGTGTCTGCCAGGGAGCTCAGTTTTCTTCTTCTCCAGGCACATCAACTCTCACTTTGCCTTTGAATTTCTGGCAGCAAGGACTGGAGAACCCACAGAACAGGAATACCCCTGTCTCAACACTGAGTTCCCCCTTAGAATAATGGAGGGGTGGTAGGGGCCAGCCCCCATGCGCTCCTTCCCAGGTGGAGAGAGGCAGAGCGGAAGACCTCCCCCACTCCAGCGCAGGCTGAAGCCTCTGTCACCTGAACCCTCACCTGGCCCTCCGCTTCCTCTCAGCACCCCATCTCCTGGCCGCTTACCTCGCTCCAGACAACCTGATCAAAGGCAAGAACCTGGGAGCCATTAATGATCTCCTCCTCTCCTCCTCCGCCTCTCTCCCCTCTCCACCCCTTCCCCTGCTCTTCCTGCCAGGACATAAATAAGCAATTCTCCCGGGCGGAACAGGCGTGGCAGAGGCAGAAGGACCCTTCTACATCAGCTCCCTCAAGCTGAGACCCAGAGAGATAGTGACTTTCTTATGGCCACACAACAAATTAGTGGCTGAGCTGGGACCAGGGTAATATTTAGATCTTTGGAAGCCTAAACAATGAAGAAATTTTGTTTTCTCCCGCTGATATAGGTGTTTCAAAATAGAAACAATATGAAGCTGTGAAACAGAGCTAATAAATATCAGCTCTGTCCAATAGAACTTTCTAAATTTTTCATGTGTGTGTGTGTGTGTAGACAGGGTTTAACCATGTTGCCCAGGCTGTTCTCAAACTCCTGGCCTCCCAAATAGCTGGGACTACAGGCATGAATGCCACCGCTCGTGGCCCAATAGAACGCTCTGCAATGATGGAACTATTCTGTATTTGTACTGTCCAATATGATAGTAACTAGCCACATGTGGCTATGAAGCACTTGAATCGTGCCCAGTGTGACTCAGGAGATAAACTTAATTTCATTTCACTTTAATTGACATTTATATAGCCGCATGATATGTGATCATGCTAAGTTGACATCACTTCTTTCTAGATTTTTTGCTTGCAAAATTCTGGTTAAGTTTATCAAAACTGAACTTTTTGGTTTGGGTTTTGTTTTTTTGGAGGGGGGAGGGACCCTAAACCACTAAGTCTTAACTATTGAGAAAACATGTCCTCTCTAGAACCCATATTTGGGTCTGTAAAAAGGAACAAATACAAAGAAAAATCCTATGGGATGATGTCAAAAGAGAGATAGATTACATCGTGGCGGGCATGGGAGGGCCACCTAAGGGGGACTTTCATGGAGAGGGCAGTGAAGTAGACCTTGGAGGATCCGGGCAGGGGAGGTTAGTGAGAGGTAGGGGCATCCAGGCAGTGGAAACAGCATAAGCAAAGGCACAGAGGCAGGAAAGATAGAGTATGCTCAGGGTCAGTGTCTAGTGCACAGGATATATGTAGGATCAGCAGGACATGAAGATTTCCCAGTTTTCTGAGCTGCAAAGATTTCCCAGTTTTCTTTCACCTTGTGCTCAGATCATTGTCCAGTTTTCCCAGAGGACCAATGGTGGCCGTCTCTGCTGGAGGAAGAGAAGACCCATCTGAAGCCATGGGAAGGGAAGGGGCAAGAAAGGAAGGCAGCCAGTGTCAATGGGCCATGGTGATGGAGGGGCTCTGGGTCTCCCCATCCACATTCTAACTCTGGAAGAGACACCCAGAGGGTGGGACAGATGCTGAGGCCAGGTAGAATCAGAACCCAAAGGACCTTAGAGCCCCAAACTCCCCACCTAAGTCTGTGCCCCAAGGTCCTCAGTAACAGTATCCTGTTCCAGGTGGTTGGGAGTGAGAAGATATCCCCTCCATGGTCAGGTTAAACATTTATAAATTAAGGATCCAAAAAACACAAACTATAAATTAATATAAGAAAGAAAAAATAGTGACTGCAATATGGGAAAAGATAGGAACAGGCAATTCAAAAAAGAGGAAACCCAAATAAATGATCAACAAATAGAGAAAGATGATCCACTCCATTAGTTCAGGACAGTGCAATTAAAACAGCAGTGTGAGGCCAGGCACAGTGGCTTATGCTTGTAATCCGAGGACTTTGGGAGGCTGACGCAGGAGGATCACTTGAACCCGAGTTTGAGACCAGCCTGGGCAACAAAGGGAGATTCCATCTCTACAAAAACTCAAAAAATTAGCTGGGCGTGGTGGCATGCACTTGTGTTCCCAGCTATACAGGAGGCTGAGGCAGGAGGACCACTCGAGCCCAGAAGGTTGAGGCTGCAGTGAGCCATGATGGCATCACTGTACTCCTTCCTGGGTGACAGAGTAAGATCCTGGCTCAAAAAAAAAAAAAAAAAACAAAAACCCCAAGAAACAGACAGCAACACAAGAACGACAAACAACAGTGTGACATCATTTCAGATCCATTAGACTGGCAAACTGAAAGTCTGACGATACCCATGTATTGGTGTGGACGTAGAACAACCTAACACTGTTGGAAGGAGATTATTCAAGAGTTGGGAGATTAGGCCGGGTGAAATGGCTCACGCCTGTAATCCCAGCACTTTGGGAGGCCGAGGCAGGTGGATCACCTGAGGTCAGGAGTTCGAGACCAGCCTGGCCAACAAGGTGAAACCCCATCTCTACTAAAAAAAAAAATAAAAATTTATTTTTATTATGGTGGTGTGCCCCTGTAATCCCAACTACTTGGGATTACAAGACTGTGGCAGGAGAATTGCTTGAACCCGGGAGGCAGAGGTTGCAGTGAGCCATGATCGTGCCATTGCACTCCAGCCTGGGCAACAGAGTCAGACTCCATCTCAAAAAAAAAGAGTTGGGAAATTATAAATGGATACACCCTCTTTGGAGAGCCATTTGGCAATATCTCAGAAACTGTTAATGTTTGTACGTATTGTTGTATTGATAGTTCCCAGTGACTCACACCTTCCAGTATCCACGTCCTCACACATTAACTCTAGGGATGGCCATTGACTTGCTCTGACCAATGGGTTATTAGCAAGAGTAAGGCAAGCAGAGGCTTAATAAGCACTTTGCACAGGGTGGCTTGTTCTCTGGGACACTACTTCTTAGAATCCTGAGGCCACCATGTTGTGAGAAAGCCCAAGCTAGCCGCATGGAGAGGCTATCGAAAAGAAAACTGAGGAACACATCTGACAGCTAGAACCACAGGCCCACGCATAGGGTCCCGTTGAGCTGCTTCAGATGTTTAAGTCACCCAGGATGCAACCCCAGACATTGTGGAAAGAGACAAGCTGTTCTCACTGTGCCCTGCCGAATTTCTAATGCATAGAATTGTGAGCAAATAGAAGGGATGTTGTTTTAAGCCACTAAGTTTGGGGGAGGTCTATGATGCAGCAATAGATAACTGATAGACCTGTCACCCAGCAATTTCATTCCTAGTTATATGCCCCAGAGAAACCCTTGTATGTGTGCACAAAGAGAAATATACAGGGATGCTTATTATAGCCTATCAAGAAATGAAGGACAAATTGAGGCATATTTCTTCATTCAATAAATATGGCACAGAGCTACTTGTAGGAACAAGAATAAAACCCAAAAACATACTGAACAAAACACCCAAGGTGCAGAAGTTTATATATGGGATGCCACTTATATAAAGTTTAGAAGTATGCAAACTCATACAATATAATGCTTACGTATTTATAATCTGTAGTTAAAACTTGCATCAAAAGAATAAATCCTAAATTCAGGAGGGTGATTACCTCTGGGAAGGGAGGGAGGAGAATGAGTCTTGGGGGAAACATACAGGGGGTTTCCATCATACTTATAATGTTTTGTTTCTTTAAAAAGATATATATCTGAAGCAAAGATAGCAAAATGCTAAGATTTAACAAAGCTGAGTAGAAGATACATGGGTGATCATTATATTATTGTTTATAGTTTTCTTTGTATGAGAAATATTTCATAATAAAAAAGCTAATTTAGAAAATAAGAACGGGGTGGGAGGCTCTGAATGGTGACAGACAATTTAAGAAGATATAGAGACCGGGCATGGTGGCTCACACCTGTAATCCCAGTGTTTTAGGGGGTCAAGGCAGGAGAATTGCTTGAGGCCAGGAGTTTGAGAGCAGCCTGGGCAACATAGTGAGACCCCATCTTGACAAAAAATTAAAAAATATTTGCTGGGCGCAGTGGTGTATACCTGTAGTCCCAGCTACTCAGGAGGCTGAGGCAGGAGGATCCCTTGAGCCTGGGAGGTCAAGCCTGTAGTGACCTATGATTGCACCACTGCACTCCAGCCTAGGCAACAGAGAACAGCGCCAGACCATGTCCCCCCAAAAAAAGAGAGAGAGAGGGAGAGAGACACAAATGGAGAGAAGGTTCTGATGCCTCCTAGGCCTAAACCCAGGCACCACCTCCCCAGGCCAGCTGCATTCCTGCCCATGGTTTCTTAAGTATTCTGTGTATCCTTATCATATAAACCCCTCTTTCATTAAAAAAAATTTTTTTTTAATTTTTTAAGACTGGGCTCAGTGGCTCACGCCTGTAGTCCCAGCACTTTGGGAGGCCGAGGTGGAAGGATCACTTGAACTCAGCAGTTCCAGACCAGTCTGGGTGACATAGTGAGAACCTGTCTTTACAAAAAAAGAAAAAATTAGCTGGGCATGGTGGTGCACACCTGTAGTCTGAGCTACTTGGGAGTCTGAGGTGGGAGAATCGCTTGAGCCGGGGAGTTTGAGGCTGTAGTGAGCTGTGATCATGCCACTGCACTCCAGCCTGCGCAGCAGAGAGAGGCTCCATCTCTAAATAAATAAATAAATAAATTTTTAAAAAGACTGTAAATAGTCAAGTTGCTTCAGCCTGGTGGAGAGGGTGCAGAGAAGCAGAGTGGTACTAGAGCATGCAACCAGGGCTTAGAAGACCTGAGCTTGAGTCAACTCCTTCACAACTCTCTGCAGGACCTTTTGCAAATTGCTGTCTCTCTCTGACCCTCCATTTCCTTCTCTGAAATCTGAGGCTGGTGGATTAGATGAAGGAGAGTCAACAGACAGAGCTATCAGAGCCAACAAGGAGCTCCTCCACACCCAGCCAAGGTGACTTCATCTCCATAAGGGAAGGGAGAGCAGGCATTTGAAGAAGCCCCTGGGGATTGTGCTACCCACACCTGGCTGAGATGATCTCTCAGGACCCTCCACTCCCAGCATTCTAGGAGTCCATGATGTGGCGGGGTCTACCTAAATTCTGTTAACATTGTTAGCAAAATTAATAGGACACATCTGAGGGATCTGATGGACATACTCTCCCCGCCTCTCAGGCTAGCCAGTCCATCCATCCATCCACCCATTCATGCATCCACCCATCCATCCATCCACCCATCCATCCACCATCCATCTGTCCATCCATCCATTCAGGAAACATTTATTGAGTGCCTACTATAGGCAGGTACTGTGCAAAGTACTGGAAATTCAGCAGTGAACAAAATAGATGTAATAATAATTAACACATTAATCTCACGCTCACTTCTAAGCACTTTACTTATTTATTCTGAAAACAGTTATATAAAGTAACCACTCTAAGGCTGGGTACAGTGGCTCATGCCTGTAATCCCAGCACTTTGGGAGGTCAAGGGGGCAGATCTTCTGAGCTCAGGAGTCCAAGACCAACCTGGGCAACATGTTAAAACCCTGTCTCTATCAAAAATACAAAAAATTAGCTGGGTGTGGTCGTGCACACCTGTAATCCCAGCTACTCGGGAGACTAAGGAACGAGAAATGCTTGAACCTAGGAGATGGAGGCTGCAGTGAGTCAAGATCATGCCACTGCACTCTAGCCTGGGTGACAGAGTGAGACCCCATCTCAAATAAATAAATAAAAAATAAAGTAGCCACTCTATAAGTAGCCATCTGTGTTACAGATGGGGAAACTGAGGCACAGAATGGTTAAATATCTTGTTCAAGACCACCAGAGTAAGTGGCACAGCCAGGCTAGGAACCCCAAGTTCCCACATGGCTAAGCCCTCTGCAGGCAGCTGTCCACCCTTCAGGCCTCTCTTCCCAGGCCTTCTCCCCCACAGCTATCTGTGCATATATGGGCCATTCTCTCATCTCCTGCCTCCACCTCCCACAAAGCCAAGGACTTTCCTTGTGGCAGGGAGGAGGGACTGTGAACCACACAGGAGCCAGGTGGGCCCGCTACGTGCTGGAGGGAAAGAACGTGGTCCCTCACATTTGTGAAGTTAGAGAGGGCCACTCAGCTCTTGCAAGGAGATGGGAAGGGCAGAACCATCTTTCCAATTGATCCTGGTGGGAGTCCTGGGAGGTGGGTGGGATGGGACCACGTAAGACCTGGAAGTCATCAGTCATAGTAACTACCACTTATTGAGTGTCCAGCACTGATTCAAGGGAGTTCTTGACAAATATCTCATTTAATCTTCATAAAGCTCCCTTAAAGAAAGGGTAAACATTACTATTCCCATTTTACAGATGAGAAAACTGAGTTTAGAGAGGCTAGGTAATTTGCCCAAGTTGCTAAGCTGAAATTTGAACCCAGGTTTTTTAACTTATTTCATCACTCAACCAATGTTAATATTTGCGGGAGCCAGGTGCTGTTCTAGGTGCTGAGGACAGCAGTGAGCAAGGCAACCAGGTTCCTGCCCTCATGGGGCTTCCATTCCAGCAGGAGGATGCAGGGAGTAAACAAGTAAACAAATGACAATCATCATCTCAAGTATGACAAGTGTTATGAAGACAATAGAAGTGGGACTTATGATTGAGAATGCCTGAGAGGCCTCCATTCCTTAGCAATACAATGGACTGGACACCCTGCAGACAACCTTCCAATACAAAACACCTAGAAATGCCGGGTAAAAAAATATAACAAACATCTTACCACAGGTACAGTCAAGTGGCAAAAAATTGAGGGAAATCTCCAGGAGTCAAAACAAAGAAGACTGCTCCTGTCTTCACCTGGACTCGAGTGAAAATGAAAAAGCCACCAGGCGTGGTGGCAAGTGCCTGTAGTTCCAGATACTGCGGAGGCTGAGGTGGGAGGATCTCTCTCTCTTTTCATTAAAAAAAAAAAAATTGTAGAGATGGGGTCTCACTATGTTTCCCAGACTAGTCTGCAACTCCTGGACTTAAGCAATCTTCCTACCTTGGCCTCCCTAAGCAGTCTTCCTACCTTGGCCTGCCAAAGTGTTGAGATTACAAGCGTGAACCACTGTGCCTGGCCAGGAGGGTCTTTTGATCCCAGGTCAAGGCTGCAGTGAGTTATGATCGCACCACTGCACTCCAGCTTGGATGACACAGCAAGACCACATCTCTAAAATGAAATTTTTTTAAAGAAAATGTAGACCAGGTGAGGTGGCTCACACCTGTAATCCCAGCACTTTGGGAGACTGAGGCGGATGGATCACGAGGTCAGGAGTTCGAGACCAGCCTGGCCAACATGGTGAAACCCTGTTTCTACTAAAAATACAAAAATTAGCCGGGCATAGTGGTGGGTGCCTGCAGTCCCAGCTACTCGGGGGCCTGAGGCAGGAGAACTGCTTGAACCCGGCAGGCGGAGGTTGCAGTGAGCCAAGATCGCGCCACTGCACTGTAGCCTGGGCAACAGAGCAAGACTGTCTCAAAAACAAACAAACAAAAAACAAAAACAAACAAACAAACAAAAAAAACAAAACCACACATATGAAGAAAAAGAAACTGTAGCTGGGTGCAGTGGCTCATGCCTGTAATCCCAGCACTTTGGGAGGCCGAGACAGGCGGATCACAAAGAGTCAGCAGTTCGAGACCAGCCTGGCCAACATGGTGAAACCCCGTCTCTACTAAAAATACAAAAATTATCTGGGCATGGTGGTAGGCACCTGTAGTCCCAGCTACTCGGGAGGCTGAGGCAGGAGAATCGCTTGAATCTAGGGGGCGGATGTTGCAGTGAGCCAAGATCGTGCCACTTTACTCCAGCCTGGGTGAAAGAGCAAAACTCCATCTCAAAAAAAAAAAAAAAAGAAAAAAGAAAGAAAGAAAAAGAAAATATAAAAGCCTCTCCTGGGAATTCTATAACCATCGATCTGTCTTCATATGGGGTGGGTCTCAGCTGTACACCACCCATGGAGAGCAGAAAAACCCAAGGCAATAAGTGAACTAAAACAGACCTACATTGGTAACAGCCTTAGGATTGAGATAAATACAGATCCTCTCTGGAGAGACAAACCTTCAATACAGGTGTCTATGACTCTCCTACATAAAGCTCTTTGAGCCTGAGCCCGCATTTCAAAACCACACATCACCCAAGGAAATACACAACCATGAGTGAGCGTCTGCCAAAACAGTGAGCACCCGATGGGGAGCCTGTGGATTTCATATTGTGGAGTCATCAAACAGAGAACCCCAAAAATTTGTCTATCTCCCATGTTTAAAAAAGAAATGACATGAGATTGGTGGTCAGGGAAGAGGTTTGGAGGAAGACTCTTGAGATAGGACTTGAATGAAGAGATGGAGCCAGCCATGCAAAGAGACGGAGAAGAGTATCCCAGGCAGAGGACACAGCAAGTGCAAAGGCCAAGGCCAGACTGAACTTGGCCTGTTGAAGAACAGAAGGAAAACAGTGTTCTGGGCAGTGTGGGTGATTTTAAGGGAGGGCAATACAGGATGAGATGCCAGAGATAGGAAGGGGCCTGACCACAGTGATAGGCCCTGTAGGCCCCGTGAGAGGCTTTTATGGGAAGTGGTGTGGGGGACTTTAATCAGGAACTTGACGTAAGTTGATCTGCATTTGTATGTATTTTATTATTATTATTTTGAGACAGAGTCTCTCTCTGCCACCCAGGCTAGAGTGCAGTGACGTGATCTCGGCTCATTGCAACCTCCACCCCTCAGGTTCAAGTGATTCTCGTGCCTCAGCCTCCCAAGTAGCTGGGATTACAGGCACCTGCCACAACACCCGACCTATTTTTGTATTTTTAGTTGAGATGGGGGTCTCACTGCATTGGCCAGGCTGTTCTTGAACTCCTGACCTCAAGTGATCTGCCCTCCTCAGCCTCCCAAAGTGCTGGGATTACAGGCATGAGCCACTGCGCCCGGCCATTAATCTGCATTTTTTAAAGGGTCCCTTTGGTCACCATGTAGGGATGGATTGTAGGGAGGAAGCATGGTGGCAGGGTCCCAACTATTCCGATCTTCTCTGGAAGAAGACCCTCTTTGCCCAGAGAGGGGTCCCTGAGGAGTGTGTGTGTGAGGTGGAGATTGGTAGATGGGAAGAGACCATTGATCAGCGAACTCAGCCAGAGAGGAAGAAATAAGAAGCTGAGCCTGGTTAGCCCACTGTGACTCAGCCCCATTGCCCAAATTAGTGATTTCATTGATTCACTGATTCATTCAGTAAAATGCTATTGAGTGTCTCCCAAGGTGCCAGATTCTAGGGACACACTGGGGCTGGAGGGTGAGAGGCCTGGTCCCTGTCCTGAAGGAATTTGCAGTCACCGACAATGACAACCCGTGGGGAAAGTTCTGGGCCAGTGGGAGGGGAGAGGAAAGGTGAGTGCCCATTCTCAGGGAGGGAGCAGCGTCAGGAACAGCTTCTCAGACGGTGACAGGAACTGCTCCTCCCCTGGATCTCAGGGACCCAGCCCATCTCCAGCTGAACCTCCTTGTGCCCCTCCCTGTAGAAAGGCAGAGTGTGAGCTGGGCGCGGTGGCTCACGCCTGTAATCCCAGCACTTTGGGAGGCCAAGGTGGGTGGGGATCACCTGAGGTCAGGAGTTTGAGACCAGCCTGGCCAACATGGTAAAACCCCATCTCTACTAAAAAAAATAAAAAATAAAAAATTAGCTGGGTGTGGTGGCACGTACCTGTAGTCCCAGCTACTCGGGAGGCTGAGGCAGGAGAATCTCTTGAACCCGGAAGGCAGAGGTTGCAGTGAGCCAAGATTGCCCCACTGCACTCCAGCCTGGGTGACAGAGTGAGACTCCATCTCAAAAAAAAAGAAAGGCAGAGTGTGGGTGGTCACCCCTGTCACACAGAGCTCCCAGCTGGAAGGAGAACTTCTCTGTGGTGCCCTGAGGAAGGAAAAGCAGAGACAGCAGCTGATGGAAACAGCCACAAGCCTGACATCAGGACCTCCCTTCACTTCCATTCTCTTGTTTGATCATCACAGCAATCTGAGGGTGTCAGCAGAGTGGGCACCACCACCCCATGTCACAGATGAAGAAACTGAGGATCAGCGAAGCTAAGGGCCTTACCTAAGGCCTCACAGATAAGGTGTGGCTGGGCCCACACCAGAAATGTCCTCTGTTCCAGTGCTGTTGAGAGGAACATCCATCTGCAGCCTTCCTCCCATGCCCACTGCCCTCAATCCCACTCCTGCACAGGCTCAACTCCCCTTGGCCATCAGGGCCCTGGCAGCAGGAGTGGCAGTCAAGACACGGCCAGGAGCAGAGAATCTCAGGGCAGCCGTGCCAGCTTCCCAGGCTGGGCTTCCCAACTTCTCTGCAAGTTTCCTGGGAAGAGTCCCCTGGAATGGGGCACCAGGAACGAACTTTATAAAATTCTCCACAACCAGCCAAGCAGAACCTATTTTCCCTCACAATGCAATTAACGGCACCAACATTTACAAAATATGATTACAAGCGCTTTGGTTAAGTAGAGGAAAGTATATTAGATAGCAGCGAGGGGTTGATCTTAATGTGCATTTTTTCGAGAGACTTGCATTTTCTTTGTGCAAATAAAGAGGCCCTAAATTCTCCATAGGCACTAAAATCAATGCAGTGGAACCATGATAACAAACACAGGCTCCACTTTTTGCTACATCCCCCAATTAATTAAGCCTTTCACGGGCATGTAATTAGGAACATTAGCAAGTCATAAAATTGCCGTGAGTCTTTAAATTATGTGCTGGCCCTCAGCAATTTGTTTTTAATTCCTTCTGAAGACAATGGCACTGCGGGGCCCAATAGATCTTCATAGCGCCTACTGTGCTCTTCGTAACAGCCCTGCCCCAGCTCCCCTCCTGGCAGCTCCGGTGCCTGCATTTCAGCTCCCAGGGCCCAGGAAGTGCCTGGCAGCTTTGCTTCTCCCTTCTCTCTCTCTCTCCCACTTCAATTCCTCCTCTTCTTCTTTCCTTGTGCTTTTCTCTGTCTCCTTTCACCTTTATTTTTATTCTCCTTTTCCTTGGCCTCTTCCTCCTCCTTTAATTCATCCTCCACTCTTTCTTTTTCCTTCCCTTCTTTTCTCAGCTTCCTCCTTCCCCATCACAGTTTTCCTCCTCCCTTCTTCCTTTCTTGCCCCTTGACTTGCTCGTCTTTGTTTTTACTTCGTCTTTTTTTTCTATCTTCCCTTGATTTCTCCTTTTTTCCTCCGCTCTTTTTCCTTCTCCTCCACTGTTTTCTTTTCTTTGTTTGAGACAGGGTCTCACTCTGTTGCCCAGGCTGGAGTGCAGTGGTGCAATCACAGCTCACTGGAGCCTCAAACTCCTGGGTTCAAGCTATCCTCGTGCCTCAGCCTCCTGAGTAGCTGGGACCATAGGTGTGCCCCACCACGCCTGGCCAATTTTTAAAAATTATCTTGTAGGCCAGGCACGGTGGCTCACGCCTGTAATCACAGCACTTTGGGAGGTTGAGGTGGGCAGATCACTTGAGGCCAGGAGTTGGAGACCAGCCTGGCCAACATGGTGAAACCCTGTCTCTACTAAAACTACAAAATTAGGCCAGGCGCAGTGGCTCAGGCCTGTAATCCCAGCACTTTGGGAGGCCGAGGCGGGCAGATCACGAGGTCAGACGTTCGAGACCAGCCTGCCCAACATAGTGAAACCCCGTCCCTACTAAAAATACAAAAAATTAGCCAGGCGTGGTGGCAGGCACCTGTAATCCCAGCAATTCAGGAGGCTGAGGCAGGAGAATCACTTGAACCTGGGAAGTGGAGGTTGCAGTGAGCCGAGATCGTGCCATTGCACTCCAGCCTAGGCGACAGAGCGCGACTCTGTCTCAAAAATAAATAAATAAATAAACAAATAAACAAACAAACAAACTACAAAAATTAGCCAGGCATGACGGCAGGTGCCTGTAGTCCCAGCTCATTGAGAGGCTGAGGCATGAGAATTGCTTGAAACAAAGAGATGGAGGTTGCAGTGAGCCGAGATCACATCACTATATTCCAGCCTGGGCAACAGAGCAAGACTCTGTCTCAAAAAAATAAGTAAATAAACAAAAAATAAAAATTATTTGGTAGAGACAAGGTCTCACTGTGTTGCCCAGCTGTGTTACTTGAACTCCTGGCCTCAGACGATCCACCCGCCTTGGCCTCCCAAAGCACTGGGATGACAGGCATGAGCCACCACACCTGGCCCTCCTTCACTGTTTTCTTTTCTCTCTTCCTCCTCCATCCCCTCTTCTTTCCCTGCTTCCCGCACCCCCAGCACAAGGCTCCTCCCTGCCCTCGCTGTGACCCCTCAGGAGTGAGCCGGGCACAGGGGCTGCTCCCCCTCCCTCACCCTCCCACCAGACCCCGCTCCTGGCTCCTGGATTCCCATCCACATTGTAAAGAACTAGCCTGACCCGCCACCCTGACCTGCCACCCTGTGATTTGTGGCATCAGTTATATCCCTAGGGAGCCAAACCCTGAAGCAATCTGGAGGTGTCTGAGGGGATGAGGGGTCGGGGTGATGACCCCTGCTCCCACCACCCTTCCTCCTCTGCGGGCCAAGCAGAGGACTGTGGTATTTGCCTTGCTGGCCAAATGCCCTAGAAAGGATCTATGTCTGCCTTGCACTCGTCTGCCAGGGCCCTGGCACCCATGGGAGTGGGAGAATCCTGGCCCTGACTGCTATTTGTGGCCCTTCCAAGCCTGTTGCCACTGGCTTCAGGCCTCAGGGGAATTAAGTCTTTGGGCTCAGGCCTTCTAAACCCAGCCCCGCCCTTGCCTCTTCCACCCACATCTCCCTTTTCTACCATCCAGAGGTTTCTTTTCTTTTCTTTTTTTGAGACAGAGTCTCGCTCTGTTGGCCAGGCTGGAGTGCAGTGGCACGATCTCGGCTCACTGCAACCTTTGCCTCCCAGGTTCAAGCGATTCTCCTACCTCAGCCTCCTGAGTAGCTAGGATTAAAAGCATGTGCCGCACGCCAAGCTAATTTTTGTATTTTTTTTTAATAGGGATGGGGTTTCACCATGTTGGCCAGGCTGGTCTCGAAATCCTGACCTCAGGTAATCCGCCCACCTCGGCCTCCCAAAGTGCTGGGATTACAGGCGTGAGCCACCGCGCCTGGCCCCATCCAGAGGTTTCTAACATGAATCAAGATCTACTGGAAGATGTTGACCTGAGCCTGGAATAGCACCCGTGTCTCCCACTACCAGCCCCATTGGCCAATCAAACTGTTTTCCAAGGTGTATTGAAATTTTGGTTAGAGAAGGACCAACTTCTGTCTGGGCCCCTGTCCCCTTCCTTGATACCACCAGTGTTCCACCCCACTCCTGGAGGTCACAAGACTTCTGTGAAATCTGAGAGTCTCCAAGTTTTAGAGCCAGGAGGAACATTACAAAAGTGTGTAGTGGTGCAATCACAGCTCACTGTAGCCTTGAACTCCTGGGTTCAAGCCATCCTCCTGCCTCAGCCTCCTGAGTAGGTGTCTATGGAAACTCTTCTTCTCAGTCTCTTCTCAGCTTCTCCCAGTGAAAACCAGCTCTTTCTGTACTTCCCAATGGTGATAGGCATTGCAAGCACTGGATGCTATTTTGAGTTCTACTTGCCTTCTGCGCACGCAACAAGATTGTCTTCTCCACCCCACTGAGGTTAGTCATGGCCTTTGTGTTTTGTGTGAACCAATGAACTGTGAGCAGAAGTGGTATGTGTCATTCCGGTGGAAGTATTGAAGAGCCAAGGTACAATTCTCCATGTCTTCTCTCGGCTACCATGGAAGCACATGTTGATAGGAAGATATCTTGGTGGAGGTGGCCTGGAATCTCTGTCATCACATGGTGGCAGCTTCCCTAGAAAGCTGCCCAGACTCACAGAAGATTTTTTTTTAAGCAAAAAGTAGACCTTTGTTGTGTTAAGCCACTGAAATTTTGATGATGTTTGTCACCACAGCATAACCTGTCCTGTCCTGACTAATCCACCAAGAAAGAGCCTCTGATTGGTCCAGCTTATCTTTTTGCCCAGGCTTATCCTGTGAACTTGTTTGTTTGTTTATTTTCTCCTTGACCATTCACTGAGCCAGTGTGAGGGTTAGCTGCCTTTAGGTCAGATGCCTACACTACCCCAATCAGGGAAAACAGTTCTTCAATGTGTAAGCTTCCCCTACTCACCAGAATAAATGTAACTTAACTTCTTCTTAAATGCAATATAACTTCTTAGGTTGGCCTACAAGGCCCTCAGTGAGCTTACGCTCTCTGTCTACCTCTCTCCAACCACATTTTCCTCTTCTCCCAACCCTCTTTCGCATCTCAGGCCCCAGAGACACTGAGCTTCTCTTCATTCCCTTATCACATCAGCTCTGTCACAAGCCATCGCTGTTCCCTTTGTCTAAAACGCTGTTCCTCTCACGTCTCCTCCTGAGGAGATACTGATTTTAAAATGTTTTAAAATGGTATTGTGTATATTTAAGGCCTATATCATGATGTTATAAGATACATTATCTGGCTGGGCAATGGGGCTCATACCTGTAATCCCAGCACTTTGAGAGGCCAAGGCGGGCGGATCACCTGAGGTCAGGAGTTCGAGACCAGCCTGGCCAACATGGTGAAACCCCATCTCTACTAATAATACAAAAATTAGCCGGGTGTGGTGGCGCACGCCTATAATCCCAGCTACTTAGGAGGCTGAGGCAGGAGAATTGCTTGAACCCGGGAGGTGGAGGTTGCAGTGAGCTGAGATTATGCCACTGCACTCCATCCTAGGCAACAGAGCCAGACTTCATCTCAAAAAAAAAAAAAAAAAAAAAAAGATGCATTATCTATCTATCCAGATGTAGATGTAGAGAGTAACCATTTTAGCAGCATCTCTGTCGTCTTTCCATCTCTCTCCTCACCCCAACACATTGTCTAACAACAACGATGATGAGAAGGCCAATATTTATTGACTGCCTACCACTGCCCTGCACTGGGCGAAGCACCATTCAGAGCTGATCTCTTCGAACAATCACTATTACTGTCCTATTCTAGATCCTCCAGAACCTCTATACTCGATTGCCTCCCTATGGTCCTGCAGAAGGTCTTAGTAATACTCTGTTGAATGACTGAATGTTGCCTTCATGAAATTACTAAATGAATAAATGAATTCTGACTTATCTGCAAAGAAGAGACCAGGAATTCATGTAACACATCCAGAAAAAAACTAAAGATTACCTCTTCCCTCATTCACATAAGCCTGCTTTGTAAACTGCCTAGGCAGCTGTGAGCCTGTCTTCAGGGAGTCTGGATGGTCAGGGTGTCCCCAGTGAAAAGGACACACATTCCCCCTCTTGCTGGCACATGCAGGCATTCCCTGGCCCTGGCCAACAGCCCCCTTCCAGCCCCAACCAGGACCCACTCGCAGTCTCAACACCAAGGCAAGTGGGTGCCCCAGGAGCCCAGCCTGGAGGCAGCTGCATTCCCTCAGGACAGACAGCTGTGATTGGAAGCCTGGCGAATGGAGTCTAACCTTGAGTAAGTGTTTTCTTGTTGTCATCCACAGATCTAACGCAAAGCCTGCAGAGAATGCACGCTGGAGACATATATTATACCCAGAGCTTTTTATCTTGCACACGTGACCCTGCCCATCATGAGCTGTGCGTTTTATTCTTGCTGGTGGGACAAAAACCACCTCCCACTGCAGCATATATCAAGGGAAAGAATGTTGAACTTTCTTTGCATTAATATAAATAGCTGTTTAGGCCTCATTCCCCAGCCTGGGACCCTCTGTGCACCTGTCCTTCATCTACTCTATTTGGCATCTGGTTCAAGTTTGGTTTATTTAGAGCCCAGGTCGGCGGGCTTTTACATATTAAAGGTGCATTTTAAAAGAGCATTTTCTATTCTAATTTGGGGGAGCCAAGCTCTTTAGGGCTTTCGGGAGCGGTGTCCACCTGATTTACATTTCCCCCATTGGAGCCGAGCCACAGACGCACATTAGAATGTAAATAATAGTGATGGATACATGTATCTTTAAAGATCCATTTTCTCTCCATTTTTTCTTTCTTTGAGGGGAGGGGACAGGCCAGGGAGGAACTGAAGTATTCAGGCTGTGGGGGCAGAGGAAAGAAAGAGGAGGGAGGGAGATGTGCTGGGTTTCCCGGGAAGGCTGCAGTTCCCAGGGGACGGAAGGCAGCAGTTCAGAGGGCTGGGGGGCCAGGGTCTCTGCAGGAGGCAAGGCCAGTCCCTGCTGTGTCTGGGGAGAGGCTACTGGACTGTGATTGAGCCGGTGTTCCAATATTGGCTCCAGGCTGGGCACGGTGGCTCACGCCTGTAATCCTAGCACTTTGGGAGTGGGAGGCAGAGGCGGGTGGATCACTTGATGTCAGGAGTTCCAAACTAGCCTGGCCAACATGGTGAAACCCCATCTCTACTAAAAATATTTTAAATATTAGCCGAGCCTGGTGGTGGGCGCCTATAATCCCAGCTACTCAGGAGGCTGAGACAGGAGAATCGCTTGAACCCAGGAGGTGGGGGTTGCAGTGAGTCGAGAGGGCGCCATTGCACTCCAACCTGGGCCACAAGAGTGAAACTCTGTCTCAAAAAAAAATTGGCTCCAGTGTGGCTTTGGGAAGTTCCCTTCACCTCTCTGAG
Source organism: Homo sapiens (assembly GCF_000001405.40). Classification (NCBI taxonomy): domain Eukaryota; kingdom Metazoa; phylum Chordata; class Mammalia; order Primates; family Hominidae; genus Homo; species Homo sapiens. The sequence goes on from NT_187614.1 coordinate 1,079,994, forward strand.
CCCACCAGGCCAAGGGATCATAGAAATCATCCCACACAGGGTGGCCATGAGGAATAAGTGAAGTGACACCTAGGAAACCCTGGCACAGTGCTTGACCCACAACCTGTGAGGAGCTTTATTCATGTTGGCTTTTGTTCTTTATTGTTATCCTTGTAAATCTTGTCTTCTATCCCAAGCTCTGGTGCCCCGCACATGGCAGACACTTGATTAGTGTATATAAGCTGGACTCCCTTCATTCAATGGCAAGAAATTTACCTGAGCCTGGTGCAGTGGCACACACCTATAATCTCAGTTATTTGGAGGCTGAGGTGGGAGGATTGCTTGAGCCCAGGAGTTCAAGACTGCCGTGAGCTGTGATCATGCCACTGCACTCAGCCTGGATGACAGAGCGAGACTCTATCTCTAAAAAAGAAAGAAAGAAAAGAAAGAAAGAAGAAAGAAAGAAAGAAAGAGAGAAAGAAAGAAAGAAAGAAAAAAAAAAGAAAGAAAGAAAGAAGAAAGAAAGAAAGAAAGAAAAAAGAAAGACATTAACCCAGCTCCTACCGTGGGCTGGAGGAAGATGATGATTCAGATATGGTTCCTCACCTCTACCCATCTGCCACTCCTGCCAAAGGCAGGACTTACCCACCTCCTGGTGGCCTCCATCTAAGCCATGCTCTCTCATACTTTCCATGCCCTAAGCCCAGGACCTCCTCTCCCCTCTGCTTCACCTGAATAGATCCCATTCAGCCCCATTCCAGGAAGCTTCTCCGACCCTCCGAGCTGTGTCAGGTGCCCTCCCTGAGGGTCTGGAGTGCCCATTACTTCCTCCCATCACACCGCTTACCATCCTACATGGTAACTGGTACGTCTGTATCTCCTACTAAAGTCCAAGCCCCAGGAGAAGAGGAATTGTGTCTGTTTTGGTCACCTTTATATCCCCAGCCTGGCAGATATTAGGTGCTCAATACATGCTTGTTGAATGAATGAATCTCTGTATAACCAAACCAACACCTAGCACAAACTAGGTGCTCAATACGTGTTTATTAAATAAAATGATGAAGTTGATGCTTTCAAGGAATTCAGTCTTATCAGGGGTCAATGCACATGCTGCTATTTTGTGCAAATGGAGCTCAGAAGGAGCAGCTGGGAGAGTCAGGAGGACTTCCTAGAGGAGGTGGCAGGTCAGTAGGGTCTTGAAGAATAAGTAGGGATTGTTCCAGAGGAAGAGGGAGAGATGTTGAACAGAGTGGATATTTTGACAGGGGAGAGACCCTGAATGGGAACACCAAGAGACAGAATTCTTTCCTGGATCTTGGGCCAGGATGCTATTGTTAAGCAATTCGGGATGGGATTCATCTAGGATGTGTTCAAATGTGGGCACGGGTAGAGCTAATTGTGGGGAGCAGGGAGAGGCTGGAGCAGTGTGGTGGGGAGGTGTCTGGACTCAGCTGTAGCTGGGAAGTGGGAGAGAGTGAGGAGAGAATGCCCACCCCTTATCCCTGAAAGGAGACCCAGCTTAGGTGCTCACGGCCAGGCAGGGACCAGGCCCGGTGCCCAGAGCCTCTGAGGGGCTGGGATAGTAAGGATGGAGGAGGAGATGAGATGAAGGTGCCCTCCTGGCCTCGATTTCCCCAGCAAGAAGCTTGGGCTGATAGGATTGCTTCAGAAATCCAAGGCAGAAAGCCTAGAGCCATCACTCAGGAGCCATGGTGGGGAGCAGTGGTGATGTCAGAAGCAATGACAGTGCAGAAGGGAAAACAAGAGTGGGGAGAAGGAAAGAGAATCAGGGACCAGAGGACCCCTTGACCCAGAGAAACAGGAAGTTAGGGTGGGGGGAGTGGGAAATGGGTGTTGGGACAGCAGGGCAGGGGTGCAGAATAGTGGGGGATGGGGGAGGGCCTCCCAGGGAGGGAGGTTCAGAGCTTGGCTATAGCAGTGCTGAGAGGAGGAAGGTGGTTAGGACTCTGGAGGCGGAGGGCAGATGAAGATGTTCTTTCATCTTCTTCCTGGCAAGAAGGGGCCAGGCCGTGATAGGGAGAATGACGGAAAGTCTCTTTGGAGCTGTTGGTTTGAAAGAATTTGTCTTTGGAACAAGCTTTTTATCAGTCAGCTTTAAAGATCAGCATTCCTTAGAGGCTGCTCCATCTTCCTCTCTCTCTGTTTCTCTCTCGCATCCCCTCCTTCTCCTGGTCTCTCTATCTCCCTTCCCATCTCACGGTCCCTTTTTCGGCACCGCATTTGTCTGTGTGGTTTTTCTGCTCCTGGAAATCCCTTGCCCTCTTCTGCCTCACTGCTCGCTGACAACAGGCCAGGCCCTGCTCCGTGTCTCCAGGTGGCCGTGGGGACAGAGAGGGGAGAGGGCAGGGGCAAGACTGGCAGAGCCACCAGTCTGTGATCTGGGCTGGGCTGTGAGGCCCTGGGCCCCAGGGAGGAAAAGGGGTGGGGAGAGCTGCAGGCCATCTGGTCCCTTGCCCCTGCCACAGCCCCCCTCTCCAAGCCAAAGTACCTTTGCTCATCACGGCCAACTGCCCAGGTATGGCCCTCACCTGTCACATGTCCACAGCAGAGCCAGGTTCGAGGAGCCAAGGGAGAGAGGCTGGTGCTTACAGGGTGTCAGGCTCTCTCCCATGTTAGCCAGAGAGGAGTCTGGGCCTCATTTTCCCCAGGGGAAACTGAGGCATCCCACTCTCATGAGGCAAGTGAGGGAAGGGCAGATGGAACTGATGGCGAGGAGGGGGCTGGCTAGAAGGTCAGAAGGAAGCCAAGCCAGAAAAAGTGGGGGGCTGGGCCACCCTCCTTTTCCAGTCCCTCTCCTTTCTCATTAGCATTTTATGTTCCCCACCATCAACGGAGATAGCCTGGGCCTTATCTCATCTCCTGCCCTGGCTGGGATGGCCTGGAGGACTCTCATTTCCCGCCCCTGGGTGTTCAAGCTGAAAAGTTAATGATTTGTTTTTCTTGGAGGGGATAGGTCTGGGGGGCAGGCATGGGGTCACAGGTTTCCTTGGAGCCACCAGGAGCTTCCTTCTTTCTTTCTAGTCCAGGAGGGGCAGTGAACTAGGGAGGAGGGGAGTCCATTGGTGGCCTGGGTGTCAGTCCTGAGCTGCAGCTCCAAGAAGCCCCAACCCGGGGCCAGCAACTCTAAGCCATTTCTGAGGTGCCTCATCAGCACCCCACCCTCCAGAGCTTGGGGGTGACCCTCTGGGGCACCAGGCTCCCCCCACGCCAGGCCCGGCTATTCCTAGTGTCTGGAATGGGAGGGGTCTGTGCTCCGTGAGAAACAGGGAGCGAGCCAGGCCATGTGTACAGAGAGGCATCAATTTCACAGGGCTTGCTCCTGAGTGGGTTTCACATAAAAGGATTAAAGCGAGAGGAAGTGCAGAGGAAATGGGATGTTGGACACCTTGTTAAACGGGCTGTCAGGGCTCCCAGAGCGTGGGTGCTAACTCTATTCCCTGTCTCCACAGAGAGCAGGCCAGGCCATTACCTGAGCGATCAAAGATAGGGCGTGTGAGTCCGGAGAGTTCTGACAGCGCCTGGAGGACCAAGAGCAGGGCCAGGCAGGAAGATGAGGCCTGGACTAGCCCCACTGCCACCTCTCAGGCCTCATTCCTGAGGGGTTAGGGGAAATGGAGGCTCAAGGCTTCCGCTTACCTGTGCCTGGGGAGCTCCTTGCCCTGGGATTAAATCACAGCACGATTTGGGTGTGGGGAGGGAGGTGGGAGGGCATTTGACCTAATGATGTGTAGATTACCATTTCCTTCCTTATCTTAACACCAAGGGACATTCTTTTTCCTGAGCCCCGGAATTGGCTCAGTTTGTGAATGAATCTGATGGGATCAGCACTTTTCCTGGAGAGATAAGGGGGTTATCAGGGTGGAGGGAGGTCTTCCTCTGGGAGGAGCAGCGGAGAGAAGGACCTGGGGGTGGGGGGCATGCCGTGGGGAGGGCCCAAGTGACCTACCAACCGGGTAGCTCAGCCATCTATACCGGGACCCCTGGCCGTTCCCGCTGGCTGTCCCTCCTCTGTCTGGACTGCTTCCTGCCCACTTCACCCAGCCAATTCTTGCTCATTCTTTATATTTATTTATTTAGTTTTGAGTCTCGCTCTGTCACCCAGGCTGGAGTGCAGTGGTGCGATCTCACTGCAACCTCTACCTCCAGCAGGTTCAAGCGATTCTCCTGCCTCAACCTCCCAAGTAGCTGGGATTACAGGTGTGCGTCACCATGCCCAGCTAATTTTTGTATTTTTAGTAGAGACAGGGTCTTGCCATGTTGGCCAGACTGGTCTCGGACTCCTGACCTCAGGTGATCCGCCCGCCTCGGCCTCCCAAAGTGCTGTGATTACAGGCGTGAGCCACCGAGCCTGGCCAATTCCTGCTAATTCTTTAGACACTTAGCCCTGGCTGAATGTTGGGATCCCCTGGGAAACTCTACACACTTTCCCAAGCTAGGATCCACCGCAGAAGATGCAGCCAGAATCTCTGGGGGCTCTGGGCAGAGTCTTCAAAGCCCTCTTACAAGTGCCCCAGGAGGCTTTCCCTAATGCCTCAGGCTGTTAGAGACCCACCCCCTCTGTTGCCTCAGCTCCTGAGGTAGATCTCCACAGGTCACACCTATCACAGGACAGGGTAGTTTTCTGCTTACCTTTCTGTCTAGACCTCTCACCCCAGACTGTGAACGCCCCGAACTTAGGGCCAGGGGCACTCACCATTGCCCCCTGGGCTTAACCCTGCACTCGGTGGGCTGCGGGAGGTTGGGAATGAGAGCAGGTCTTAAGTCATCTTCCCATCTCCTCTACCTGCAGCAGAGGCTGCGTAGAGCTGGTCCTGGTGTGCACATTGAATGTGTGATGATCGCATTTCATTTCACCCTCTGAGATGTGAGGATGGGAGGAGAGTTAGCAGAGGTCCCTCATCCTGCCTAGTGGGGGTGCAGATGGGGTTTCAGGACAACTCCTCCCCTGTTCCCGCCCCAGTGCTTTTGATTTTTTTATTTTTAATTTTTCTTTTTAGAGACAGGATCTCACTGTGTCACCCAGACTGCAGTGAGGTGATGCAATCATAGCTCACTGCAGCCTCGGAACTCCAGGCTCAGCCTCCGAAAGATCTGGAAATACAGGACTGAGCCACCGCACTCAGCCACCCACTGACTTTTTTTTTTTTTTTTTTTTGAGATGGAGTCTCACTCTGTCACCCAAGCTGGAGTGCAATGGTGCAATCTTGGCTCACTGCAACCTCCACCTCCCAGGTTCAAGTGATTCTCTTCCCGTGCCTGAGGCTCCCAAGTAGCTGGGATTACAGGTGAGCATCACCATGCCCAGCTAATTTTTGTATTTTTAGTAGAGACGGGGTTTCACCATGTTGGCCAGCCAGGTCTCGAACTCCTGACCTCAAGTGATCCTCCTGTCTTGGCCTCCCAAAATGCTGAGATTATAGACATGAGCCACTGTGCCCGGCCCACCCACCTGATTTTTAAATGCTTTCAACATGGGGAGGTGAGAGTTTAGATCAGAGATCAGCAAACTTTTTCTGCAAAGAGCCAGGGTAGGCCGGGCACAGTGGCTCACGCCTGTAATCCCAACACTTTGGGAGGCAAGGCGGCTGAATCACCTGAGGTCAGGAGTTCAAGACCAGCCTGGCAAATATGGCGAAACCCCGTCTCTGCTGAAAATACCAAAACTAGCCAGGTGTGGTGGTATGCACCTGTAATCCCAGCTACTCGGGGGACTGAGATAGGAGAATCGCTTGAACCTGGCAGGTGGAGGTTGCAGTGAGTCAAGATTGTGCCACTGCACTCCAGCCTGGGCGACAGAGTGAGACTCCATTAAAAAAAAAAAAAACAAAAAAAACAGAGAGCCAGGGTAGTAAATATTTTAGGATTGATGGGCCATAAACTCTTTGTCTCAACTACTCAACTCTGCTGTGGTTGTTCAAAAACAGCCAAAGACGTAACATAAATGAGTAGGCGTGGCTGTGCTCCATAAATGCTTTATTTATGGATGCTGAAATCTGAATTTCATATAAGTGTCACATGTCACAACATTTCTCCTGTTGATTTTTTTCAACCTTTAAAAAAGTCATCCTTCATTCGTGGCCATATACAAACAGGGGCAGGCCACCTGGAGTAGGCCAATGGGCCATCATTTGCAGATTCCTGGATTAGGTGAAGTTCCCAATTCCAAGCTTGCAGCCCAGATCTGCTCTCCCCCGTCCCCTCCACCCCACTCACTCCTGAGGTTACCAGGGACCTGGGCCACACCAGCTGCCCCTCGATAAGATAAAGGTATGTGTGTGAAGGGACAGGAACAAGTGAGCGGAAATCCTGATCCCTCCAGGGATGGGGGCGGGAGCGTGAAGGCTGTGAATTTGAGAGACGTGCTGATGAGTAATGTGGTTTCACTTCAGGTCATTTCCTGAAAGTCAGATCCACTTTGCACGTGAGGACAAGAGTGGGAGCTTCCGAATTCACTCTCGGGGCCTCCAAATTAAAAGCCAAATAGGATGTAGCTTTTGCCTGGGCTGCATCTTCATCTGTCAAGAGCAGTTATCTTCAGTGTGCCACTGGGGCCTGCTACTGTCTGTCATTCACCCCCACCCAGTGCCTGTGGGGGCATGCACACCCCAGCAGGGGGAGGTATCCAGTAACGGGTCCAGATACCACTGGTTATTCCAACAAGGAGGGAGGTGAGATTAGGGGCCCCTGAGGGAGGACTTACCCAGCCAGGTCTTTAGAGGAACCTGCCACCTCTGGCCCAAACTTCTAGCCAGTCTTGCCACTTAGGGCCTAGGCTAGACTCTTGGAGGTTCTCTCTGGAAAAGGGTTGGGAATGCTCTACAAAGGCCCAGTTATCTAGAGAGGAAGGAAAATAGCAGAGTCTGATGCTCAGAAACTGCCAGCTTCCGGCCTTGCACCGTGGCTCACATCTGTAATCCCAGCACTCTGGGAGGCCCAGGCGGGAGGATTGCTTGAAGCCAGGAGTTTGAGACCAGCCTGGGCAATATAATGAGACCCCGTCTCTATAAGAAACATAAAAAATTAGCCAACGTGGTGGTGCATGCCTGTAGTCCCTGCTACTCAGGAGGCTAAAGCAGGAGGATCACTTGAGCCCAGGAGGTCAAGGCTGCAGTAAGCTAAGATTGCACCACTGCACTCCATTCCAGGCTAGAGTGAGACTCCATCTCTAAAGAAAAAACAAAAAAAAAACATGCAACAAAACTGCCAGCCCCAGCCCCTGCGGGGAGAGATGGGAAAGAAGGCAGGAAGACGGATGGTGACTCAGAGAAGACCCAGAAAGGAAGGGCCTCTGAGTCACATACTCAGATTCCTAATCTCAGCCCAGACCTTGACTTGCTGTGTGACCTTGGGCCAATTGCTTTGTCTCTCTGAGTTTAAATGTCCTCAACATGGAGAGTCTTACCAGCTTTGGCCCATCTCAAGCCTGTACAGTTTAAGGCCCACAGGAAGCCCAAGAGAGCATCTCGTAGGCCCCGAATGTCATTCCTGTGCAAGACTGAAAGTCAGTGTGTCCCGGAAGACAGCCTGGACGCAGTGTGTTCTGCAGTAGGACCACTGAACTCATGACACCCTGTTCTTTCCTTGCTCTCCCCCGCAGCAGCAGTCTGGGGGCCTAGAAGCTGAGCTGACCTGTTTCTTTGTCCTCCTTGCCCCCAAAAACTCCATAGGAAAAGACACTCTTTGTAATCAGAAGACTTAGGTTAAGACTCAGCTCATCACCAGTCACGTGATCGCTGGCAAATGACCTCTCTGAACTTCGGGATTCTCATCTATAAAATGAGTCTAACAACATCTCATTGGGCTGTGGTGACAAGTTGTCTTAGGAATGTGAAATTGCTTTGTAAACATAACGGGCCACACCTGATATATATTTACATTTTTCCCGCTACTCACAGCCAGTCACAGTCGTCTCACTATGTTCTAATGCCATCCTAGCCATGGTGCAGAGATAGAACCAGAGTGGACAAGGACTCTGTTGACACCCTGCCCCATCCCCACCCCCTGATTTGTCAATGGTGGAAGCTGCAATGCTGGACTCCTAGACTTGATTTATTGGAGAATGGGGCTTTCATTCCCATTTGCTTCAACCAGCCCCGGCTGGGTCCCCACACCCTGGGTGGCTGAGCCAGGCTGGGATGTGACCTCCTAGCCATGCTCTCTGGGCCCTATGGCCCTGGTCTATCACCTCTGCTCCCACCCAAATAATCCAAGGCCTTGAACCTGGCCTCCCTGCCTTGCTGTCTGAGAATCAATGGTCCCACACCTCCCAAGATGACTGAGAAGGAGAACGCTTCTACCCCACCTTCTCCCATGTATGGGTGCCATGCCTTCTCTGTAAAAACAATCCAATATTGTTTGAAAACTTATAAGAGCAGAATATGCTCCTTAGAAGACACTTAAATACAGGAATATATAGGAAAAAGAAAAGGAAGAAAGAAATGTGGTCTAATATCCAGAATTTACGAGGAACTTAAACAAATTTACAAGAAAAAAATCCCATCAAAAAGTGGGCAAAGGATATGAACAGACACTTCTCAAAAAAAGACATTTACGCAGCCAACAAACATATGAAAAAAAGCTCAACATCACTGATCATTAGAGAAATGCAAATCAAAACCATAATGAGATACCATCTCTCACCAGTTAGAATGGCAATCATTAAAAAGTCAAGAAACAATAGATGCTGGTGAGGCTGTGGAGAAATAGGAATGCTTTTACACTGTTGGTGGGATTGTAAATTAGTTCAACCATTGTGGAAGACAGTTTGTGGATTCCTCAAGGATCTAGAACCAGAAATACCATTTGACTCAACAATTCCATTCCTGGGTACATACTCAAAGGAATATAAATCCTTCTATTATAAAGACACATGCACACCTGTGTTTACTGCAGCACTATTTACAATAGCAAAGGCATGGAACCAACCCAAATCCCTATCAATGACAGACTGGATAAAGAAAATATGGTACCTATACACCATGGAATACTATGCAGCCATAAAAAGGAATGAGATTATCATGTCCTTTGCAGGGACATGGATGAAGCTGGAATCCATCATCCTCAGCAAACTAACACAGGAACAGAAAACCAAACACCACGTGTTCTCACTCATAAGTGGGAGTTGAACAATCAGAACACATGGACACAGGGAGGGGAACATCACACATCAGGGTATGTTAGGGGGTGGGGGATGAGGGGAGAGAACTTAGAGGATGGGTCAATAGGTGCAGCAAACCACCATGGCACATGTATACCTACATAACAAACCTGCATGTCCTGTACATGTATCCCAGAACTTGAAGTAAAATAAAAATAAAATGAAAGAGAGAGAGAGAGACAAAAGAGAAGGAAGAAAGAAAGAAAGAAAGAAAGAAGAAAGAAAGAAAAAGAAAGAAAGGAAGAAAGGGAAAGAAAGAAAGAAAGAGAAAGAAAGAAAGAAAGAAAGAAAGAAAGAAAGAAAGAAAGAAAGAAAGAAAGAAAGAAAGAAAGAAAGAAAAAAGGAAGGAAGGAAGGAAGGAAGAAAGAGAGAGACTTGCTCTTGGTGTTCCTTTCCTCTGTGTCTGTGCCCTTCTTTAGGAAACCCTGTGGACTTGCCCCTACTGGAGCCCATGTGACTCAGCCCCTCCAGGCTCGTAGGCAGTCAGGGCAGTGACAGTGATAGGACCTCCTTGTCTGTGGCCCTCGTAGCAACAAGCCCTGTATACAGTGGGTGCTCAATAAATGTTGCTTGGTTGACCAGGTGAGGGTGTATTTCCTGGGATGTTAGTACAGTTTTGCTGAGAGCAAGAGGAGGTAGTTGGTTGCCCGGTTCTTGTGAGGCCAGGAAGATTTACATAACATTAGGGGTTCAGAAATTAAGATTTGGGGCAGAATGGCTAGATATCAGCAAAATAATGATCCTTTTAATGACAAGATGAAGATGGGAACTCTAAGGCTCTGCTTCTCTGCTATGGGGTGGAAAGCAATGTCTCCTTTGAATGGAATTTTTTTCATTCATTCATGCAGTCAGCTAATACTCACTGAATTCCTTCTGTGTGTCAGCCTCTGGGCTCAGACATGAGCAAGGAAGGCACCCAAAGAAAAAGTAAGAACATTTTGTCTGTCGATGGATGAATGGATAAAGAAATGTGAGATATAGATACAGATATAGATAATATTAATTGGCCTTTGAAAAGAAGAAAATCCTCCCTTTGCAGCAACATGAGTAAACCTGGAGGAGGTTATGCCAGACACAGAAAGACAAATACTGCACGACCTCTCTTACATGTGAAATCTGCAATAGTCAAACTCATGGAAACGGAGGTAGGTGGAATTGTGGTTACCAGAGACTAGAGGAAGGGGGAAATGGGAGATGTCGGTCTTGGGGTATAAGGTTTCAGTTACATCAGATGAATAAGTTCTGAAGATCTAAGGTACAGCAATGTGACTCCAGTGAACAATATTGTATTGTATACTTGAAATTTGCTAAGAGGATAGGTCTTATGTGTTCTTACCACCAAAATAAAAGAAAGAGAAGAAAATGGTACCTGTGAGGTGATGGATGTGTTAGCTTGATTATGGTGAATATTTCACAATGTATACATCTATCAAATCATCAAATTAGACACCTCAAATATATGCTTTTTTTTTTTTTTTTTTTTGAGACAGTCTCACTCTGTTGTCCAGGCTGGAGTGCAGTGGTGCGATCTTGGCTTACCGCAACCTCCGCCTCCCGGGTTCAGGCAAATCTCCTGCCTCAACCTCCCAAGTAGCTGGGACTATAGGTACGCGCCACCGCACCTGGCTAATTTTTGTATTTTTAGTAGAAACGGGTTTCACCATGATGGCCAGGCTGGTCTCAAACTCCTGACCTCAAGTGATCTGCCTTCCTCAGCCTCCCAAAGTGCTGGGATTACAGGTGTAAGCCATTGTGCCCAGCCAAATATATGCAATTTTTAATTGCCAACGCATCTCACTAAAACTGGGGGAAAAGAAGGATGTTTTCCTGGAGGAAAAGGACTGGAGTTGGGGGAGGCGGGGAGGGGAAGGGAGGGAGGTGAGAAGAGGAGGAGGGAGCTGAGTGGCTGCCTGTTTCCAGGAGGTTGGGAGAACAATGTGGCCTGAGTCCTAGATGCCCTGGCAGTCCACAGTGAGTGTAGGGGGTGTCCTGCCTCCCATGCCCTTTGCTGGTCTCCTACATATGGAAACCTCCCTAGCAATGGGAGGAGGGCTGGCCAGGGGATCCCTCAGCATCCTACTCCAGGTAAAGGAAGCTGTTTCTCTCTCTGTGCCTGCACAGCACCTGTAAATGCCATCATCTTAGATCAAACTTAGATCAGACTAGTCCCCCCATACCCCTAAGCAATTGGTGGGGACTGGTTTGATTTAAGTTACCCATGGCGGGCCTGGAGGTGGGTAGGGAGAGGAGGGAATATAGTTTAAGTTAAAACAAAACAAAACCAAAAAACGTTTGTGGCTGAGAGCTCTCAACTGGAACAGCCTGACTGGCTGGGCCCAAAGCCAGAAGATAGGTCCCAGGATCAGGTGACCCCGCCATGCCCTTGGGAAGGCCCTGGGGGGTTGAGGGGTTAATGCCACTTCCTCCCCAGGCCACCCTCCAGAGTCCTGCCTTTTCCTATCTTCCTCCAGCCTCATCTCCCATCAGGATCCTTAGTTTGAGGTCTGAAGGGAGGGAGGGCCTAGGCCCAAGGACTTCCAGAATGGAGAGGAGGTGAAGGTTCACTCTACAGCTAAGCCTCAATGCCTACTGCCCCTAACCTCCGCCAGGCAGCCCATCCTGGTCCAATGCCAGGGCGAGGCACCAAGGATGCAAAGAAGGTTCTGCTCTGAGGGAGCTCAGCAGGGCACAAGAACTCCTCAAGGGGGTGCAATTAGTGCCATAGGGGTGACATCTCCAGGTGCTATGCAGGCACAGAGATGCAAACAGCTCTCTTTACCTGGAACCAGAGAGAAGAGGGGGTATTGAGAGGGGTCTTGATGGTTGAGTAGGAGTTTGCCAGACAGAGAAGTGGTTGGAGGGCGTTTTCAGCAGAAGCAAAGCATGAGCACAGCACACAGGGGTGAGGAAGGCTGGGTGTAAGAAACAGTGGGCTGCTGTGCGGGAGCGGAGTCAGAATGCCTGGTTTGCATCCAGCATTCCAGTTCCTCCCTTTCTTTCTCTCTTTCTCCCTTTCTCTCCCTCTTTCTTTCTTTTTCTTTTTTTAAATTTTTATTTATTTATTTATTTATTTTATTTTTGAGATGAAGTCTCACTCTGTCACCCAGGCTGGAGTGCAGTGGTACAATCTCCACTCACTCCAACATCCACCTCCCAAATTCAAGCGATTCTCCTGCTTCAGCCTCCCGAGTAGCTGGGACTACAGGCATGTACCACCATGCCTGGCTAATTTTTGTATTTTTAGTAGAGACAGGGTTTCACCATGTTGGCCAGGATGGTCTCGATCTCCTGACTTCATGATCCACCCACCTCAGCCTCCCAAAGTGCTGGGATTACAGGCATGAGCCACTGTGCCCAGCCTGTGTAGCTATCTTTAGATATGCAAATACTTACTATTGTATTACAACTGCCTACAGTATTCAGTACAGTAATGTGCTGTACTGATTTGTAGCCTAGGAGCATAGGCTATGCCATACGGCCAAGGTGTGTCATAGGCTCTACCAGGTAGGTTTGTGTAAACACACTCTCTGATGCTCACAGAGTGATGAAATCGCCTAACAATGCATTTCTCAGAACATATCCCCATCGTTAATCAACACACGACTGTACATGATAAAGCACGTAGAGCAGTGCCTGGCACATAGTGAGCATTTGATCAATGTTAGCTGCTATCATTATTATTATTATCAGAGAGGTGGAGGGGAGTGGCCACAGAACAAGCTAGAAAGGGAGGAGGAAGCCTGCGTAGGAAGGGCCTTGAACACCGGGCTCAGAAGCTTGGGGTTGATACTGAAAGCAGCAGGGAAACGTTTTTTAAATAGAAGAATGATATAGTTTACAGACAGTTTACTCCAGGACCTGGCAAACAGCAGGCATTTAATAAATACCTCTTGAGTGAATGAATGAATCAAGATTGGAGGAGGAGAGACCAATTAGGCGGCCACTTCAGCGACCCAGGTATCCCATCATGAGGGCTGAACCCAGGGCAGCTGCCATGGAGTTTTGGGGGGACCCTCAGCCAGGCACTGGGCTTCCCTGCCCACACCCACCTGCCCACCCCCCGCCTAACCAGGACAGGCAGCTTCATGGTCCCCGCTGCTCGTGTGCAGCGCACAACACCGCCTCATAACTCACTGTGCTTATGATGAAGCGGAGCGGTTGTTTGGGAAGACAGCCACTCTGATACCCAACAGCCCCCAGGGCCGTTCCTGATGTTTCTCTTCCACCATCCACTGCTTAACATGCCAAGTCTCCCTCCCACACCCTGCTCCCCATGCCCCTCCAATGGCACCGATCTCTTCCCCCATTCACACACACCCCTCCGCCTGCCTCTCCAGTGCCGCAGCCTGGAGGAAATTTATTGCAGCTCCAGACTGCTATGGGCAAATACTAATAAAATGCTGTTTTGCTGCAATTTGTTTAATTGGCCACAGCAGAGACGTTGTGAGCATGTGCAGCCTCTGCCCGCGCCTGCCTGCCTGCCCGCCTGCCCAGCTCACAGATGCTCTCTCCTCCCTCCGCCTTGTCTCCCTGGCTGTGGCTACCGAGAATGGGATAATGCAGAGAGGAGAGACAAGAGCGGAGGCCGAATGAGCCCATCTCCATCTATTCTTACAGCATTTTACTGAGTGAACCTTTCACCCATGAACCTTGGGATCCTGTGAACAGCCAGACTGCCTGGGTTCAAATCCCACTACTTATTTCCTCCTCTTACTGGTGTCACCTTAGGCAAGTCATGCAACCTCTCTGTGCCCCAGTTTCCTCACCTGTAAAATGGAAACAATAGCAACACTGTTGTGAGGATTAAATGAGCTACTTCATGTAAAACACTCAGAACAGTGCTTGGTCCATGGGAGGCGCAAAATCAATGTGAAGGACTTGGACTGCTTGGGTTCTAATCCCAGCTCGGCCACTTAGCAGCTGTGTGCCTTGGGCATGTTACTTAAGCACTTCGTAGCTCCGTTTTCCCATCTGTGAAATGGGGGTAGTGATTACATCTATCTCACAGAGTTGCGTGAAGATTAAAGGTGTCAATCAACAGAAAGGGACTGAGAACAGAGCCTGCCACGAAATAAGAGCTGCAAAAGCATGAACCGTTGTTGCGAAACAGACAGTGGCAGCGGCGGGAGCTAAGTGCTCTGGGTGGGGGTGCTCGGGAAGACTTTGCACCCCGCGTTCCTTCTCTGGAGTGAGTTATGGGGGAGGGGTGAGTCCCCAGAGATGGGAATTCCCAATGGTAAACAGTTCGAGCTGGTTCCTTGTGTCTTGAGGCCAGCGAAAGACCCTCGCAGTGTGTCTCTCGTGGGTTAGGAGGTGCAGTGACCCTGCTACAGCTCTCCAGACAGAGCCTGGGGCTGTGCTGCTGCTTGTGGGGTCAGCTCAACCTCCCAGCTGCTCCCCTCTTGGCCCCTGGCACCCACTCCCCGGGGGTGGGCATCTTGCCACCCGCCAGATGGCACTAGCAGAGGCTGGGGCGTGGGGGTGGGTGGGGAGCGTTAGGCCAGGCTGCAGGAGCTGGGCACAGGGGTCTTGGGACAGATGGGCTTGTGTCTGTCCCGAGAATAGCATGCCTGGGGCAGGGCGGAGGCATCCCCATGAGGCTTTTGGGAGCTGGCTGAGGCCTATAAGATACAGTGCACACGAGCATTCATACATTTACACACACTCACGCACAAAAATGTGCGGCATGTTTCCGGCAACCTTGACTCAGCTGGCTCAGGCACCTTTGTCCAAAGGAAACTCACCACTCCTAAAGAAACCTTGCACCCTGACCTCTAGGTCATGAATGCTAGAGCGTGCCACAGGTAACAGGAGGCACTTATACCACTTCCACTCCGAGCTTTGCTTCCCTCATCCGCAAAATGTGGAGACAGCTTCCCTGTCTCCTGGGGAGGAGGTCAGTGGCATAGGCCTGAGAAGAACACCCTGAAGCCAGCTGGCCAAGTTTGGATTCAGGCTTTTCTCCTGGGGATTCAACTGTGTGCCCTTGGGCAAATAACTTCACCTCTCCGTGTCTCACTTTCATTATCCATAAAATGGGGATGAAGACAATAGCACATACCTCAGAGAGGTGTCATGAGAGTTAGAAAGGAGCTAATGCCATGAGTGCAGGAAACGGGCGTGGAAACGGGGCCTGGCACCGCAGGCGTGCCCTCTCCCTGGGCCACTTCATGACTGCTGCCCAGCGGCAGTTCCTGTTGCTGTGCTGGACTCTCTGACGGCCAAGTGTGGGGACTTGTCTCTTCCCTGGCACATGGTAGCATTCCGCAAATGCTTCTTGGCTTGTTGGCAGGATGGGTGTCCTGTGCGGGGGTCCCGGCCTGCTAGGGTGGGTAGGTTGCTGGGAAGCTCCCCCAGCCGACCCTCGGAGGCCCGCCCTGCCGCTTCATCTAGAATGGTACCGTCTGCAGCCACAGGCAATCCCATGCTATCCCTGCAGCCCTGGGCCAGGTGCTCTGAGCCTCCCTCCTCTGTACTCTACCCACAAATCGAAGCCTGCCCTGCCTCTCACTGCTCCCCTTCCCAATTCAGGCATAATCTCCCCCAAGCAGGGCTTTAATCCCGCCTCCCCCACCTGGAGCCTCTCCCACAATGCCCTGAGCTGCTCAGTGAAGTGCATATATCCTCGCTGTACTTTCTAGGCTCTTCCCTGCAAGGTGAGGGCCTTCCCAAAGCAGCCTATCTTCCATTGAACGGAAGAGAAAACCGAGGCCCCAGAAGGGAGAACGCTGCTGCCTCTCACCGTCCTGAGGGGAGCAGCCAGGAGAGCTGGGGCTCAGGGTGTCCAACAAGGAAGGGACCATGTAAGTCGGGGGCTGGCACTGAACACCTACGTCCTGCCCCCACCCATGAATGGCCCCACATTCTGTTGACCCTCTTCCAATCTTGGGCATTCAATGGAGCAGGGGGGTCGGGGTCGGGGAGTGGGGTTGGGGGTGGAGGAATGAGGGAGGTGGGATGGTGGGGGGCAGAGCGTGCCCTCCCTGGCTCGGTGAGGCCGATGCAGCCAGCTGTGGCGAGCAGCAGCTGGATACACATACCAGGATGCACGGTCCCACGCCCTCTGCCAGGGCCCAGCAGTCAGGGGAGAGGGAGGCCAGGGAAGGCAGTGAAGTGGCTGGTGAGGCTCCCAGGAGGGGGGTGGGAAGAAGGGGAGGCCTGGGGAATGCTCCGCCGGCCCCAGGGCCCCAAGTTTCCCCCAGAAGGCCTCTGGTACTCCTCACCCTGACTCCACCAGGAGGTGGAGTGACTTCAGAGTTTCCGTAGAGGAAGGCCCAAGCCGGAGCCTTGTTGCCCACTCCATCTCTGGGGAGCGGGCTGCACTGTGGTCACAGGAGGGTGGTAGGAGTGGACAGGGTAGCCACAGGCCCCAGGACTGGGAGGGGAAGATCATCGTTCAGAACCACCCAGGAAACCCAGGGGCAGAGGCGTGGGCTCCATGCGCTCTGTTCCCCAGCACCAGGGACTCTCTGTTTGAGTTCCTTTGAGGGGTTAAAGGAATCAGGAAAGAGAGGCGATGTCAAGCACGTGCTCCTTCCCAAACACTAACTGAGAAGCAGCCTCAGTGAACAGCAGCACAGCCCTTGCCTGCATGAAACCTGGAGTTTAATGGAAGAGACAGAGGACAGGCACTTCCCCATCCGTGTTTTCGGGGCCATAATAGGTTCGTGCAAAAGCTGGCTTGGACAAGTGGGCACCTACCTCAGTAGGGGATAGGGGAGGCTTCCTGGAGGAGGTGATGCCAAGCGAGACCAGGAAGAGGAGGAGGAGCCGGCCAGTGAGGGGAGCCCGGGCAGGGAGGACTGTTCCTCCCGCTGACAGAACAGCACGTGCCATGACCCAGGGCAAGGTGTGGGGGTCATTTTGAAGAACCCAGAGTTCAGAGTGGCCAAGAGCACCAGCAGAAAGGCTGGAGAGGTGGGCTAGGACCAGGTCATAGGAGAGTTATGACCCAGGAGCATTTATTTATTTTATTTTATTTTTTTTTTGAGACAGAGTCTTGCTCTGTTGCCCAGGCTGGAGTGTAGTGGTACAATCTCAGCTCACTGCAACCCCCACTTCCCAGGTTCAAGTGAGTCTTGTGCCTCAGCCTCCGGGGTAGCTGGGATTACATGCATGCACCACCACACCCAGCTAATTTTTTTGTATTTTAAGTAGAGATGGGATTTCACCATGTTGCCCAGGCTGGTCTCGAGCTTCTGGCCTCAAATGATCCACCCGCCTCAGCCTCCCAAAACTCTGGGATTACAGGCTTACACCACCGTGCCTGGCCGACCCAGGAACATTTAAGTAGTGGAGGAACAAGCTGAAGTTTGCATTTTCAGATCACTCTTATTGCAACTGGAGAGTAGACCAGAGGCAAGGAGGCCAATCAGGAGGCAGGGAGGCCAATCAGGAGGCTGGTGGAGTAGTCCAGGGTGTGCAGCTGGTGGCCTGACCAAAAAGAAGTATTTCAGATGCAGAACTGATGGGAGCTGGAAATGACTGGTTGGTGGAGTGAGAGAGGAGAGGAGAAGGTGGAGTGAGAGAGGAGGAGTGGCTGTGGTGCCAGTCACTAACATGTAGGATGCCAGGGTTGGCCAATGGGGCTGGGCCAGGCCTTGGGTTTAACCTTGGCCCTCTAGAGTGTAAGGAGCCAGCTCCTCCCGTGTCCCTGACCCTATGCCTCCTCCCCAGCTGATGTGCCAAGCACCAGGTCCAAGCGTGTGCATTCGCTCGCCAAACCCCCTCAGCGTGGCAGCAGGGCAGGGAGAACACGGAAACCTCTAGCCACCTGGTTCTTGCCCTCTGAGCTCTTCCAGTCAGTAAAGGAGGTGGGCCGTGTGCACAAACAACAGCCACACGAGGTCTGATCTGTCCAAGTCCGAACTTTATTGCTTTTGACCACAGGCTGTTTGCAAGGGCAGTAAATGATTAAGGGCCACATGAGTGGTAGGGACTGTAATTGCCTCAGAGAGTCTGAGGAATGGGAAAGCCCTTCTGGATGTACAGAAGAGAATTCTGGTCAGGGCTTGGGGGTGGAGAGGGACAGGGCTGCAGGCAGACTGGGAGCTGGGAGACTGGGTTCAAAGTCCAAGCTATGCTCCAACTTGGCTGACTGGCCAAGGACTGTATCTCTCTGGGTCTCTGTTTCCTCATCTGTAAAATGGGGGAAAAGATAAAGCTTAATTAAACTCCCAGTCTCCAAGTCTGGCGTGGGATTGTAGAGCGAATGGACGCAAACAGTCTCTGAGAATGTATGTGCCACTCCTTTGAAAGGGACTGGGGTCCACTCTGCTCAGGTCATAGGATTTGTTTTGGAAGGCCAGCGTTTTTAGAGTTAGGCACACCAGAGTTCAAATCCTGGCTCTGCCATTTACTGGCTGGGTGCCTTTAGCCAAGTGACACGACCTGTCCAGGACTCGTTGTCTGTAGAATGGGATGGCTCCCCCCGCACACAGGGTAAATAAGATTACTGACCTCCATTGGCATGGGCATGACACCGAATCTCTCGGGCAAGTTCACACCAGCCCCAAATGCCCCAGGGTAAGGAAGCCTGGGCCTGAGGCCTGCGGGGACCTTGGCCATTCTTCACCACAAATCTTCCCAGCTGCACAAGAGGTCCTCATTGCCCACCTCCCTCCCCATCCTAAAGCTTCCCACTGACTCTGCCGAGTGGGGGAGTGGGGTCAAATCTCCCGCTGCTCCCCCTCTGGCCCAGATAACACACACACCAATGGGGACCCTGGCCTGCGGAAACTGCCCAGATAAACACTGCCTGCCTCAGATAACCGAGGCCCTATCGGCTTGGCATCTTGTTCTCCAAACCACAGGCGCTGGTGATAAAGGGATTGTGTAGGGGGCTGCATCTGCTGGGGCCCAGGTGGGAGCCTTTTGCAGGTTTTTTGGTTTTTGTTTTTCTTCCTCTCACTATTATTTACAACAAATGTTTGGCCCCTTCAGGGACAAGCCAGTCCTCTGGCAGCCAGGGTCTCCCAACTAGCTCCCCCTCCCTCTCTCATCAAAAACCAGACGGCCATTTGTCCCCCCTGATGGATTTCCAAGGGAGGGAGAGGAAGGCATTGGAGATGGGATTAGGGGGTGGCAGACAGGCAAATTCTGTTCAGAGCTTTTGGTGATTATAAAAAGCTTGGGAGGGAGGGTTGCTCCTTCAGGGACATCTGATACTAACCACCATTTATTGAGCACTTACTATGTATGAGGTGCAGCTTATTTGATCCAGTGGGAGTGCTAACCATCCCCTTCATTTCCATTTTACAGGCAAGACAACTGAGGTTCAGAAGGTCACGATACAACTGGTAAGAAAGACTAGAATCAAAGGCCAGGTTTGAAGCAAAGCCTCTGCTCTTGCCCTCTGCACCCTGTTCCCAAGGGCCGCCCCTGCTTCTGGCCCTTTCTGGGGCATGGAAAGGAAACAGGTGGCTGCTCTCCTAGGCACAGAAAAGTCTGAGCCACACCTGGAAGCTGGCTTTGGGCCAGAGCTGGGATGCTGGGCCGGGAACCTGGGCCCGGAGGGGTCTTGCTGGCTCCCTGGCTCTAGGGTTGTCACATCCTGGGTGGCCTTGGAGGTCATCTGGAGCAAAGGTCTCCTGGGACAGACAGGGAAACAGATGAAAATAGACGTGTGACAGGCCTGGGATCAGCCAGCCAGTGGGTGCTGCTTGAAGACCTTGGCTCCGGGCGATCCCAGCTCACTGATTTTACAGATGAGGAAACTGAGGCCCGGAGCAGGAAAACGACTTGCCAAAAGGCTACATAGCTAAAGCCAGTAGAGCTGACACTCGGGAGGCTGAGGCAGAAGGATCCCTTGAGCCCAGAGGTTCGAGGCCAACATGGGAGGCTCTCTTAAAAAAAATTAAAATAAAGTTAAGCTAGGAATCCAACCCAGGCATCCTGACTTGCAGTGCAGGGCTATTTTCACTCTCCCATATTAGACATACACCACCAGATACAGACACAGAAAACCACAGCCACAGAGGCTCAGGCACAAGGGGCCACCCGGGGGGCACAAGACATGTGCACACTTCCAAGTATACGTGCTCACACCTGGCACTCCCACGACACCGTGTGGGACCCGCTGTCCATCCCCCCACCCCGGGACCTGAAGGAGACCCAGCTGGACTTACTCTCCCCTCCCCTGCCCCTCTCCCCCCACCTCTAGAACAGCACCAAGCCAGGGAGCTCCACGCTGTGCTTAAAAAGGGCACTTAATTTTTCATTCTTAAATGCTGGGATGCTCTTGTCTTCCAGCTTCGCCCAAACCCCTTGGTGGAGATGGATGGAGGCGCGGAACACAGTTATCAGAAAGATTAAGCCAGGACTTGTCATTTTTTTATATCACAGAGCAGTCAGCTCGACGAGTGATGTCCTCCAGTCCGCCAGGATGAGTCCAGAACCTTTAGTGCCAGTAGTAAAAAAGACTATAAAAAACACCATCGGAGAAAGGGTAATGATGAAATTTAACTGCTCCCGATCACACACCTGGGGTCTGCTCGCCGTGGAACCGGGGGGTTCGGCCACATCATCCTTTACTGCTGTGTCCTTGTCTGTGCATTTAAGGTCCTTCCACTGAACCAGAACACACGTTCATGGTGGGGAGCCTGGGGCTGTCTGCCCCACCCCACCCTGCATGGTGCAGAGCACAGACAGTGGGAGGGAGCAGGGCAGACTCTGTCCTAGGAGGCCTTGAGGCCTGTTGGGCCTGGAAAAGGGGCCGTAGGGCTGGATACCCCAGGAGTGTTGCTGAGCTGCAGGGTTACAGAGGAGCTCCAGCCACAGGGCTACTGAAAACAGCATGGGGCTAGACTGTGGTTGGCTAGAATCTTCCTTCCTTCCATTTACCCTTCCTTCCTTCCTCCCTCCCTCCCTCCCTTCCTTCCTTCCTCCCTCCCCCCCCTTTCCTTCCTCCCTCCCCTCCTCCCTCCTTTCCTTCCTTCCTTC
The DNA here is from genome assembly GCF_000001405.40 of Homo sapiens. NCBI lineage: Eukaryota > Metazoa > Chordata > Mammalia > Primates > Hominidae > Homo > Homo sapiens. The sequence continues at coordinate 1,101,091 of NT_187614.1, forward strand.
CCTCCCTCCATCTCACTTTATGTGCCAGGTACTGTGTTACCTACATGATTGTCACCTGAATATTCTCACTGCTCTTAGAATACAGCACTCTGCTTACCTAATTTCTAGCCATGTCTCCCCACCCCAGCCCCTCCTGTCCCATGACCCCATACCACTCTGCCCACTCGACCCTCCCAGTGCTCTATTCTAGCTGTATTGAAACATTCAAAGTAATTTGCTCTCTCCAGCCTCTGGGCTTTCACGCATGCTGTTCCCTCTGCCTGGAACCCCCGTCTGGCTAACCCCTACTCATTAGCAGGTCAAAGCCGCAGCTTCCTCCGGGAAGCCCTCCCTGACATTCTCCAATCAGCTCCCTTGCCAAGAGCTCCCTGCATCTCCCCTTTGTTGTACGTTTCATCACAGTATATTGTCACTGTTGGTTTAATTGTAAGGCGCGTGAAGGCCCCTGTTGAGAACACTATTCTGGGTCTGGGAAGTTAGCAATGAACAAAACAGACAAAATCCCGGGCCATCGTGAAGCTTATATCCCAGTGAAGCGGGGCAGACGAGGACCATCTGTCTCTTTCAACCTTTGTGGACATGTCACTAAAGGTATGGCTGAGTTTAAACCTGAAAAGGGGCCAGGTGCAGTGGCTCACACTTGTAATCCCAGCTCTTTGGGAGGCCAAGGCAGGTGGATCACTTGAGCCCAGACCAGCCTGCACAACATGATGAAACTCCATCTCTACAAAAAAATACAAAAAAAAAAAAATTAGCTGGGCATAGTGGCATAAGCCCATAGTCCCAGCTACTCGGGAGGCTGAGAGGCGAGGATCGCTTGAGCCTGGGAGGTTGAGACTACAGTGAGTTGAGATCGTGCCACTGCACTGTAGCCTGGACAACAGAGCAAGACCCTGTCTCAAAAAAAAAAAAAAAAAAGGCCAGGCACGGTGCCTCACACCTGTAATCCCAGCACTTTGGGAGGCCAAGGCAAGTGATCACTTGAGCTCAGGGGTTCAACACCAGCCTGGGCAACATAGTGAAATCCCATCTCTACCAAAAATACAAAAAGTAGCCAGGCATGGTGGTGCACGCCTGTGGTCCCAGCTACTCAGGATGCCGAGGTGGGAGGGTGGCTGGAGCTTGGAAAGCGGAGGCTGCAGTGAGCTGAGATTGCACCACTGCACTCCAACCTGAGTGACAGAGGGAGATCCAGTCTCAAGAAAAAGCCTGAAAAGGACTTTTGAGGTAGGTGGGATTACCCTCCCTGTGCAACAGAGAGCCCTCAGGTCACTGGTTAGGGAATAGCAGGACCAGGGTTCAAACCAAGGCCAGATGGGCCCCCTAGCTTGAGCTTCCTTCTTGCTCAGCCTGCCTGGCCTCACTGGCCCCTTTGCTATTCCTAACATGCCACGCATGCTCTCTTGTCCAAGTCTTTGAACATGCATTTCCCTCTGCCTGGAATACTCTTCCTGCTGACAACCTTAGGCTCCCCCCTGGTCTCCTTCAAGTCTTTGCTCAAATGTCATTTTCTTAATAAAGTCTTCCCTGACACAACTCCACACACACGCTCCTATGCACCTCATATTCTATATGTTACCTGTTTCATTTTGTCTACCTTTACTAGAGTGTTGGTTCCCTAAGGGCAGAGCTTTTGTCTTTTCTGTTCGTTGTCACATCACCAGTGCCTATCATAGGTGCTCAGTAAATATTTGCTGGGTGAACTGATGGACACAAGAAACACAGAGCTGAATCAGGACGGGTCCCTGCCTTGAAAGGCCTGAGTCTGGCCAAGGGAGACAGTCATTGTCATCTGAGTGAATCATGTTCTAACACAGCAGACTTCCTCCTATCCTTGTCCCCTTACCACCTCAGGACACAGCCCTCTCCCAAGACTCAGTCTTTCTCTGGCACTCAGATTGTCTGTCTATGGGCAGAGAGTGCTCCGATCGGCCCCAGGGAGGGTGAGCTGGGAGGGGCAGGGTGAGCGGGACCCACAGTGGCTGACCTGGCACAGCCTGCACGGTCTCAGTTCTGGAGCAGCCCTGGGGGGACCTGGGGAGAGGAAGGGCAGCAGAGTTCAGGAAACAGAGCCCCAGCCCCAGCCTGCTGATGGCATCGGCTCCTGTCCCCACAGTGCCTGTAAAAGGCCATTCCTCAGGACCCAGGAGTCCCAAATGCCAGTCCAAAACTCCACACCTGACCCACCAAGGGACCTTGAGCAAGTCACCTTCCGTCCCTGAGTCCCAGTGTTTTCTCCCCTACGGATTAGAACTGGCCAGGCAAGGTGGCTCATGTCTGTAATCCCAGCGCTTTGGGAGGTGGGCAGATCACCTGAGGTCAGGAGTTCAAGACCAACCTGGCCAACATGGTGAAACCCCGTCTCTACAAAAAATACAAAAATTAGCCAGGCATGATGGCAGGTGCCTGTAATTCCAGCTACTTGAGAGGCTAAGGCAGGAAAGTCACTTGAACCCAGGAGGTGGAGGTTGCAGTGAGCCGAGATCATGCCATTGCACTCCAGTCTGGGCGACAGAGCTACACTCTGTCTCCAAAACAACAACAACAACAACCACCACCACCACCACCTACACAGATGGCTCCAAACCTTTTCAAGGATAAGGACCCCTCTTTAGAATTTTTTACTGAAGCATCATAAACACACACAGTGATTTTTCACAAAGTTCATCAGCATCTTGACCAAGAAATAAAACATCACTGACTCCCAAGAAGTCCCCTTACGGCCCTTCCCAGTCCCTACTTCCCCAAAAGGTAAAGATTGTCCTGATGGTTAACACTAGATTGTTTCCCCTGTTTTCTGAACCTTGAGGCTCCCTTCGTAACTCTACAAAATGTTCTTTTGATTTTAGCCCCCAAGATGATGCTCACCAGCTGGAGTTCGCACCCATGTTAATTCCCTCCCACATCGAATCAGGGTGATCTTTGTGACCAGTAAAGTATGGCAGAGGTGACAGTATATGGCTTCTGAGGCTAAGTCATCAATGGCAGGTGGCTTCTGCCTTGCTCTATTGGATCACAGCTCTCAGAGAGCTGGGTGCCCTGGTATGAGCCATCCTATGGAGCGCTCCACACAAAAAGGAACTGAGGCCTCCCACCGGCAGCAGGTGGCAACATGCCAACCACACAAGTGTGCCATCTTGGAAGCAGATCTTCCAGCCCTGGTCAGGCCTTCAGATGACTGCAGTTTCCGCCAACATATGACTGTAACGTCACAGGAGACCCTAAGCCAGAGCTGCTGGCCAAGCTACTCCTGAATTCCAGACCCATGGAAACTGTGAGAAATAGTAAATATTTATTGTTGTTTTAAGCTACTAAGTTTTGGGATAATTTGTTACACAGTAATAGATAAGTACTACAGTATTCATTGATTGAGCAATACTCAATGAACCAAGCCCCTTTGGCGTTCAGTCAGCCTTTAAAGGAATTCATTTTTAAAATTATCTGAATAGTATCAACTCACACTTGAATAAAGGACTTTCATTTTGGTCCTTTTGACAAAGACATCGTTCAGGCTAAGGACTGGCAATAACTCCAATGTCCCTGCAGGATCTGAGGCCCCAAGTTCGGGCCAGAGTGTGGAATTAATGTTGACTCAGTTGACCTCTAAAGCTCTTTTTATACGAAAACCCTGGACTCAGAGACTTTCAGGGACCTGTTTGCCAGTCCTCGCTCCTTCCATATGGTTGGTCAATAGAATATGATAGTGAGGAACCCAGGCTTTGGGGTCAAGCAGGTCTGTGTTCAAAGCCTGGCTCCTCCTCTTCCCAATCTATGTGACCTCCTCAAACAAGTAGCTTCAAATAAGTATGCTCTGAATCTCAGTTTCCTCATCAGAAAAATTGGAGAAGAGACGCCTGGCTCCTAGGCGTCGTATGAAGAGGAAATAACACATAGCTTGTCCTTGTGATGAGGCAGCTGTGCTGATCATCAGACCACAGACTGGCTGGGCACTCTCAGAGGTATTGGGAGACTGTTCCCCTCTCACCCGGCCTGCCCTGCGGGTGGCTGCACCCCTCCTTTGTGAGTTTGAAGGGCCAGGTGAGCATATGGCCACATGGCAGGACTTGGATGGAGTGAAGCCTGCTTCCTCTCCCTCGTTAGCATCGCCCGGGGACCTGCTCTCTCCTTAGCAAAGGCCTGGATAACGAAGGCCACAGCCTATTAATTGCGGTGACAGTGATAAAGGAAGAGGGGGAGGCTGCTATTTGTCTTGCCCGTAACCTCTCGCATCATTCCAAGATGAATGAAAACTCATTTTCTGCTTTGATTCAGTCTAATTTCTCTGGGCCCCCTGGGCCTCATGGGGGGAAGGGACTCACAGCCCTTGCTGAGGAGGAATCGCAGGGAGGAGGAGAAAGGGTCAGAGGTCACAGAGGGAGGAGGGTGGGCTCCACTGGGGAACCAAGATCTTGGTGGGGGCAGTGATTAGAGCATTCAGTCATTAAGTGGATGGCGGGCTGGGGCTTACACAGGTGCTGGCTAAGGGCATTCACAAACTAATCTGGTGAAGAGGTGAATGTGCTACCCACTTCACAGATGAGACAATGGTGGCACTTGGGAGAAAATGGCTAGCACAAGGTCACACAGCGAGTGAGGGCCAACATCCAGCTTCAGCAGGGAGGAGAGGCTGGCCAGGGCCCTCGCTGGCTCTTTCCCAGTCAGTCAGTCACTCACAGCATGGTGTCCCACCTGGATGAATGACTTCATCGGCACAGAAGTCCCATGGACGGGAAAGGACCATCCAGCAGGGAAGCTGCCAGCCTACCTGTCCTTTCTCCCTCGGGGACTGGAAAAGGAGAGGGGCCAGGGGATGGGGAATGGACCTTTTTGGCCATCAAGGAACAAAGACTCGCCAAGTAGGGCCTTGTTGGAATTGCCATTTTCTCTGCTGTAAGATGGAGCCAACAGTCCCCGCCTCCCAGGACCACATGGTGGCTGGAGAGGGCAGGTGATGGGCATGCGTGTGAGGGTACTTCACACCCACTACTTCCTCTCCGTCGAAAGGGAGAAGCAAAGCAGTCGTCCCCAGATATTTGACCTGCTTTGTCCTAGGTTAACCATCTCCGGGGGTCAGTCTGCCCCTGAGTCCCTGCACCTGCCTGTCCTGATCTATCACCTGGGTCCCCTTTGATGGTCCAGAGGTCCCCTTACCACCTCAGGACACAGCCTTCTCCTAAGACTCAGCCTTTTTCTGACACCCAGGCCATCAGCCTGTGGGCAGAGAGTGCCCCAGTCGGCCCCAGGGAGGGTGAGCTGGGAGGGGCAAGATGAGCGGGACCCACAGTGGCTGACCTGGCACAGCCAGCACGGTCTCAGTTCTAGAGCAGCCCCAGGGGAGCTGGGGAGAGGAGGGGCAAGAGACTCAGGACCCAGAGAGTGGGAAGGGCCTGGGTCTGTGATTTCCCTGCTAAAGTGGCCTAGCAGCCCCAGGGGAGCCGCATGGACTGTGAAGAAGGTGGGAGATACCCCCAGGCCAGCTGCAGGTTCACAGGAGAAACTCGGCTACGTGTGTCCAATGCGCTTCACACAACATCCTCCCGGGTCTTTGGGCCACAAGGTGGAGGCGCTGTAACTGGGAGGAATTTTGTGATGGTGCAATGCATGAGTCAGCATGGGCTCTAGAGCCCGGCAGCCTGACGTGAGCTGCAGCTCTGCTGTGTGACCTTGGGTACGTTGCTTTGCCTCTCTGGACTTCACTTTCGCTATCTGTAAAATAATCTTCCTCATATGGTTATCAGTTCACTTATGTAAAGCACTTAGAGCATGTGTCTAAGTGGGCTGGGACAGACCTGAGCCTGGGTTGTGCTCTGAGGGGCTGCAGCCAGGCTAGGAAGGGCTGGCGGAGGATGTGCGTGAGAAGTAAAGCAGCTGACTCCACTCGTGTCCCCCTCGCCCCCCACCAATCTATGGCATCCTCCCATCTGCCCCAGATCTGAATTGCAAATGACCTTCCTTTCCCCACCACTCCAGCTGGAGACAGCTGAGTCCAAAGAAGATGTGTGCCTGCCCCTGTAGGGCGCCCTAGCCTTGCTCTGTCTCAAAGGGTCTGCAGGCGGAGCCCTTAGACCAGGGCCCCTTTCCAGGATCCTGAGAGAGTAGGCAAGGCCCAGTTAGAGCCACCTAGCCTGGCATTCAAGGCCTTCACAGCCTGGCCTCACCTTCTTTCTCTGCTCCCATGTCCATCCCCATCCCCTATCACCCATCCCACCCACTTCTCCATAGGCTCAGCCAAAGTCCCATGCTAATGTAGGGAAGGTGGATGATCTTCGCTGAGTACTTACAGGTGCTTACAGCACTGGGCGCTGTATTACAAGCATCAGCTTGGATACACCTCCTACAACTCCATGAGGCATGTACTGTTGAGAATTCCATTCTACAGATGGAGGGACTGAGACTCAGAGAGGTTACATACCTCTAGCAGGTGGCAGAGCTGGGACACAGACACACAATCACATCTTGCTCCCTCCAGAACCCAGCTCTTAACCATTACTCTGTTCTGCCATGAAGCAGATCCTGCATAAAATATATAGGAGAAATGAAGTCAGGGAGCCAGGACCTGTAACGAAGGAATAAAAGGAGCTTCTAGAGGTAGTCATTCATCCACTGATTTGATATTTACCAAGCATCTACTAGATGCTGAGCACTCAGAGATAATTATAATGATGATGAGAATAACATCAATGGTAGTAACATTAGTGATAGTGGTAAGATAAAAACTATTGCTGACATCTTCTGAGCTCCTACAATGTGTTTGGCACTGTGCTAGGTCTTCTGTTGCAGAACTCTAATCCTTACAGCAGCCCTGCAAGACAGTTATTATTATTATTATCGCCACTTTATAGATGAGTCCACTGAGGCTCAGAGAGCCTGTATCTAAATTCACTTAGATTTCAAGCATCTGAGCAAGAATTTGAACCCCCAGACTGTCTTTGAATAACAACAACAACACTCATGAGACTGTCTAGCATTTATTGGATACTTTCCAGACAGTCTGCTAAGCACTTAAAATGATCATGTAAGCCAGGTGTCATTATCATCTCTATCTTAGTGATGAGGAGACTGTGGCTTGGAGGTCAAGTAAACTGCTCAAGGTAATGGGCTGAGGACACAGTGCAGCCAGGATTTGGAGCCAGGTCCACCAATCTGCTCCCATCTCCATCCCCATCCCCTACCTCCCACCCCACCCTTTTCTCCATAGGCTCAGCCTAAGTCCTATACTAATATAGGGAAGGTAGAAGTCTTCTATTTCCCCACAATGCCCCTCAAGGAAAGGGCTGTCTAGAGTAAGCAGTTTAAGTACAAGGACTCTATTCTCTCTCTTCTGGGCTAATGCAACTGCCTCCTACTGGGACTTCTCTAGTTGCTTCTCCTCCAAACCTTCGTTCATAGTCCGTTGTTACTCTACTGACAGAGGTACTGTCCTAAAACTCAACCGGTGGCAGAGGCAGCTAACTGTCCACCAAAAGTTCATGCTGCACCTTTCAAAGGGGGCATATATCACTGGAGGGCACCACCCTGCCAGGTCCTACATTTCCCAGAGCCCTTTGCAACTGCTTGAGGCCGTGTAATTACTTCTCGCGGGTGGAATGCAGGCAGAAGTGATGTGTGTTGCTTCTGGGCCAAGTGATTAAGAAGCAACTGTACCTTCTCCACCCTCTCTCTTTCCTTGTCCACCAGCTGGAAGTGGGGGATTCCAAGACCTTCCAAGATTCCTCACTCTTAGGGGTGTTGTGGACTGAAGTTTGTGCCTCCCCCCAAAAAATTGATATTTGTAATTAATATTCATAATCAAATTCAAAATTCCTATGTTGAAATCCTAACCCAATGTGATAGTATCTGGAGGCGGGCCCTTTGAGAGGTAATTACGGGTAGATATCAGGTCATGAGGGTGAGGCCCTCATGAATGGGAATATTGCCCTTATGAAAAGAGGAGACACAGTCTCCCCTGTCCCACTCTGCTCTCTGCGTGTGAGGATACAATGAGAAGACAGCTGTCTGCAAACCAGGAAATGGGCCCTTAACAGACACCAGATCCACAGCAGCTTGATCTTGGACTTCCCAGCCCCCAGAACTATCAGAAATAAATGTTTGTTGTTTAAGTCACCCAGTCTATCTAGGGTTGGTTGTTATCACAGCCCAAATTGACTAAGACGGGGGTGTAAGGAGGCTGGTGGGTCCTGAATCACCATGTGGAAGAAGTGACCCAGCAATCTGGAGCACCCATATTGGACTGCTGTGTAAGTAAGAAGGACACCTTTTGGGGGAAGCCACTGAAATTTGGCGGTTTACTTATTACAGCAGCCAGGCTTACCTAAAGAATAATATATTCACTCCTGGTTCATAATTTTTTTTCTTTTTTTTTAAGACAGAGTCTCACTCTGTCACCCAGGATGGAATGGAGTGGCAATCTTGGCTCACTGCAACCTCCATGTCCTGGGTTCAAGTGATTCTCATGCCTCAGCCTCCCAAGTTGCTGGGACTAACAGGCATGCACCATCACACCCAGCTAATTCTTTTTATTTTTAGTAGAGACAGGGTTGTGCCATGTTGGCCAGGCTGATCTCAAACTCCTGACCTCAGGTGATCAGCCCACTTCGGCCTCCCAAAGTGCTGGGATTACAGGCATGAGCCACTGCAGCCGGCCCTGGTTCATACTTCTAAATGGGCTCATCCTTCTAAATGGTTTCCTCCATCTGAAGAATAAAGCTTAAACTCCTGGCCATGGTCTATAAGACCTTTCACAATCTGGGTTCCGCCACCTTTCCAGTCCCATCTCCCACCCCCACCTTTAAAAAGAAAATGTGTTCAATCACAGAACTGCTCTATTCCCTGACACAGCATGGTCTTCATACTCGTGGGTGTTTACATGGCTGACCCTCTGTCTGGAACACTATCCTGCTCTTCTCTTTAGAAAATGTTGATTCAGCTTTCAAGACCCGTTTTCCATATTACCTCCTCACTGAAATCTTCCCTTTCTGTAGCAGAGGACGTTGCACCCACAGAAACCTCCACAGATGCACTTATCAGAGTGCATTGTAATTATTTGTTCCTATATCTGATTGTCTGACCAGACTGTGGAGTCCTCTGGGGCTGGACTTGTGGCCCATCAAGTTTTGTATCACCAGTGCCTTACAACATAGAAAGTGCCCAGCAAAGACATGGATTTATGGATAAACTGGTAAACAACCAAAAAGTCTAAAGTCTATGCCCCAAGTTCTGCAGGGCTTAGCCTCAGGCATAAATCCCTCCACAGAGATGAAACTGGGAAGTCTGTTTCCTGCCCTTCAAAGACAAAGTGAGTCCTGGCGCAGTGGCTCACGCCTGTAATCCCAGCACTTTGGGAGGCCAAGATAGGCGGATCACTTGAGGCCAGGAGTTCAAGACCAGCCTGGCCAACATGGTGAAACCCTGTCTGTACTAAAGAAAAAAAATAGAAAAATTAGTCAGGCATGGTGATGGGTGCATGTAATCCCAGCTACTTGGGAGGCTAAGGCACAAGAATCGCTTGAACCCAGGAGGCGGAAGTTGCAGTGAGCCAAGATCGTGCCACTGCACTCCAGCCTAAGTGACAGAGCAAGACTCTGTCTCAAAAAAACAAAACAAAACAAAACAAAAAAAATAAAGTAATACAAGCCCAGGGCCCCAGAGGGAGAAGCAATCCTGTGTCCTCTCTTGTCTAAAGTCCCTGAAAATTCCTCCCATGGCCTGAACCCAGATGACCCCTTAGGGCTCATTCTTAAGACAGGGGAGAGGATTGAGGAGAAATGACAGGTTCTAGACTTAAGCTGATTCATTCACCTGATTCAAGGCCTACTGAGAGCAGAAGGCCTGGCCTCAGCCTCCTCCTGAATAATCATGGGCCGTCTCCAGGGTTAAACAGGCCTGGGTTCGAGTCCTGGTCCTGCCATTACTCATGGGACTTGGACATGTTGATCATATCCCTGTTTGAAAATAGGAAAATACCACTCTCAGGGTGGTTGTGAAGACCTACAACATTTCTTATTGGTTAGGTCTTACATTTTCTAACCTAAGGATGGGCCTCCCAGCCAGGACCTGGGATCCAGGGCATCACAGTCCCAGGACATCCTGTCCTCCTCCCTCCTATCCCCACCTCCACCGCTGCTGAGGCCCTCTGTCTCCCCAAGAATCTCAGCTGCTTCTGCAATGAGTTCACACTGGATTTTTTTTTCTTTCACCAAGTTGTGAGTGGGGACATAGCTGAGACACTTGGGGTTTCAAGTAAAGAAAGAGTCTGATGGGTGCAGCACACCAACAGGGCGCATGTATACATATGTAACAAACCTGCACGTTGTGCACATGTACCCTAAAACTTAAAGTATAATAATAATAAAATAAAATAAAATAAAATAAAGAGTCTGAGACTTGGAGAGATAGGGAAGGGATGGAATGACAAGGAAAGAAAGGAAACAAAGGTAAGACAGGAAAATTTAAAAACAGAGCTGGCCAGGCAGGGTGGCTCACACCTGTAAACCCGGCACTTTGGCAGGCCAAGGAGGGCAGACTGCTTGAGCCCAGGAGTTTGAGACCAACATTTAGCCGGGCATGGTGGCACATGCCTGTATTCCCAGCTACTCCCAGCTAAGGTGGGAAGATTGCTTGAGCCCAGGAGGTTGAGGCTACAGTGAGTTGTGATCATGTCACTGCACTCCAGGCTGGGCGATAGAGCAAGACCCTGTCTCAAAACAACAACAACAACCACAAACAGAACCAAAGACCAAGACACTAAGGAACACAACAGAGACAGAAAGATGAAGACAAAACAGAGAAAAAGCAAGAAAGAGAGAAGCAGAAGTGGAAAGGTGCAGCCATGGAGAAAGAGAGTCAGAGGGGAAGGGGAGGGGGCCGTTGACAAGCCGGGCAAGGACAGGGACAAAGTGAAGGCCCCTCGGCCCCCAGCTGAGCACGGCTTTCAGCCTCAGAGGGTTCTGCTGCTGAGAAAGCAAAGTCTCTTCTCCCTCATTCGAATGAATGTGATATTCAATCAATGAAGATTAACTCGCCCAAGGTAAAGGGGTTTTTCCATCTGTAAGGAAGTCGAAGACAATTATGCAGATGAGAAAATTACCCTGAGATGAGGAGCCTCTTGTATATGATAATTATGTGAAGGGTGGACTCCCACACTGATTAGCATATCTCCAAGACCAGACCCAGATGGAGGAGGCAGGAGGAGCAGAGGTCACCAGGAATCCCCCTCAGAGAGGTGGGTTGGAGATGTCCCAGCCCCAGTGGTCGTCTTTGGAGAAGAGGACACGTCGCCACCATCAGTAAAGACTAACTGGAGCCTTGTTCCCACAGTGTCCATCGAAGCTGCCTGGGCCAGAGCAGGGCCGATCAAGCTTTAATATGAGTATGAAGCCCTGGAGATCCTCCTCAGATGCAGGCTCTGATCTGGGGGGTCTGGGTGAGATTCTGCCTTTTTTTTTTTTTTTTGAGACAAAGTTTCGCTCCTATTGCCCCGGCTAGAGTATAATGGCACAGTCTTGGCTCACTGCAACCTCTGCCTCCCAGGTTCAAGCGATTCTCATGCCTCAGCCTCCCAAGTAGCTGGGATTACAGGTGCCTGCCACCACACTCGGCTAATTTTTGTATTTTAAGTAGAGATGGTTTTTCACCATGTTGGCCAGGCTGGTCTCGAATCCTGACCTCAGGTGATCCTCCCAAAGTGCTGGGATTACAGGCATGAGCCACCGCACCTGGTTTGTTTTTTTTTTGTTTTTTTTTTTTTTTCTGAGACGGAGTCTCGCTCTGTCACCCAGGTTGGAGTGCAGTGGCACACTCTTGGCTCACTGCAACCTCCACCTCCCAGGTTCAAGCAACTCTCCTGCCTTAGCCTCCCGAGTAGCTGGGACTACAGGTGCCCGCAACCATGCCCGGCTAATTTTTTGTATTTTTAGTAGAGACAGGATTTCACTGTGTTAGCCAGGATGGTCTCAATCTCCTGACCTCGTGATCTACCCGCCTCGGCCTCCCAAAGTGCTGGGATTACAGGCGTAAGCCACCGCACCCGGCCAGGTTCTGCATTTCTAAGAAGCTCCCAGCTGATGCCAATGCTGCCAGTCCACAGGCCACACTTTAGAGGTCCTGGCTCTGTGGTTCTCACCTCTGGTTGCACCCTAGTCGCCTGGGGAGCATAAAAAGCAGACCAATGCCTGGGGCTCACTCCAAACCAATTCAATTAGAACCTTTGCAAGAACAGCCTGAACACTGGAATTTTTTTTTTTTTTTTTTTTTTTTTGGTGAAAAAAACAACGATTCTAATGTACAGCCAGGAATGAGAGCCCCTGACTTGAATGGTGGCTGGAATCCTGAGAAGTCCATGGATCTATTCCAAGTCTCCAGGGACACTCAGGCCCTAAGACCCTCAGAAGCCAGAGGCCTGGGCCGGAGCCAGGGCAAGGGCTATGGAAGAGGCAGGGAAGAGCAAAAAAATGGACTGAGTAACCCAGCTTGGGAATGGACTGAAGACACCGCACTGGGTGTGCTGGGGAGCCTTGAACCACAAAAACCAGCTATGATGTGTGAAATACCCGCTGTGGACTAAGCCCTGCACATGTATTCTCTGTGACTCTTAAATGGGGTTATTTTTAATCCCAATTTGACAGATGAGGAAGTTAGGCTCAGAGAGGCAAAGTGATTTCCCCAAGGTTGTAGAGTTGGGATTTGAATCCAGCTGGGTCTGACCCCCAAAGCTCAGGCCATTGCCTCCCACCCACTGGGGAGGGGCCCTGGGGGTAAGCTTATCCAAGGAAGTTAGTGGCTGGCCCTGGACCCTAAGGCCTGACTGAGCTAGGGGGTCCCTCCGGCCTGCTATGCCAGAGGAAGGCCGGCCTCACGTGATGGAGGGGAGTGAGCAAGGGCTTGGAAGTCAAACAGCCTTGGGTTCAAATCCTGGCTTTTATGAGCCTTGTAACCTCAAGCAAGTCATTGCCCTTGCTGAGCATCTGACGGGCTCCTCCTTGGCCAATAGGGATGATAGGACCAACTTCACAGGGTTGCTGGGAGAAGGAGATGAGGTCAGGTGTCTCATGTGTGTGCCATGGAGTTTGGGCAGGGTTTTCCTCTTCTGAGGGAATGGAGGTTGGCTGAGCCAAGGCTCAAAGGCTCTAGGACTCATCAGAGCCCGCCCACCTCTTCGGGGCTTTGGCAGGGTTGCCACAGGCTCCTCCTCTACTCTGATGCAACACTGATGGGAACCTAGGGCTTTCCAAATGATGCACCGGGCCTGGGTCCAAGCCTGTCTGAGTCTGGTCTGGACTCATCAGCAATATCCTACCATACAGACAGCATTGAGTGTGGCCCCTCTGCCTGGGATACCTTGGGGCATGAGCCCCAGCATCTCTCCCATAGCAGATGCCCCATTACCCGTTGGTGGGCAGGGGTGGGGAGCTCTATAAAGAAAGGCAGTGGGCTTGGAATCTTCCGGCACTAGCCAGCCTTCCTGCCCTCTCCCAGGAATTCCCCTTGGAGAACCATCCTGTCTCCACGGCTGCTGAGTAAGGGTGTACCCCACACACGTGGCCCTTGTCCACTCACCAAAGTGTGCACTCTGCCTGGAAGGGGCTTCTTTAGTTAATTGCCGTGAAAGCACCCTGTGTGGCATCAGGGAGGAACTTGCCTTCTGAGGGCCTCAGTCTCCAGCTCTGTAAAATGGGGACAGTAAGGGGTGCTCAGTGAAGGTTCAAGACCTTCTCCCTCTGAACACACAACCTCTCCTCACCACCAACCCCACCCCCAGCACCCTTTTGGCTACCATTCACTCAAACAAACAGAAACCAGGGGCTGGGGTGTACTGACTCAGAGGTGGGGGGCGCCCCAGTCCTCACCCTGTGTTTCTATTTCCATATTGTTCCCCACAATCTTCCCCTCCTAGCCAGGCCAATGGAGGATGAGGATGAGGAGAGAAAGAAGGGAAAAGAAAAGGGGGCTACAGAGGTGGAAGCTGGGAGCTGCACCCATGCCCCCATGTCTCTGTGAATGCGTTTCTCTGTTTTCTGTATCTGTGACTCTGTCCTGTCTCCGTCCCTCCCTCCCTCCCTCTCTCTCTCTCTGTCCATGGATGTGTTGGTGTACTTGTCTGGGCATCTGCGTGTGTGTAGAAATGTATCACTGTAACTTCGTGCCTGTGCATGCTGTAGTTGTGTGTGTCTCCCGCTCTGTGTGTGTGTGGGTGTGTGAACCCCTGTCTCTGCACGGATGTGTGTATAGCTCTGAATGTGTGTGTGTGAAGCAGGGGATTGTGTCTGTGTACATGTGTGTCTGGACTGGAGTCTATCGGGTGTGTATGTTTGAACATGTGTATGATAGCATCTATGGGTGTATCTGAGTGTGTGTCTGCGTGGGTGCATATCAATGGTGTATGAAGATCTGAGTGTGTCTAGGTTAGTGTGTATCAGTGTGGAGGGGTGAGTGCCTGGGAAGGGATGAGTCAGAAGTAGGTATGTGTATCTGCATGCACCTATGTGGGTGTGTGACAGCGTGTGTGGATGTCTAGGTGTATCAGCATCTGGGAGAGAGGGGTTATCAGCATGGAGGGTGAGTGTGTGCATATGATTGTGTCTATCTTCTCAGTATATGGGATGTGGGGTGTGTTTGTGTATCTGTGTCTGGGAGGAGTGTGTTGGTGCGGGGGGATGTGTATCCTATGTGAGACTTGTGAGCGTATATTAGTGTGCTGGGTATGAGTATGTGTGTCTCTGTACGGGGGTGTCAGTGTGTGGAGTATGTGTGTGTATCTCTGTGTAGGTCTGAATGGGTGTGTTTCAGCGTTTGAGGAGTGTGCATATCTGTGCACAAATCACTGTGAGCGTGTCTATCAGTATCTTAAAGTAGGGCGTATGTGTGTCTGCGCAGGGTGTATGGGAGTGTGCGGCTGTGTCTGTGTGTGTGTCTCTGTCTGTGTATCTGTGTAAGTCTGCACCTCTCCAGCTTGGCTGGGCCCCGGCACTGTAAATCCATCAACTCCACATGATTTTGTCAATTCTGACAGCTAACTTCAACATGACGACAAATCTGGCCCCAGAGGATATTAAGCAAAGACACATGAGCCTATAATTTTCTGCTTGCACGTGTGAGATGCTATAATAATCAAAAGAAAATGAGTTTCTAACTACCCCAGCTCTTTGTGCTGCTGCCTTCATGCCGGCTGCACTAATTGAATCACCCGGCACCACTGTATCAATGGTAACTTGGGTATTGGGGGGTAATCAGGCGTGTGGGGGGGACCAGCTTGGAGAGGTGCGGGGGCTTTTGTGAAGGTCCCATCTGCCTCATGCACCAAAGCCGCCAGCCGCCCGCCCGCCCGCATTTGGCTGGACAAGGGAGTGACTGAAGGGCAGCCCTCACCAAGGGGAAGGCCTGGGAGGGGATGCCTGGGGGAGGGGGCACCTGTACCCAGATGCTGCAGCTCAGGCCCCTTGGTCCCGGAAGGAGAATTGTACAAAAATAATAAAGATCCAGGCTTTGGAGATCGGCCTACCTGGGCTCAAACCTGGCTGATGGCCCGTATGTCATTTGATTTCTGGGGCTTAGTGTCCTCATGTAGAAAGTAGAACAGCCAATCTACCTCACAGGGACATACACACAGATTAAGCACCCTCAGTTAGTTGCCTTGCAGAGAGGAGGCACTTGGAAGTTGTCACAATTTTTACTGTTACCAAGTATTGACAGTGCTTTCCCATGCCTTATCTGCTTGTCTCTTCACAGTGTGAGATAAGGCTCATTATCCCATTTCATTCCTGAAGAAACAGAGGCTCAGAGAAATTAAGTAACTTGGCCACTTGGGAGAGACACGTCTTTCTCTACCTACAATTGGAGGGGCTTGATCAGGATGTATGTGTGTTTTCTAAGAAGGAGGAGGAACAGTCCCTTATAACTTCTAGAAGTCCCCCTGACAGTCCTGTGACTCATCAAAAATCATAATCACTCACCTTGAGATAGCGGTTGCCAGGGCCGCTTACTGTGTATTAACTCATGTAACCCACACAATGAGTTTGTGAGGTAGAAACACAATTATCCCTGTTTTACAGATGAGAAGACCGAAGCACAGGGAGGCTAAATAACTCTCCCAAAGGTCACGTGGTTCGTAGGTGGTAGAATTGGGCTTCAAGCCTGGAAAGTCAGTCTCCACAGTCCTCATTTTGATCTATCATTTGTCCTTCCTCTTAAAGATCCAGTTGTGCCCCACACTCACTTTTGCCCCTCAAAGTCTTCTAAACTGAATCCCACATTTGTCTCTAAGAGCTGTCCTCTCTGTACCCAAGGGACCATTCTTCCCGACGTCAGGCTGCAGAGTGGAATGGAAATCCCTCCATCCCCAACCTCACTGTGCACCCCCACATCAAGGCAGGAGATTACCCCATCATCTTGCTCTCTAGCTCATGCCTTCCACTCTAGCTCACCACTTCCAATCAAATAGCAAGTGTTCACCAAGCAGCCGTTTATACTCCTGGACCTGGTTGGAGAACTGAGGGCTTCAAAGAGGAAATTATTTTAACTCCATACTTTTGTACAACAAAGCTTGAAGCAGTAGAAAGAGCACAAGCTTTGGAGACAGGCAGATCTGAGTTCTGATTTTGGCACTGGCAGTCACTAGCTGGGGTCCCTTGGGCATGTGGCTGAACATCTCTGTGGCTCAATTTTCTCAACTATAAAATGGAGACATAGTTCCCCCTAAGATCAGAAAAAGGGCAAGTATGTCTGCTCTTATCACTCCTATTTCACACTGACCTGGAGATCCTGCCCAGTGCAATAAGACAAGAAAAAGAAATAAAAGACATACAGATTGGAAAGGAAAAATAGAAACCATCTTTATTCACAGACAACATGATTGTCTTCATAGAAAACTCTAAGAATCAATCAAAAATAAAACTAGAAGTATTAAGTTCAGTAAAATTTCATAATAGGTCAATATTCAAAAATAAATTATATCTCTACATGCTGATAATAAACAATTGGAAGTTGAAATTAAAATAAGAACATTAATCCCACCTCACAAGATTCCTAGAAGGAGTCAAATGAAGTAATATTTATCTAGAAGTATTGTGCTTGTGTGCTTCCTGATAAGCTTTCTTGAGAGGGGAAGAAAGAAAGGCTGAAAGAGAATCACACCCAACACCCATCCCCTCCTGTCTGCACCAAAACCACAGAGAGGGAGTATTTCTGATACATCCTCAATGGTTGTGCCTATTAAAAATCTTAGGGCTTTATTTATCCACAATTTGGGAGAGGCGGGACCTGGGGAGATGGTTCATCAAAATCTGGGGCTCCCTGGGGAACAAGTTGTCATGAACGCATGAGCATTGTCCACCATGGTGGTCTGCCCAGAGAGGGACAGAGAGCCACAGCCTGTGTGCACTCCTCCTCCTGTCCCTCCACCTGCTCTTTTGTCTCATCTTTGTATTATTCTGCATACCTGCTGAGCTGGGCCCAAAATGTACAATGCAACCTGAACAAATCTTAGGCCATTTGAAGCCTGGGTCACATCCAGAAGAAACCCTGATAGTCTCCAAAAGCATTGATTGGCAATGAAGCCTTTGCAAAACTCCCAAACAAGCGGCAAGGTGGGAAAAGCAACTATGTCGTACAACAGACAGAAACTCTCTCCAAATCCTCTTCAGGCCTGCCTTTCCCCAAAGTGCCATAGGTCACTACACTCCCCACCCCCTTTTTTCTTTTTCCTTTTTCTCTCCTAAAACTCTAGCTCTGCTCTCTCTTGCCTCCACCTCTAGTTGACTGGATCGATTCTATTCTGATCCAGCTTTTGCTGCTAACTTTATGCTCTTTCTTCAGTGAAGCATCTTCCACTTTGTATCACCTTGATCAGCTCAGATGTGGGAACATGGCAGGAGAAGAAAGGCTGTAAATATTCACATCTTAATATTTTTGTTCCTGCTTCATCAGAAGCCTTCAAGTGGCTCACAGCCTTGTAGGAGGAGGACAAGTATAGATGGCTACACCACACCACAGTGACATTCTCCTCAAGGCTGGTCTGAAGCACTATAGATGCAAAGTGGAGGTTCAATTCCTGCAGCAGGTGGGCATCAGGAGGAGGCGACTTTGAACCGGGGCTTGAAGAATGAGTAGGTATTCCCCTGATGGGGGGACAGAGAGGAACGGGGAGAGGAGGGAGCAGCTACACTTCACCTCCTCACTTTGTATCCAGTATCTTCTTTTATTTTTGAGATGGAGTTTCGCTCTTGTTCCCCAGGCTGGAGTGCAATGGCGTGATCTCAGCTCACCACAACCTCCACCTCCCGGGTTCAAGTGATTCTCCTGCCTCAGCCTCTCAAGTAGCTAGGATTACAGGCATGCACCACCACGCCCAGCTAATTTTGTATTTTTAGTAGAGATGAGGTTTCTCCATGTTGGCCAGGCTGGTCTCGAAATCCTGACCTCAGGTGATCTGCCCGCCTCAGCCTCCCAAAGTGCTGGAATTACAGGCATGAGCCACCGCACCTTGCCCAGTATCTTCTTTACTACCCACCCTCCCACCAATAGTCTTGCGAGGTGGGTATACATGAATATTCCCATTTTACTGAATTGGAGACTGAGGCCCAAGAGGAAATGAACTCATCAAGGTCACCCAGAGAATAGTTGGAGCTGGTAGGACTTGAATTCTGGACTCTGTGGCTTCAAAGCCCTTTTGGTGGGCAGGTGAAGGGAGAGGAGAGAGAACTTCAAACAGCCTCTGTGGTGGGAGGGTGGGGGTGGAGTGAGGAGGCTCTGGTCACCGGGACATACAGGTGAGACCAGTGAGGTGCAGTCAGTGTGTACAGCACGTCATCATTTGTGGCAGAGGCAGGAAAGACTATACATATTTGTTTATTCTTGGATATAAGGTCTCTGGAAGGACACCCAAGAATCTGGGGACATTGGTTCCCCTTGGGATAGGAACTGGGAGTTGAAAGAGAGAACCAGGACACCGGGGTAGAGGTAGAGGGAGACATTCCACCCTCTCTTTTATGCTTTTTGAAATTTGTTGTTGTTGTTGTTTTGAGATGGAGTCTTGCTCTGTCGCTCAGGCTGGAGTGCAGTGGCATGGTCTCGGTTCACTGCAACCTCCGTCTCCCGGGTTCAAGTGATTCTCCTGCCTCAACCTCCCGAGTAGCTGGGATTACAGGTGCCCGCCACCACGTCTGGCTAATTTTTGTATTTTTAGTAGAGACGGGGTTTCACCGTGTTGGCCAGGCTGGTCTGGAACTCCTGACCTCAAGTGATCCGCCTGCTTTGACCTCCCAAAGTGCTGCAATTACGGGCATGAGCCACCAAGCCAGGCCTGTTTTTGTTTGTTTGTCTTTGAGATGGAGTCTCGCTCTGTTGCCCAGGCTGGAGTGCAGTGGCACTATCTCAGCTCGCTGCAACCTCCGCCTCCAGGGTTCAAGCGATTCTCCGCTTCAGCCTCCTGAATAGCTGAGATTACAGGCGTGTGCCACCATGCCCGGCCAATTTTTTGTATTTTTAGTAGAGACAGGGTTTCACCATGTTGGCCAGGCTGGTCCTGAACTCCCGACCTGAAGTGATTCACCAGCCTCAGCCTCCCAAAGTGCTGGGATTACAGGCGTGAGCCACCGTGCCTGGCCACTTTTTGAAATTTGAATCATGTGAATGTGCTACGTATTCAAAAAAAATAAACTAAATTGTTCTTAAAAGAAAGTAAATTTAAAAATAAACATTACACAGTCACATTAAAATCCAAACTAAAACAGTCCCCAGCCTCTGACCATGTACTGGAGGGTCACCTGGAGTCTCGGCTGTAGCCCCCGTTGGGGCCTGGTTCCGCTGCAGAAGGGATATGTGTGGCGTCTAAGTCAGCGGCAGGGCGCTCGGCTGGCTGCCACCAGGGCCCGCTCCCCCTCCAGTATGATGGGTGAGGGGTTGTCAGACGGAGGAGCAGTGGGGGCTGCAGGAGAGACGTCCGAGATGGGACGGGACATTTGGGCAGTTGGGGCCGATTTGTCGCCATTTTCACGGGCAGACTTGTGAATTAAGTGGCATGAAATTGAGCACAGACCAGGCTCCCCCCCAGAGACGGGGCAGCCCCCGCCCAGGAGGGGAGAAGGCAAGGGGGCGGGAGCGGGAGGGGTGGCCCCGCTCCACGCTCAGCTGCTTCTGGGTGCAGATGGAGACAGAATGGAAGGGGGAGGGGCTCAGCTCTTCCTCCCGGGCCCCTCCTCACCCTCAGCTCTCCTCCGACAAGCAGAGGGCCTGCCGGACCCCAGCGATGGGCTAGCCTGGACTGGCTCACTTGTGCCCAAGCACCCCTAGGAGTCAAGGCTGGGGTGGCAGCCCGACCAGACACCCATTCAGGGGGCCCCTCAGCATCTCTCTGCTTATCTCTGCGTCTCTCTGCTGCCATTTTTGCTCAGTACTGAGAAATGACGACTAAAGGGAAGCAGGGCCTGACGCTGCTTCTCTGGATGGATAGAGAAGCTTTTGTGCCAGGAAGAGTTGGAGGCGGCAAAGCCTCCAGTGGGAGATACGAGGCTCGTGGGTTGCGGTTTGGGTTCTAACCGGGTGGCTTTGAGTGAGTTCCTTATCCTTTCCTCAGCCTCCATCTCCTTATCTGTAATAATAATGATAGCAACCCTGGGCCTGGTGTTGTTCTAAGTGTCTTGTGTACTCTGCAGCAATTCATTCCATCGTGATAATACCTTATCCGGCAGCACTGTTATCAGTTACTCCCCCGTTTTACAGATGAGAAAACAGATCATCCGGCCAGTGAGTGGTGAAAATGGGATTTTTGTTTAACACGCTGTCACCTCGGGGAGTCGAGGGGAAGATTAAATGAGATAATGAACATGTATAGTTTACCCACGATGCGTGTGTAACAAATGAGAGCTGCTGTCATCACTGCTCTGTCTGCCTCTCGGCAGGGGACAGGTAGCTCAAATGCAAAGTGTTTTCAGATCACCCAGTTTACATTTCATGGACTTGACAGACGGAAGACGAAGGCCCAGGGAAGAAAAGTGACTTGCACAAGGTCACTTGAGCTGGGCTAGGACTGAACAGACAGCTCAGTGACCTGAGTCCTTGCTCTCCAGGCCCCTAAGGACATCTCGGGGCTCTGCAGATGGGCGAGGGCCTACTTTACTTGTCCACGAGGAGAGGCACAGCCTGGAATTTCAATTATCCTGGGCACCGCAGGCTCCGAGTTCCTCCCCGGACGGGCGTGGGACCTAGCCCTAGCCTGGGTGGGGACGACGAGAGAAGACAGCCTTGGTCTGCCAACCTGGGCACCTCCCGCTGGACAGAGCTTTGTCCCACAATTAAGAAGGATGTGTTTGCCTCAGCGCCAGGCCCAAAGAGCCCACAAAAGCCACAAGGAGCCCTGCAGGTGGCCAGGGGGAGGTCAGGCCCCATGGTGCTTAATAGGACCTAATCTCCGCCAGTGTTGTCGGAAATGAAAATGAAAAACAGCCGCGATTTTGTGGTTTAAAAATTAGCATGTGTGCCTACGTCGTAAGCCCCTGGCCTGCATTACCATACAGATTCATCCCAGGCCCAGCACGCGGCCAAAATATGTAATTACACACAGGCTCGGGGTAGAAAAGTTGCTCTCCTCATTGCTATCTATATAATATGGATTTTAAAAAATGAGAGCTAGGTCTGAAATGTTGTGAGGGACTTACTTCATGAGGTATGCTGCCCATGGCATTTGAGGAGAGGGAGGGTCTCACCCCCTCAGCAGTATGTGATGTGGGGGGCACATGGATATGCCAAGTTCAGAGCTATCTCCCCGGACTGGGGGAAGAGAACAAGGAAGGGAAAGCCTTGCTATGAAGGATGGTGCTCTCTATGTCTGGGTCCCATTCAGTGCTCTCATTTGCACAGAAAGCCTGAAAAGTAGGTATCTTTGTCTTCACTTGAAAGATGAAGACACTTTGGGAGGCTGATGTGGTTGGATCACTTGAGGCCAGGAGTTCAAGACTAGCCTGGCCAACATGGTGAAACCCCGTCTCTACTAAAAATACAAAAATTATCTGGGCGTGGTGGTGCACACCTGTAATCCCAGCTACTCAGGAGGCTGAGGCACAAGAATTGCTTGAACCTGGGAGACAGAGTTTGCAGTGAGCAGAGATCAAGCCACTGCACTCCATCATAGGTGACAAATTGAGACTCTGTCTCGAAAGAAAGAAAGAAAGAAAGAAAGAAAGAAAGAAAGAAAGAAAGAAAGAAAGAAGAAAGAAAAGAAAAGAAAGGAAGAAAGAAAAAGAGAAAGAAAAAAGAAAAGAGAAAGAGAAAAAAGAAAGAAAAGGAAGGAAGGAAGGCAGGAAAGGAAGGAAGGAAGGAGAAAGAGAGAGAGAAAGAAAGAAGAGGAAAGTGAGGCTGGCAAGTGGCAAAGCTCAAAATTCAAACTCATGACTCCAAAGACTGTGCACTTTCCAATATGGCTCCCAACTTCAACTCATGAACAGAGACCTTAGTTGAAGTCAGTAGGGGAGGCTGAAGGGGGTGATAGATGCGGGAGGTATGTATCAGTGTTCAAATATGAAGACTGAAGAGAATTGGGGTCTTCACATAGGGATCAATGGTAGGAAAGAAAAGAAAAACAGAGTTCCCAACCATTAGCACAAAACTGACACACAGTAGCTATAAGAAATGAATGATTGGTGGAATGAATGAACTGAAGCCCTAAAATAAAAATCAGCATCCTTGTTCCCGGCTGGGTGGGGGATAATGCCCAGATACTGAGAGAGAGGAATAAATCTATGTCCCAATGCGGGATCAATGTCCCAATCCAGAGTTGGACAGGAAAGGGAGTTCCAGTGTAGAAATCAATACCCCAGTGAAGATTTGGTTGAGGCCATCAGCATCTCATATGGGGATCAATGTCCCAATGGAGAGTTGGTTGAGAGGAATTGATGCCCCCCACCATACAGATGGGTAAGAAAGTCAACATCCCAATGTAGAGATCAATGCCCCAATTCAGAGTTGGTTAAGGAAAATCGATGTCCCAATGTAGGGAGCACTGTCCAAATATCCGGATCAATGGCAGTCAATGATATACAAAAGTGGTGGTAACAATGTTCCAATGTGATATCAATGATAGCCAAAGTCCCACTATAGAAATGGATGGGAGTTCATGTCCCAGTGTAGACACCAGCTTGCCAATATGAAGATCAATAGGACACCTATTTGTGACTTCTAGGCTTCCCTTGGAGCTTTTCTACTATTTGCTCTAAAGGGGTGACAGTTCCCAGGGTCCCTACTCTGGCTAAGTCCTCCACTGCAGAAAATTTGGGCATCTGCCCCAACACACCCCAGCCTGGTTATCCACAGTAGTTCCTCTTGGAGTTCCCCTTGGACTTCTGTAGCCAATCTCCAGAGACAGCTTGCAAATGAGTCCAAAAGATCCCAGCAGCCTGGAAGAGGCTACTTACTTTCCAGGGATTATTTCCTGCAGGGAGACCAGGCCTCTGGCTCTTCCAGACTCAGCCCAAACCAGTAGCAAGTGAGATATAGTCACAACCAGTCACGTTCTCACTCCTTGGCTTGATATGTGTCTAAAATCCACAGTTATCCATGTTACTATTGCATCTGTCATTTGAGTGATTGCTTCCCCACATTTTACAGCTGAGAAAAGCAAGGCCCAGAAGAGTAAGTAGGTGGCCGCAGAGAAGTGGCAGAGATGAAACTAGAAGCCTGATCCCCACCTGCCAGCTCAGCCCTTTTCCAGCTGATCTAGGTTGATGTGGCAGAACACACCCCACCCCCAGCCTAAGTGGGTTCTGGGAGTGTGTCACGCAGTTTAGGCAGACAGGTTCAAGGGATCTCTCCCCCAAACCTTCACTTTCCTGCATCTTTCCCATCACTGCTCAAATTCCCCAAAGTTGGGAGACAAGAAAAAGGCCCCTGTTGCTCTCCAGGGTTGGCGATGGAGTTGAGGGGTGAGATGACTAAAGCCTCCCAGCTTCAGCTGCCCCAGGGGCTTAAGGGGAGGGTGTGATTTTTCTCTTGCTCAGACAAAGGCTGGGGCTGTGGCATCTGTCGCTGACTCTTGTGTCTTGCAGCTGCTCCGACAGTCAGACCCAAGGCAGGTGCCAGTTTGGGGAGGGAGGGGCATGAGCGCCCTCAACATGCACTCAAACTCCACTTCTTCCCCTCACCCTCACGTGTAAATGCAGTGTCTCCTGCCACCCTTCCCCACCCCAACAAGCCCACCTTGTCCCTCCAAGACCTAGGGTTTGGGGGATGAGACCCACATTCCCCATGACTCTACTACCCCTTCCCCAAGCGCTTGTCCTGCCGAGTTCCGCTGCCATCACACTTGAGCACCTTTGCCCAGCCAAGGAGGAGCTGGGGGGAGGGGCTGTCTGGCAGGAGATAGGGGACCCTTGTGCCTGATGGGATGTCTCTTTACTCAAGCTTCTCTTCTGGGACCAGAGAGTTTTCTGCAGGCCTCCTGAGAGGCTGGAGCCTCCAGTTCTTCACCCTGGGAAGGGGAGAGGCTCATCACAGAGATGAGCAAAACACTGCTGGAAGGGGAGAGAGAGAGCCTGGGGTATTGTCAGACTAGGTGTGTGTGTGAGAGAACATGAGAACACATTCCCCCCCACACAGGGATATTCATGCACAGTTTTGCAGACATACATGCATACATGTGCACGCGTGCACACACACACTGTCATGAAGCCAAGAGACATGAGACAAGTTGGAAAAGTGTTTCAAATACCCAATCAGCACTCTGTGTTCTCCATCTTTTCAAAAATATTTATTTATTCACGTATTTATTAAAATCACATTACAACCCCATCCCCACTGTCTTTTCAATGTGTAAAGAGAAGCTTAAGGCAAAAAAAAAAAATTTTAATTAAAAAGAAATGCAAAATTTTCATTTAAAAAGAAAAAAGAAAATGTCTAAGGCAGCTGAGGCTCCTCCATTCAGGCGACTAATTGTAAAGATCATACACGTATTTTCCTTTTAATTCTGTGAGCAGGGAGAATATGGTCAGGGCAGCAGTGGAGCCAGGAGGAGGAAGATGAGGGTGGTGGTGAGAATGTCCCTATTAAGACGACGATACAGGGGAAAAAGAATATTTCTGTGCAAGCTGCTTGATGGGGAAAAACGTAAATTTTATACAAAGATGCTCCCGAGCCCCCTTCCCAGTGCAAGCCTCTAGACTTCTTGCTCCCACTCCCAACCTCCCAGCCGCCTCCCTCCTCCTCCCTGCCTGTCCCAGGCCTCTTCTTCCCTCCCTCCCCTGCAGCCCTCACCCCTCCCCAGGGCCCCCTCCTCAGATGCAATCCCCCTGCTGTAATTTCTGGGGGAATTGCTTCATCTCGGGTGCAGATATATTTGTGTCAAGGTGCAGCTGCACAGATAGCCTTCCTCTATGCATAGTAAGAGGGTTTCAGAGAGAGAGGTTGTGCCCAGAGCAAGGCCTTATCAGAGCAAGCTGCCTGCCATTTATCTGACTCCCCATCAAATAGGAAAACGGGCCTCAGGCTGCTGCTTCCACTTTCCTTGGGAAAGCCATGGGGGGAATAATAATTTACTCCAATCTTTTTGTTTCCAGCGCTCACCTTCAGCCTGACACAGCCCCTCTGCCACTCCCCACTTCCAGCAATGCCAGCCTGGGGGTACAAGGTTGAGCCCCAGCCCCCAAGGGCCCACCCCAGGGACACCCCCAGAAATGCCCTTGCTGGTTGAGTGGACCTTCATAATGGATTGGCATGAGCTGGAGAAGATCCCCTTTGGCATCAGGGATTGTAGGCACAGGAGAAAGGAGGCAGAGACCCGGTGGGGAGCTGGGGAGGCTTGGCCTGGCTGCAGGGGGCCTGGCTTCCTTCCCAGCCCCCACACATATGCAGATCCCCCACAAACTCTCACTGTGTGCGTGTGTATGTGTGTGTGCTCACACGCCCAGATGCACATGCAGTCCCTGTATGAGGACCTATCGGTACCTTTATCTGTGTGTCTGTCCATCTGTCTGTCTGTCTGTGTCTGGGGAGGAGATGAATGGGGGACTGGGGGCGGTTTCTGTTCTGTGTCACAGACTCTGACCTCTCATCTCAGTTCACAATCCCAACAGCCATGAGCAAGTCCAAGACAGGATGACAGGGACTGTCTGAAAGGGAGTGAACAGTGGGCGAGGGAGGGGTCCCAGCCGGGCCTGGTGGTGGGTCGTCTTGCCTCACCCTCCCTGGCGAAGGCTGCTCCAGGGAGCAGCAGGCAGCCCATCTGGTGCAGGAGCTGCAGAGAGGTGGGCAGTGGGGAGGGGGCTGCTCCCCACAGGCCAGCCATAAATCACAGTTATGTGGCCAGGGGGCAGGGGGCAGCCGTAGCAGCACACACAGGACGAGGCAGAGAGGCCAGGGTCAGGTGCAGCTGTAAATTGTCACCTAAATGCTTCCAAGTGAAAGCTAATCAGAGCACGGTGACAGAACACACCTGGCCCCACCCTGCCCCAGTGGGCACACTTATGTCTGTGCAAGCACATACACACTCACAGATACAAAACCATGCTGGGACATGTTCTGCATACAAAGCTGCACACGCAAAGGTGTCACACCCATACCTGGATACACAAAGACACACGTGTTTGTTAGTGCCATGTGTGCATGTGTTCGGACACACTCCCAGGCAGCCCTGTACCCATCGTGTTCATTCAGACCCAAGGACACAAAGATCTACCTAATGCCCCTGGGTGGATACGCCCATGCACAGGTGGGCATGGAGAGTGGAGAGCAGACACTGTCCGATGCCCAGGGCTAGTATGATCTGGAGGGCAAATCCCCCACCGGGAAGACGCAGGAATGAAAAGAGGTAAACGTACTGAGTGGAACTGGGCCACCCCAGCCCTGGAACCCCAGTGACTATGCTCTCCTCCCAACCTCTCCCTGGCTGGGCCTTCATGCCATTCACCAGCCTTTCTCTAGAAGGTCATTCCTCAAATGTGAAGAGCTCACACCGCACCCATGGTGGAGTAAGATGGAATTTGGTCTCTCCCTGCACCCGTGTTGGAGTAAGGCTCTTTCATTCATTCACTGCCATCTACTAGGCATTGTGCGAGGCTCTGGCTATAGAATGCCCCACCCTCAAATGTAAAACCTAGCAGAGAAGAGACAAATGAGCAGATGCTTACGGCACATGGGGATCCTTGCTGCAAGCGAGGCTAGCCCAGGGCAGTGAGGACATGGCAGAGGGGGACAAGGAAGGCGTTCTGGAGGAAACTATGCCCAAGCTGAGGCCTGACACGTGGAAGCCAGCCAGGTGGAGAAGCAGAGTGAAAGAGGGAAGTGTGCAACCCTCCCAGAGAATGTCCATGGCAGCAGGTAAGGAAGGCAAGTGATAGGATGGCCCTTGGCATGTGCTGAGGCACCCCACAAGGCATCCACCTCTGAGCCTTGAAACCAGCAGTGAGACTGCTACACTCCCTTACCTGGACCCGTCAGGGGACACCCAGCTTGCATCTCCCAGGGCTTCCCTGGTGACTCTTGTACCCTGTTCTGCATGCAAAGGCAACCTGACCAGAGGGAAAACTGATAGCTGGACCCAGCCTCCAGCAGATGGCATCATCACTGGTGAATGGAACAAGGATCAGGAGCCCTGAGGGGCGCTGAGAACAAAAGCACCGAGCCCCGTTCCCCAGCCCTCTTCTCTCGGGCCTCCTGGAAGTCTGCGGAGTTTCAGCAAAGCCTTCTCTGATTCATTCTCCATGCAGAGGCTTTTTGAAGGTGCTCAGGGTAGCTCTGCGAGGTCCATGGAGCACCTGGGATTGAGGGTGATGAGGATGGGTTGAAAAGCAGGACTCTGGGACCCCAGCCTCAGTTCAGCCCTTCATCCACTTGCCCTATTGGGCTTCCTAACAGGACTGCATTTGAACAAAGGACTCAGTGTGGGAAAAGGGCCAACCCATAGGACAAAGTCCAAAGGCAGCTTGGCATTCAGCAACCCCCAAACTTCACCCTATCTGCCCTTACTCCTGTGACTCAGCCCAGGGGTCTCTCTACAGCCCTCAACACTCCCCTGCTCCCTCATCCCACCAGCCCTCCTATACACACCAGTCCCCTTATCCCTCCCACCCCTGCCCCACCCTGACCCTCTCCCCAAGCCAAACTCCAACTCTTCATTTTCATTTCCAAACACTCCATGAGTACCTGCGACATACACGCCCTATCTCTTGTAAGTCTCCTCTAGAGAAGTCTGGGAGATGTAGCTTCATTTTACAAATGAGAAAACTGAGGCTCGAGAGCTTAAACGATCTGTGACCTTAGGAAAGCTGCAGGAAAGCTCATTCTGGGCCTAACCTAAGCCTCCAGGCACAGAATTGATTCCCCTCTCTTCCATCCCACCCACAGTGACCATGGAGCAGGGGCTCTTCTCTCCTCATTCTTGCACCAAGGCTTAGAAGAAGGCACAAGTTTCTGGGGGTCAGTGGTCAGAGGTGAGAAAGAGAAAGAAGAGAACCAAGGCATCCTCAGAAGCAAAGAGTAGGGACACCATCCTGCAAAGCAAATATGAATTATTTCAGAACATTTTCAAATGAAAAATCCTCTCTTCCTGCCCAGCCCTGTGATGCATTAACTCCTCTTTCCACCCTTCTCACCTGTGTGGAGAGTGGCCAGGCCAGGAGGGCCCCACCCAGCCCAGAGCTCCCAGGGAATGGGGCTGGAAGTCAGCCCATCGTTTCTTTGGCCTGAACGCCTTTTGGTTTGCTCAAAGTGTCTCCTGGTTCCTTGTCTGCACCCAGGATCAGTGAGCAAGCATTACCGGGAGCCTTTCCTACTCCTAACATTGTGTGTCCCTTCACAGCTTCCAGGGAACCCTCCCTACGCTCCAGGAAAATGGGCTGTATTCTTCCCATTTTACAGATGGGAGACAGGTTCAAAAGGTTTCAGTGACAAGCCCAGGGTCTGATAAATGGCAGAGCTGGGACTCAAACCTGCCATGGACCAGATGGCCACAGGGGAAGGGGTGCCTGTGGGTCACATGTTCATAAAGGGAGGCCTGGCCTGGCCACGATGGCCATTGACATCTTCGGTTATGAGTGTCCTCTCTTTTTTTCCTGTCTTTTTTTTTTTTTTTTTTTGAGACAGAGTCTCACTCTGTTGCCCAGGCTCAAGTGCAGTGGTGCGATCTCAGCTCACTGCAACCTCCACTTCCCAGGTTCAAGCAATTCTCCTGCCTCACTCAGCCTCCTGAGTAGCTAGGATTACATGCGCATACCACCATGCCTGGCTAATTTTTGTATTTTTAGTAGAGACAGGGTTTTGCCATGTTGGCCAGGCTGGTCTCAAACTCCTGACCTCTGGTGATCCTCCCACCTTGGCCTCCCAAAGTGCTGGAATTACAGGCATTAGCCACTGTGCCCAGCCAAGTGTCCTGTCTCTCTTAAGGGGGTGGCTCCTTCCAGTCAGGTAGAACAAGAGAGAAGAGAGCAGAGGCTCAGGCTCTCAGGCACGCTTCCGACACTTTTGGAGCCCCAGTTTTCTCATCTCCTCAATGGTACGAGTAATATTAAATAGTATCTGTCCAGGATTCTTGAGAGAACTCAGTGTGACTGTGCCAGGAGCCTGTGCAGTGCAGGCTCTCCACACACGCCCGTGGCTTCCTCATGCCCTGAAGCATGAGGGTGGGCTACGTGCTTGTTAATTGATGGAAATGCCTGGGTGGAGGACATCACATCTTGAGGTAGCTGGAACTGCACAGGGCCTCTGCTCTGCGCCTGGCCTGCACGTGACATGGTGTGAGTAAGGAGTCCTTTTTTCTTCTTCCCCTACCCACTGCCTGTCCTCTCTTGCCCTGGGGAAGGACCAGCCCCCTCAGAGCTTAAGCAGGTAAAGGACGCGGAGCAGCTCCTTCCCAGCTGGTTCAGGGTTTTTTTTCCTAGGTAGGGCTGCCCCTCGACCCACACCCCAGGCCAGCCTCGCAGAGGCCTCTGATCCCCCTCACGGATCACTGGAAATGGACCCAACACTCTCCATCACCACTGCAGACAACAGCCTGATACAAATTTGCAGGCAAAGGAGGGGGCAGTCGATACGGATTAGAAAGAAGGACCTCCTCTGGCCTGGAGCCTGGGGCCGCCATTGATCAGCATCTTCACTGAGGAAGCCAGCTTGGCCAGTGGCCAGTGGGCACCCAGGTCGGGGCCATGGCCTCAGTCTGCCACCTTACCCCGCCAAAGAGTCCTGAAGAACTGGGGACCCCTAAGTGCACTTTGTAGAGGAGGAAACAAAAAATCAAGGAGAGATCGGGGAGAAGCAAACAGGCAACCCAGCCCCAGCCCCAGCCAGCTCCGCACCTCCAGCAGAGCCAGTTTTTCTTGGTGTTGAGAAAATGGTCAGCAGCTTGTCACAGTCCAGTGAATCTAAACAGCCCTCTGGAAATGTTGTTGAATTTCAGTCCCAACGCAGAGATACCCATATACATGCCTGCCTCTCCTCCTGCCCCTTCCTGAAACACAAACAGTTCTCTCATGGTTGCATACACGCCATGTGATCCAATTCCATCTGAGAGCATTTGTTGAGTACCCATGTGTGCTAGGCTGCGACTATAGACAGCTTCATGCCCTAAGGAATACACATCTAAGAGAAAAGACAGACGTGACAAGAGGTCATCATAGGGCTGGCGGAAAGGTGCACCTACAGAAGTACAAGCAGTGTATAGAAGAAGGGGTGATCAACTGGGGTTGGGGATGGCACTTCTCACAGGAGATGTCTCAGCAGAGTTTCTAAGGATGAACAGGAGTTTGCCAGGTAAACGTGGTGACAAGTGAATTGTTATCATGTTGCTTCCCACCAACATTTGGCCACACACTGGGCTCTCCTCCCTTTTGCTGCCTGTGTACTTTCCATTACGAGCTTCTTTCACTCACAACACGCTCTATGCTGTTCCACTTGCCTGCAATGTTCTTTCCCTTCATCCCTGACTATTCTCTATTCAATCTTCAAGGCTCACCTTAAAGAATTATCTCTCCTCAGAGAGAGCTATGGCCCCCCTAATTAAAGGCAGCCATAGCATCCTACATCTTCCATTTTCTAACTCTAACAAGCTCGCTGGTTGGTTGGTTTGCTGGCTGGCTGATTGGTTGGTTGGTTGGTTGGTTGAGTGGATGGATGGCTGCATGGATGGATGGATGGATGGTTTGTTCAAGAAGCTAAACTAAAGAGAAATTAGAACTGCAGAGATATGTAGAGTACAAGGGAGTGGGATAACTGTGGTAGAATCATGGGAGATGAAACTGAAGAGTCTGCCAGGGGTGGGATTGTGGAAGGTCCTGTAGCCATGCCTAGTACACATTGACATACAAAGTGAATCCTAGAACCTTAGCAGTATGTTCTGGAGATAATAGCATCTTTGAAGGGGTAGAAAGGATATGATACCTTTCCTCCCCATCATAAGGGTCACAGCCAAAATTTCTATAACAAAAACCAAGTTAATAAGAGAAAAGCATTAAATGTATTTAAGCAAAGTTTGATGTGACACAGGAGCCTTCAGAAATGAAAACCCAAAGACTCAGAGAAAACTGTCTATTTTTACGTTTAGGTTCAATGAAGAAGGGGACAGCCATATAGAAATGTGATTAGACAGAAAAGATGTGACTTAACAGTAAGAGACTGAGTCGGGGAGCCCAGCAAGGCCTGTCTGTTCAGATTCTTCTTGGCCTCTCTGCATAGCATTCCTTCCTCGCTGGTATAGGGCAGGACCCCTTCTGGAATGAGGGTCTTATGACCTACTACCAGACAAGGTAGGTCAGAGAATTTCTTTATGGCCACCTCCTACACACAAAGGCAGGGGAAGGGGTAGAGTAATATTTCTAGTTTCTATGACCCGTCTTGGAGAAGAGAAATTCTAGTTTCCATGGCCTGCCCTGGGGGAGAAAAGGGAGCAGGAGAAAAAAGACCAGGAGAAGGTCAGAGAGAGACTTTGTTTCTGAGGTCCCGCCAGTGTCCTCCAGTTCAAAGTACTCAGCGTGTCAAAGTGCCAAACTGTGGGGTATCATTTTCTAATCCCCAATACCTTCATTTTGCAAATGAGGAAGCTGAGGTCCAGAGAAGTGGGGCTTGCTACGAATCCGCCAGAGGGCAGAAGCAATGGCTCTGCCAAGATTATACCCCTGGGCTTGGGCTCCAGGTCCAGGGCTCTTTCAATGGCACACTCAGCCTCCTATATCCCCGGAGGGATTAGACGTGATAAGATATGCCCTTATTTTTCAGGGGTCTCCTAGGTTGGGCCTTCCTCTCTGGATATACTGCCAAAGGCCACGTGCCGTGCTCCCATGCACACAGCACCTGTATCCATCAGAGCAAGCGACTGAAACCCAGCTTAATCTAGTTTCATCCAAAAGGGGAGCATTGGCCTGTGTAACTGGGAAAGGCAGGTGCAGCTGACTTCAGGTGCAGCTGGATCCAGGCACTCAAGCAATATTGCCAAATCTTACAACTCTGTGTCTGTCTTTGTGTTGGCTACATCCTCTCCTCCTGATGTGCTTCCTTCATCTGGGGTAAGAAGGATGGGTGGGGACAGATGGCATGACCTCATGGAACTGGTAAGGTAGAGAGAGGGAAAACTTGCCTCTGTATAGAAAATCCCAGCTAAATCTTCCAGTGGTTCTAGCTCAGGTTCAGTCCCTGTAATTAGAAAAATGGGGCACTATGATTTGGCAATCCTAAATTTCTGGATCTCATGTCCGTGTTAGAGGCCAGGAGAGGGCATGGTACAGTGATTGACAGCTTATCCATTGAAATGGAAAGGAGAGGACAATTGCTTCTAGGCCTTTTGGCTAAGACCAAGTGAAAGGAGAGGACATTACTTCAAAGGGAAGGGGTGCTGTTCAGAGCAAGGGAGGGATGCTGAGCAGTCAAAAATGACAGATGGCCACAGCAGTCCTATTCCAGTGCTGGATAACAGGGCAGCACCTGGATGAGTCCTTGAATATAATAATAATAATAATAGGCCGGGCACGGTGGCTCACGCCTGTAATCCCAGTACTTTGGGAGGCCAAGGTGGGCAGATCACCTGAGGTTAGATATTCGAGACCAGCCTGGCCAACATGGTGAAACCCCATCTCTACAAAAGTTAGATGGGCGTGGTGGCACCTGCCTGTAATCCCAGCTACTCGGGAGGCTGAGGCAGGAGAATTGCTTGAACTCGGGAGGCGGAGGTTGCGGTGAGCTGAGATTGCACCACTGCACTTCAGCCTGGGCGACAGAGCAAGACTCCGTCTCAAAAATAATAATAATATAGCTTTTAGAGTATCCTATGCAAGTACTCTGCATACATTGTCTTATTTAATCTCATTTAAATTTGAAGGGAGCAGGTTTGAGTCCCAGCTCTGCCATTTATCAGACCCTGGGCTTGTCACTGAAACCTTTTGAACCTGTCTCCCGTCTGTAAAATGGGAAGAATACAGCCCATTTTCCTGGAGCGTAGGGAGGGTTCCCTGGAAGCTGTGAAGGGACACACAATGTTAGGAGTAGGAAAGGCTCCCGGTAATGCTTGCTCACTGATCCTGGGTGCAGACAAGGAACCAGGAGACACTTTGAGCAAACCAAAAGGCGTTCAGGCCAAAGAAACGATGGGCTGACTTCCAGCCCCATTCCCTGGGAGCTCTGGGCTGGGTGGGGCCCTCCTGGCCTGGCCACTCTCCACACAGGTGAGAAGGGTGGAAAGAGGAGTTAATGCATCACAGGGCTGGGCAGGAAGAGAGGATTTTTCATTTGAAAATGTTCTGAAATAATTCATATTTGCTTTGCAGGATGGTGTTGTGCGCTGTCAGCTCTGTAATAACTTTTAGGCCTTTATTTATTGTTTTGCCTTAATGATTTCATGTTGCTCCAGTGTCGAGAATTCTCAGTGTCTTGTAACACATAATGGCAGAGAAGACTCAGGCCATGGCAGGCATGGAGCGAGGGTGTCATGCTCCCCGACAGACCCCACTGGTCTCCAGGAGATGGCAGAGCCTAGAGCAGAAAGCGGAGGCCATCAACCTCTGTGCAAAGTTATCTGCGAGCACTAATTCTCAACAACACCCTAGGGAGCTGGTACTATTATCCCATTTTACAGAAGTGAAAACTGAGCCTTGGAACAATCACAAGACTTGCCGTCTGATCGTGTGTGACCAAGCCAGGATTTAAACAGAGGCCTGTTGGTGTGTCTTCAACTTTGGCATATATAGAAATTACCTAGAGAGGGCCAGGTGCAGTGGCTCATGCCTGTAATCCCAGCACTTTGGGAGGCCAAGGCAGGTCGATCACAAGGTCAGGAGTTCAAGACCAGCCTGGCCAATATGGTGAAACCCCGTCTCTATTAAAAATACAAAAATTAGCTGGGCGTGGTGGTGGGTGCCTGTAATCCCAGCTACTCAGGAAGCTGAGACAGGAGAATCACTTGAACCCAGGAGGCAGAGATTGCAGTGAGGCGAGATCCCGCCACTGAAGGGATCCCACTCCTGGGTGACAGAGCAAGACCAAAAAAAAAAAAAGAAGGGAAGGAAAGAAAGAAAAGAAAGAAGGAAAGGAAGGAAGGAAGGGAAAAGAAAAGAAAAGAAAAAGAAAAGAAATCATCTAGAGAGAATCTAAAATATGGGTCCCTAGGACCCAACTGTGGAGATGGAATTCAGTAGGTCTAGGATGGAGGCTGAAGCTCTGCATTTAGCAAGGTGCCCAGATGAGTCAGAGCCATAGGAACTCAGCTGGTGGCTGGGACCACACTAGTCACATAATCAGTGGGACCGAGTTCCTCAAGAATTATGGTCCCATGACTGGCCCATTTCTCTCACAAATGTCCCATCAGCTACTCCTGTTCCTCTGCCATTCTCCATCCTGTATCTCTGAGGGCTTGGACTGCCCCGCACCCCCAGAGCTCTAGCCCCTTCTGTGAAGCTGGGAGAGGAAGGGGAGAGGAGGGGAGGAAGGGGAGAGGAGGGGAGGAAGGGGAGAGGAGGGGAGGAAGGGGAGAGGAGGGGAGGAAGGGGAGGCTTTCTTGGTTGCCATGGTGATTCTCCACCTCCCAGTCTGTGGGGGGAGGCAGCTTCATTGTGAGCCTCCAGCCAAGGCCTGGAGGGCAGCAAGCTGTCCTGGGCTGGGAGGATGCAGAGGGGTGGGAAGAGGACTCTAGCCACTGGGGAGAGGGGAACAGGGGAAGACAGGCTGGGGACAAGGAGGAGGACCCTCGGCCCAGGGCAGCCGGAGCAGAGAGCCAGCCCCTCCAGATGCTGGGGCTGCCAGCCTTCAGCCCAGGGGGCGGAGAGGGGTGTGTGCAGGAGCTGAGGCTGACAGGGCCTGATGCTCCCTGAGCCCAGAGCTGGCAGAAGACCCAGGGCAGGTGGTGGCAGAGATGCAGGGACGGGTGAGACAGCTAGAGAGGCTGGCGCAGGACAGAGTCAGAGCCACAAGGGCTGGGAAAGACCAGGGCTCAGAAAGCAAAGAAGAGATAAAGAAAAATAAAACAAAGCAAGAGAACCCCTCAAGGACCCCAGGCCATGGCCCACTCCCACCCCCAGCGGGGCCAGGGCTGGCACAGCCTGGGGTCCCAGCCTGCTGGGCTGGGCTGGCAAACCGGATGGCACAGGCTGCGGCAGAGGCAGATGGAGCAAGGAGGGGCCTGACCCACGGCCCGCTGGGGAATGGCTGGGATTGTCTGTTCTTTGGAGCCCTCCCACTGTCCCCCAAACCTCCTGCCTCTGGGAGCATGCTGGGGAAACAGGGAGAAAAAAAGAAGCAACATTTCGGAGCCAGCATCTCCACCTCCTCCTGCTCCGTGTTGGCCTTCTTTCCCTGCCAGTGGCACGTGCTGCATGCTCCCAACCTGGCTCTGGCAAAGACCAGGACATTGTTGGGGGGCTGGAGAGTGATGTAGGGGAGGAGAGAGGAGGGAAAGATGCTGGGAGGCGACAACTCAGAGGGGAGGAAGAGGAAGGAAAGGAGAGCCCTGGCAGAGGCCATCCCTCACCACCAGTATTTTTGAAGCAAGCACTTACTTGGTACCAGGCCCCACTGAGTACTTCCTGTGTATTCACTCATTTACTCCTCCCAACAGGCCTATTTCATAGGTGCTGTTGTTCTAATCCCCATTTCATAGATGAGAAACTGAGGCAGATAGGGGTTGAGTGACCTGCCCAAGCGACAAGCTGGGAATCAGCAGAAAGAGGGATTGAACCCAGGAGAGGTTCAGAGGTTGCTCTCTTAGCCACTACACTCTCCTGTCCTTCATGCCCCTCACCCACGTGTTGAGTGTTTCAATATTTTTTCCTTCTTACCCATCTTTTCTCAGTGTTTCTCCAGCCAGCCCTTATTCCTTCTGGTGGTGTGTCCCAGTTTGCCTGGGCCTCTAGGCCAGCACCAGGACATGAATGGCCGGGAGCAAACACATCGCGTGTATGGACACATGGACACACGGACACACATGCACGACTGCTGCGGAGTCCACCAACATGTGAATGTCTGTACACATCTGTACAGAACAAGTGCGCACACCCATGTGTCTGTGTACATGCACACGGGTCCATTCGCACATGTGAGGCCACCATTCATACCACACCCTGGGTGGGTCTTGAGTTCTCACCCACAGAGCATTAACTGTGGCAAAATAATCCCAAACAACGGTCGAGTCAAAAAAATCTGTTTGGCTTTGTACTAAAGTGCTGCTTGGCATATGGGGTTTTTGGCAATACATTTACCTTTCTAGGTTTAGCTCGGGCTGATGTGGCTTCCTGCATGTCAACCTCTGAGAACCTGCCAGATGCCAGGCCCTCGGCAAGGCACTACCCAGACAGTCTCTCCACGCCTCACGGCAGCCATGAGGCAGGGCTTGCCATCCCCATTTTACAGACAAGAACCTTGAGACAGCGAGTTCCCATTTGCACAGACTCACAGGGAGAGTGAGGATTCGAACCCCAGGGCAGTTCAAGGGTCGGTAAAGCTTGAGTGCCTGCAGGTGGGTTGTGAGCCAGACATGTGACCTCCCAGGCGTGCCTCATCCGTCTGGAATGTGGCTGCCTCACCGTCTGGTCACGTCTGGGCCCCTCTTCTGCAGCGAGGCTGGTGGGTATGGAGGGGCTGTGGTGGCTCACGCTGAGCTGCTCTACAGAAGGCCCCACACAGGGCCGGGTGCAGCGAGGTATGAAAAAGGCTTTTCCCCAGCGATGACGAACACGATAGTGATGGCTCAGACTATACAAAGAACAGACTGACTTATCACCACCACATAGACACAGGCATATCCATTCCTTCAGTATTTCTCAAGCACCTACTATGTGCCTGGCATTTAATGGGCTCTGAGGACCATGCAAATAGGAATCAAGCTTGGACCCTGCCTTCCTTCCAATAGCTTAGGAGAATAGTGATCAGGTGTGGAAACAGCTTTCATTACAAGGCTGAAAAAACCTGAATGCTGTAAGAGAAATGCAGATGAAAAATGAGAGTCTACTTCCCACTGGGGACATCAAGGTAGCCCTCCTGGAGAAAGAGGCTCCTGATGGGTCTTGGAGAGTGGGTATGATTTGATGCAGTAATGAAAGTGAAGGGGTTCTTGGTTTTCTAAAGAACACAGTTCAAGACATAGGATGGGATATTGGCGGGTGGACATAGGGAAAGCAAGTAGCTCCATTTGTCTGTGGCAAAACTGTGTGAAGGGAGTGGCAGGAGGTAGGTTAGGGTCAGATGACAGAAGATCTTGAGATGCTGGACTAAGAGTTTGGATTTTATAGATAAGGGGGAGCCATCAAAGACTGTCGAACAGGGGAAATCCTTGGGACCTGTTTCATTTAGTCTAGACTAATCTGCAGTTGTGAACAAAGTAATAGATTGGAAATATACATGCATGCACACATACACATACATGCACACATACACATACATGCACATCTTCAGAAATGTGCAGACGTGGCAGACCCAGTGGCTCACACTTATAATCCCAGCACTTTGGGAGGCCGAGGTGCGGGGATTGCTTGAGCCCACAGTGAGAACTTATCTCTACAAAAAATGAGGATCACTTGAGCCCAGGAGGTCAAGGCTGCAGTGAGCCATGATCGTGCCACTGCACTCCCACCTGGGTGACGGAGCAAGACCCTGCCTCAGACAAAAAAAAAAAATGTACAAACACACATGTACATGAATGTACACTTCAAAAGCAAAGGATTAATTCCTGAACCCAGCTATTTTAAAATTCTGAATTGTATTTGTTTATTTAAACATGGCCGGGTACAGTGGCTCACGCCTGTAATCCCAGCACTTTGGGAGGCCAAGGCAGGCAGATCACCTGAGGTCAGGAGTTTGAGACCAGCCTGGCCAACATGGTAAAACCTTGTCTCTAACTAAACATACAAAAATCAGCCAGGTGTGGTGGCGAGTACATAGTCCCAGCTACTTGGGAGGCTGAGGCAGGAGAATCGCTTGAATCTAGGAGGCAGAGGTTGCAGTAAGCCCAGATTGTGCCACTGCACTCCAGCCTAGGTGACAGAGGGAGACTCTGCCTCATAAATAAATAAATAAATGTAATACATTCACAGTATCTAAAATCCAAATGAAATATAAGCAAATGGCTGGGTGTGGTGGTCCACACCTGTAATCCCAGCACTTTGGGAGGCCAAGGTGGGCAGATCACCTGAGGCCAAGAGTTCCACACCAGCCTGGCCAACATGGCAAAACCCCGTCTCTACTGAAAATATAAAAAATTAGCCGGGCGTGGTGGCAGGAGCCTATAACTGCAGCTACACGGGAGGCTGAGGTAGGAGAATCGCTTGAACCCAGGAGGCAGAGGCTGCAGTGAGCCGAGATCATGCCATTGCACTCCAGCCTGGGCAACAAGAGCAAAAATCCTTCTCAAAAAAAAAAAAAATATATATATATATATATATATGCAAATATGCTGAAAAATTAAGCTACTTCTCACCCCGTGTTCCAGGGCCCCAATTTGTTCTGTCCAAAAGCAAGTACAGTGGCCAGTTTGAGAGCTTCCTTCCAGAGACCTTCTGTGTTTAGACAAGCAAATACCCAGCTGCATTGTTATTACATACGTTTTTCTGCACCTTGGTTTTCTCACGTAATATACCTTGGAGATCCTTACATATCAGTACACGGAGGGCTGTCCTGGTCTTTTTAACAGCAGTATACTCCTCCATAATAACGGGACATTTACATTATTTCTGCTCTTTTGCTCTTACTAAAAATGTTGAGCACCTACTAAATGTGCCCAGCACATTTATTGAGCACCTGCTATGTGCTGGGCAGCATTCCAGGTGCTAGAGATAGAACAGTAAACAAAACAGGCAGAAGTCCCTGCCCTCATGGAACATGACTTCTATTGTGAACGTGTGAGTACATCTTCAGGATGCATTCCTAGAGGTGGAACAGCCCAAACAAAGCATCTGTGCATTTTTAAAATTTAGTAGATAAAGCCAAATCCCCATCCCCACCAAGACAGAGTCTATCAATTTACCCTTGCAATGTATGAGAGTGCCTATTTTCCCACACTTTTACCAACAAAATGTTATCAGATATCTTTATGTGTGCCAAGGTGACAGGTGAAAAACAACTGTGATTTTAATTTGCATTTCTCTTATGATGAGTGAGGTTAAGCATCTTCTCATATATTTGAGAGCAATTTCAAGGCTGGGCATAGTGGCTTATGTCTGTAATCTCTGCAGTTTGGGAGGCAGAGGTGGAAGGATCAATGGAGCCCAGGAGTTCAAGCCCAGCCTGAGCAACTTAGGGAGTCTCCATCTCTACAAAAAAAAAAAAAAATACAAAAATTAGCTGGGCATGGTAGTGTGCACCTGTAGTCGCCTCAGGATGCTGATGCAGGAGAATCACTGGAGCCTGGGAGGTCAAGACTGCAGTTAGCCATGATCATGCCACTGTACTCCAACCTGGGAGACAGAGCAAGACTGTCTCAAACAAACAAAGCAATTTCAGGCCCTTTCCTGTCAACTTTCTAATATCCTTTGCTCATATTTTTATTAGATTGTGGATATTTTTCACACTGAGCTGTGGATATTTTTTTTTGGTCTATTAAAGAAATGAGCTCTTTGCCTGTGGTGTGAGTTGCAAATATTTCTCCCCTAGTTTGTCATTGGTTTTTGTACTTTGCATATGGTGGGTTTTTTTTTTTATAATGCAGACTTGTAAAATGTGAAATAAAATTTTAAAGAAATTCTGCTCATGCACTTTGCCTCCTTATGGTGAAATGTTTGTTAGGATTGAAAGAGATATAGGCTGGTGCAGTGGCTCACACCTGTAATCCCAGGACTTTGGGAGGCCGAGGTGGGCGGATTATTTGAGGTCATGTGTTCGAGACCAGCCCAGCCAAAATGGCGAAACTCTTCTACTAAAAATACAAAAATTAGCCAGGCATGGTGGCACGCTCCTGTAATCCCAGCTACTTGGGAGGCTGAGGCATGAGAATCACTTGAACCTGGGAGGTGGAGGTTGCAGTGAGCCCAGATTGTGCCACTGCACTCCAGCCCGGGCAACAGAGCAAGACTCAGTCTCAAAAACAAAAAAAGAAAAAAGAAAAACAAAGGCATATAGATGCCAACAACACAATCTTGGGTTCCATTAATAAAAGCACATGTTCTGGCTGGGTACGGTGTCTCACACTTGTAATCCCAGCACTTTGGGAGGCTGAGGCGGGTGGATTATCTGAGGTCAGGAGTTTGAGACCACCCTGGCCAACATGGTGAAACCTTGTCTCTACTAAAAATACAAAATTAGCTGGGCGTAGTGATGCACGCCTGTAGTCCCAGCTACTAGGGAGGCTAAGGCAGGAGAATCATTTGAACCCAGCAGGCGAAAGTTGTAGTGAGCCGAGATCGCGCCATTGCACTCCAGCCTGGGTGAGAGGAGTGAAACTCCATCTCAGGAAAAAAAAAAAAAAAGTGCACGTTCTAGAAAAGGAAGGTGAGTGTCCTATCCTTTTCTGGTGCTCCATCTTAAGAGGTCTTTGGACAAAGAGGGGCAAGCTCAGAAGAGGGTAACCAAGATGGTGACTGGGTTTTAAATCAAGTCACATAAGGAATGGCAATAGAACTGGCATCTTTGAGCCTAGAGCAGATCGCTGTCTATGACTATCATCTGAGGCAGTGGGACTAGCCTCATGATATAAAACCAGTCCGTATGGTGGAGAATCTTGGAAGCCAAGAGTCAGACAATAGAGCTCTTTTCAAGGCAGAGCTGTCTGAAGGTGGAATAGCCTATTTTGTGAGGAAATAGTTCATTACCAGAGATGCACAAACCGGAACTCGATGACGACCTCTCAAAGATGCCAAGGGTTAGGCCACATCCCTTTCAAAACTCCTTCCAATCCTGAGACCTCATCATTCTACAAGACTACAAGAAATAGGCCTGGTGTGGTGGCTCACCCCGGTAATCCCAGCACTTTGGGAGGCCGAGGTGGGCGGATCACGAGGTCAGGAGTTCAAGACCAGCCTGGCCAATATGGTGAAACCCCGTCTCTACTAAAATACAAAAATTAGCGGGGCATGGTGGCAGGCACCTGTAGTCCCAGCTACTTAGGAAGCTGAGGCAGGAGAATCGCTTGAACCCGGGAGGCGGAGGTTGCAGTGAGCCAAGATCGCGCCACTGCACCCCAGCCTGGCTGACAGAGTGAGACTCCATCTCAAAAAAAAAAAAAGAAGAAGAAGAATACAAGGAATATTAAAATTCCTCATTTTACAGATGAAGAAAAGGGGGAAACTGATATGCATTGTGCACCTACTTTGTCCTAGGCACTTCAGCATATATGACTTGATTTTAAAGGATGAGAACCAGGAAGGTTAAGTGGTTCACCTAAGGCTGCACAGCAATTTAGAACTGGAACCCACATCCCCAGTCTCCAAGTCTAGAGCTCTCTCCACTGAACCTCCTGTCCCTGATGAAAAATTAAACATATGTTCACTGCATGTTTATTGCATACCTATTCTGAATGGACACTAACGTGGACAAGAAAAGCACATTGTATGCAGGGTATTAATAAAGTCATGGGGTCTTTGCTCTGCAGAAGGTCACTGCCTAGTGGGCAGGTACAGGTGCCATCTCTACGTTGCTTGATTTAATGCAAATTGTGTCCCCTGGAGTTGTGCAATGTGGTAGCCCCAGATAGACCGATAAGGAAATATGAAGCGATTTGGCAAGTGTTGTAATGAAATCACACACAAAGTGCCATGGGAATGTAGAAGGCATAATTAATTCTACTAGGGAAGTGAATCCAGGAAAGCTACACAAAGGAGGTGATGCCCGAGCAGGGCCTTGAAGAATGTGTAAAAAAACAAAAGGCAGAAGAGAATAATATGTATATTCATGCCACATACATTTATTGAGCAGTTCCAGGTTTCCAGGGATAGATGAATAATTCACTATTGAGTAGGGGAGACAGACAAATCACCAATAAATTGCCATAGCGTATAAGTGTAACGGTGAAAACGTACTCGCCAGGCAAAAGTGGCGATAGCTCCTTCTGGAATCAAGTGAGGCATCTGGGAAAGCTCCTGGAGAAGTGATATCTGAGATTTTAGGAGCCGAAATAAATATTTTCCCAGGCTGATGATAAGGCAATTGGGAGAAAGGGAAAAGCATTCTAAGCAGAGGGAATGGCACGTGCAAAGTTTCTGACTCTTGAAAGATGATTCTCTCTGTCTTCAGGTGCCCAAAGCAGATCTGAAAGGCTTGAGTGGAAAATGTGGGCATGGTGGGTCGCCAAGCAGGAGGTGGAATTGACATACAGGCGTTTGGGCAGGACCCACCAGGTTTCCAGATGAGTGGGGAAACGGCATTGGTGTGTATCGGGATTTAGGAGGCTTAGCAACCTTCCCTTCAAAGTCATGCCCCAGATTGAGAGCTGGAAGAGAAAAGTGTGAGCTGTAAATCCCCAGCTCCTCCCGCTGTGCCCAGTACTACAGAGCTAGGAGTCTCCACCAGCTCTCCAGTCCCACCGCTGCGACCCCGGCTAATCCAGCCTCCTGG
This sequence comes from Homo sapiens, assembly GCF_000001405.40. NCBI lineage: Eukaryota > Metazoa > Chordata > Mammalia > Primates > Hominidae > Homo > Homo sapiens. The sequence continues at coordinate 1,144,015 of NT_187614.1, forward strand.
CCCATCTGACACACACTTCCACTTAACATTTTGTTAGCGACTCTATAAACGAGCTCTCCCTGACCTTCAATCCCTGGCTAATTGCTGGTTTCATGTACAAGACTAGCTTAATTTTACGTGATAATTACCTGAGAGTGGCAATACATATGGCATTGCATGTTCGAAATGTCAGGCCTGGAAATCTACCAAGTGGCCATAGTCAGGGGCAAAGGGAGGAGGCAGCCAGGGGCCACGAGGAGAGACAAAAATTGTGGACACTCAATGCAGACAGAACTCCAGAGAAGCAGGGTCCTGGTCTACAGCAGGTCTCAGAATCCTCAGCTGGTACAGTACACCCAGGGGCACAGGCCAGAGGAGCGGCATGTGCCGCAGCCTCACATGCGCATGCGCCCATCTCGGAGAAACACCAGCCAGGTCAGAGGCACGGCTCATACACGCTCTCAGTCACCTTTTCAACATACGCTCACTGAGCCCCTACTATGTGCCAGGCAGTGTACAGGCAATTGTACTAGTTTCAAACTCCCACCCCACCCAGGGAAGGTAGGAAGATGTGGAGGGTATGTTTGGGTTGTCACAATTATTTGGGGGCTGCTACAGGCACTGAATAAGCAAGGCCAGGAATGCTAAATGGCCCACACAGTCCCGTTCAATGAAGAATTGGCCTTCCTGTTGCTTGAGCCCAGGAGTTCAAGAGCAGCCTGGGCAACATGGTGAGACTCCATTTCTACAAATAATAATAATAATAAACCAATTAGCCAGGCGTGTTGGTGTGCACCTGTAGTCCCAGCTACTCAGGAGGCTGAAGCAAGAGGATCCCCTTGAGTTCAGGAGGTCAAGGCTGCAGTGAGCTGTGTTCTTGCCACTGCACTCTAGCATGGGCTACAGAGCGAGACCCTGTCTCAATTTAAAAAAAAAAAAAATTGGCCTCCCCAAATGCCTGTGGTGGCCCCACTGTGAAACACCCTGTTGAAAACCATCACATCTAAGCCAGGACCCCAGTCCGGAAGAAGCCAAGTGTCCTCTGCCCTATTGGAGATTACAGTTGGGGAAGGAAGACAATGGCAAGGACTTGTGCTGCATGAGAGAGTAATGGAAGGGGACCCAGGAACATGTGACAGGTGAACTGACAGAGTCCAGAGTTCAGAAAAGACCTCCCTTTAAAAGTGACGGCCGGGCACGGTGGCTCACGCCTGTAATTCCAACACTTTGGGAGGCAAAGGGCGGTGGAGCACGAGGTCAGGAGTTTGAGACCAGCCTGCCCAACATGGCAAAACCCCGTCTCTACTAAAAATACAAAAAATTAGCCGGGCATGGTGGTGGGCGCCTGTAATCCCAGCTATTCAGGAGGCCGAGGCAGGAGAATCGCTTGAACCTGGGAGGTGGAGGTTGCAGTGAGCCAAGGTCTCGCCACTGCACTCCAGCCTGGGTGACAAAGAGAAACTCCATCTCCAAAAAAAAAAAAAAAAGTGCCATTTCAGAACTAAGCTAGACACAAAAGGATTAACGTGGCAGGGTTCCACTTCCATGAAGTACAAGAGGACTGAAATTCATGGAGAAAGAAGTAAAAGGGTGGTTGCCAGAAGCTGGGGGAGGAAAGATGGGGAGTTATTGCTTAATGGGTACAGGGTTTCAATTTGGGACGATGAGAAAGCTCTGGAGATGGACACTGGTGATGGTTGCATAACAATGTGAATGTACTTAATGCCACTGAACTAAACACTTTAAAATGGTGGAAAATGGTAAATTTTATGTTATGTGTATTCTACCACAATTTAAAAAAACAGTGCTTACAAATCTTAGTCGTGCGCTGCTGTCCCCTGCCAAAAAAGTGTCATTTCAGCTGCATTCTAAAGGAGGGGCAGGACACAACTCATCCACTCATTTGCTGCACAATAGTTGAACAGCACCTGTAAGGCACAGGTTTGGAAGAATTTCTGTCTTCTGCGTCTCAGGTTGGATAAATAAAGCAAGTTCTCTGCCTCACAGTGCTTCAGTCCAGCTAGCAAGAGAAGCACGTCTCTCTGGTATACAGAAGAATGAATCCAGAGGGGGGACCCACACAACTCAGAAGAAACACACCAAGGAGAAAGGCAGTGCATCTGGAGGACGCAGAGAATTAATGCTCTTTGGAGAAGTGGCCACAACATGATCTTGAGAGGTGGGGGCACTTGTATAGGCTGAGATGGGGGAGAAGCCAGCCCAGAAACTGCCTCTTTCCTGGATGACCTCTGTCCCCAAGACCATTTGGGGCAAAGGAGCTATTTACTATAGGAAGTGAAGACCCATTTTTCTCCCAGCACCTTTGGTGCCCAGAACAGCACTTGGCACAAAAATAAGTGAATACGAAATGGTATCTGTGTGTGTCTGCACCACGTGCCACACACCTGGGTACACACATCCACTGCAGAGGGACAGCTCAGGTTCATTTTTTCCTCATCACTCCAGGGAACAAGGCAAGGCAGGGAAGGTCTAGAGCCCTGTGGCAGTGGGGCAGGGGGGCATGGGCAAAGAAGGAGAAAGGGTGCTTCTGGTCCCCTTGGGGGACCCTTCTGTGGGAAGCCCATGCACACACACACTCAGAGGCACACAGGCCACAGGATCAGGTAAGAGGCACAGTCCCCAGATGAAGGCAAGTTCTAAAAACCCCTTTAGCCTCCTCACCCATGGAACTGTGGACTCCTAAGCTGTGTTGGAGTAAATTACTTGCTTAATGAGATTTCAATTAATAAAAACAAATTAAAATCACTTTGGTAATTAAGCTGCTGTGAACCTTGCCAGCAGCTCTCCCTCAGACCTCAGATTTCCATGGGGAAGGAGCTGGGAACGGGGGTCCACTTGGACTCAGGCAGCAGTGCTGCTGGGACCTAGGCGGCAGGGGGCTCCTCGCCTTGGGGCTTCCACCCCAGGAGCCACAGCTTCCTCAAACCAGAGGTGGGTGTATGGGAGGGTGCAGTACACAGCAGGCAGCACAGGCTCTAAACTTCCATTCACATCGAAGCCCTGCCACTTGGTGGCTGTGTGACCTAGGGCATGTTAATTAACCTGTCTGAGCCTCAGTTTCCTCATCTGCAAAATGGGTTAATACTAGTAACCTACATCATTGGGTTGTGGGAAGATTAAAGGAATGAACGCATGTAAGAATATAGAAGAGGGCCTGTCCCACAGCAAGGGGTCTTAACTCACTTTACCCTGTGTGGTGCTATGGGGGGACTTTTCCAGTCTTTATGATTTGCCTTGTCCTGAACCCCAAACCCCTCCAGGAAAGCCCTATTTCTCTGAGTTAGGTGAATGAAGACCTACCCACAGAGGTTCCCTTGGAGGTGAGGTTTCTCCAAGTTCTGTCCCACCCAGGCCCCCATCTCTTTTCATCAGAGCCAGCAGCTCAAATCTGGGAGCTATAACACTAAAATCTCTTGAAGAACAAACACTCCTGTCTCTGGGTCACAAAATCACCCCCATTCTCCCACATGAGAGACCGGGAGGGTTAAGTAGTGCTGATGTCACTGACCCCATTCCGCAGATGAGTAAAAGGGCTTAATGACTTACCTGGTGGCTCAAAGAGAGAAGCAGTGCCCAGGGCTAGCTGGAATCTGAGAAACCCACATTCTCTTCCAGTGCTAACAGAACTGTAAACAATTTCAGCCTTTCTGGAGGGCGCAATGCTAAGTGTATAATAATTTGAAATTATTAAGGTTTTAGGTTTTTTTTGTTCTTTAAAGTTTGTAGCATTTACACTTTTGAAGTTATTAAAGCAAAAACTACACTAAGCCTTTTGGGACAGCCGTGTGTGTGTGTGTGTGTGTGTGTGTGTGTGTGTGTACTTTACGTATAACATGTTTTATTTATAGATATTGATATATATATATATATATACACAAACACATACACACACACATCCCAAATGCCAAATGTCATTTTTCTCTGTGGTGGTAGAAAATACAGATGGTTTTTGTTTTACTCATTCATTCACTCATTCGTGCAATAAATATTTTTATTTTTATTTATTTTTAATTTTATGAAGACAAGGTCTCACAGTTGCCCAGGCTGGAGTGCAGTGGCATGATCTCAGCTCACTGCAGCCTTGACCTCCCAGGCTCAAGTGATCTTCCCACCTCAGCCTCCTGAGTAGCTGGGACCACAGGTATGCACCACTGGACCCAGCTAATTTTTTATTTTTTATAGAGACAAGGTCTCTCTATGTTGCCCAGGCTGGTCTTGAGCTCCTGGACACAAGCAATTCTCCCGCCTCAGCCTCCCAAAGTGCTCAGATTACAGGCATGAGCCACCACACCTAGCCAGCAAGTATTTTTAGTGTCCATGAAATAGCACAATGAACAAGACAGACTTAAACCCTGTCTTCGGGAAACTCACAGCCTCTTGATGAAGATGGACATTGAACACAAAACGACAAGGTGAATATTATAGAAGAGGAAGGGCGGGGCCTCAGATGCCCATTACAGAAGGAAGCAATGGAGAGGGTGAGATTTGCCATAAACATTTATTTCTTTTGTAATTAGACTAAAATAAAACAATGTATACATTTTTAAAATAAATCCCAAGGGTCCCATAACTAGTTAGTAACAGAACTGAAAGTGGAAACTAAAAGCATTCTGGCTCCTGGGCAAATGATTTTTTTTTTTAACTGACACCGCCCCTGGGAAGTTTGAATAGCATCCTAGTCTTCAGTAAAAAATATCTCAAAACTCTCAAAGGAGATGTCTGACAGAGGTGGTCCTATCATCTATGCACCTCGTGTCAGATGGAGGAGATATATCCCCATTCATACATCCATGTCAGATGGAGGAGGCTTTGTGCGCACGCGCGCGCGCGCGCACACACACACACACACACACACACACACACACGCCCCTCTGACTCCTCCTGGCATGCCCTCCTTCATCTGTGTGGCCTTTCTGGATGATGAGAGATGTTACTGGGATCCAGAAAGGGTCACTCCAATTGGCCACACACATACGCCCCATGCCAGATGGTACTGGGTCAATGGGCAGTGGGTAGCTCACCACCACTCATCTCTGGAGGAGGAGTCCCAAACATTCCTTGCTCTCAGTGGCCCCAGTCTCTCCACCAGCTGACCTCCAGTCCTGTTTCAACCCACCCTGGCTGGGTCTGCCATCTGGGGGCCAGGCAAAAGGGAGAACATCTCAGCACCCAGAACCTCCCACCATCTGCTCCTTCCCACTCCCTGAGAAGTGCTAATCTCGCAGGGCCCTTCCCCTGCAGACCCCTTTTCCCTGGGGAAGGTGAGGGTGGTGCCATCCTCTAAGTGCCCAGCTTCGGTGAGGGCTGCTGGAGCCGTGATGCCCTCCGCTGGGAGATGCCACCCGATTCCATGTGCCATCTTCTCCTCCCCTCAGACTTCATGTATCATATTTTGTGCTGACTTCAGACAATCAAGGGAGGAGGACACAGAGTTGTACTTTCCAAGTAGCTGGCAACCCTTAATCAATGTTAATTGGCTCTAATTAGCATATGTTAATTAATGATATTTACTATAAATTAAAGGTATGAGTGCTCCCAGAGGTTTCCTGTTCATCCAATTAGTGCCAATTAGTTGCAATTAACACGTGTAAATGAGATTCCATTGAACCCAAAACAAACAGCACAGAATCTCTCAGATTCCCCCTTGCACCTTTTCAATCAGCCAGAGGAGGGGGTGGAGTGTGGAAGGTGAGGGAGAGACAGGAGAAAGAGAGACGCCCCAGACTGATCTCTTGCAGGAAGCTGACCCTCCCACCCACCCGGAATGAGAGCGGACAGAGCCACACTGGGCAGAGCGAGCCCCTGAGCATGCCCTTCTGCCCCTGGCTCTCCCTAGGGAGGGCTCCCTAAGGGCCCTGGCCTTGAGATGCTCTTTAGAGCTGAGGGCCATCCCTTGGACATCTCTGAACCTGCCAGGGCTTAACCCAGTGCATGGCACATAGTAGGTGCTCAGTAAAAATAAAACTGGGGGCCGGGCACGGTGGCTCATGCCTGTAATCTGAGCACTTTGGGAGGCCAAGGTGGGCGGATCACCCAAAGTCAAGAGTTCGAGACCAGCTTGGCCAACATGGTGAAACCCCATCTCTACTACAAATACAAAAATTAACCTGGCGTGGTGGTGCGTGCCTGTAATCCCAGCTACTCGGGAGGCTGAGGCAGGAGAATCGCTTGAACCTGGAAGGTGGAGGTTGCAGTGAGCAGAGATCATGCCACTGTACTCCAGCCTGGGCGATAGAGTGAGACTCTGTCTCAAAATAAATAAATAAGCAGGATGAATTAAAAGTTGGTTTCCTTGCATCAAGGTCCAATATCTTTAAATATATAAAATTAAAGGCTGTAATGGTTTTTTTTAAAGCATGCAGTGTTCTCTTCTCCGTAAGGTCTTCCCAAGGGGCCTACCAAGGGGCAAAGTAGGATTTGCCTCTATGACGTAATTTTAATATAATCTATATATGTCCACAGAGATTTTACTTCACTGCTAATGCTATTTCTTTTTTACTCAACTACTCTCTGAGGCCCAAACCTCTGCCATGGCTAGAGAAACCGCTACCATGAACAGTCAACTGCTACCCCTAGCCAACCCAGCGGCTCACACATGTAATCCCAGCTCCGTGGCTCACACCTGTAATCCCAGCACTTTGGGAGGCCCATTCGGGAGAATCACTTCAAGCCAGGAGAGCAAGACTAGCCTGGACAACGTAGCAAGACCCCACCTCTATCTTTAAAAAGAAATGCCACCTCAAATTATCCACCACACAGAACCCTCTGTAAAACGGTGATGTAAGATATAGCTCCCAATAACTTTTTTATTCCTAGTCACTTTGGCTACACCAAACTTTTACATTAATGTTGATATTCATTAATTTATTTTAGAGACAGAGTCTCTCTCTGTCATGCCCAGGCTGGAGTGCAGTGGTGTGATCTCGGCTCACTACAACCTCTCCCTCCCAGGTTCAAGCGATTCTCCTGCCTCAGTCTCCCAAGTAGCTAGGATTTCAGGTGCCCGCCACCATGCCTGGCTAAGCTTTTGTATTTTTAGTAGAGACAGGGTTTCACCATATTGGCCAGGCTGGTCTTGAACTCTTGACCTCAGGTGATCCGCCCACCTCGGCCTCCCAAATTGCTGGGATTACAAGTGTGAGCCACCGCACCTAGCCAATATGTATTATTTTAAAATATTGACTGTTGACAGTGTCAGGTGCTGCTTCAGGGGCTGGGGATACAGGAGTGAACAAATCGTCTATGAATCCTGGCCCTTGTGTAGCTCACATTCCACCGTGTACTATTACCTCCCACCTTGGGATTCGGATGTATCTAGAGTCAGAGTGACTTGGGTTCATATCCCAGTGCTGCCTCTCAGCAGCTGTAGGGTAGGGTTATTTAATCTCTCTTGGCCTCGGTTTATTTATCTGTAACATGGGTATGCTGATACCTATCTCAGAGGCATATTATGGGGAGGATTAAGCTCCTTCCCTTGTCCCATTCCCTGGTGGGGCAGAGTTTGGAGTTAAGCCACAAGGAAGGTAGAAAAGAGGGAGGCAAGGGTGCGGCAAACCGACAAGGCACATGTATACATATGTAACAAACCTGCACATTGTGCACATGTACCCTAGAACTTAAAGTATAATAATAAAAAACAAATAAATAAAATAAATAAAAAACTATTAACAGAAAAAAAGAAAAGAAAAGAAAAGAGGGAGGTAAAAGCCAGAAGATCACTCTGGGCTGGCAAATGAATGTCTGATTAAGTCCTCCTCTCGACGTCTGGGTTGGCTATCCGGGCTGGCCACGACAGTCCCTCCTACCTGCGCGGCACTTCACAGTCTACAAAGCTATTGTGTGACTAGCCTCCCAGCAAATTCTCATCAGCCACACGCTGGGTTAGGAAAGTGGGTCCAGGAGGAACCTGGTTTAGAAAGGGGGAGTGTTTCTACTATAAAGACACATGCACACGTATGTTTATTGCAGCCCTGTTCACAATAGCAAAGACTTGGAACCAACCCAAATGCCCATCAATGATAGACTGGATAAAGAAAATGTGGCACATATACACCATGGAATACTACACAGCCATAAAAAAAATGAGTTCATGTTGTTTGCAGGGACTTGGATGAAGCTGGAAACCATCATTCTCAGCAAACTCACACAGGAACAGGAAACCAAACACCGCGTGTTCTCACTCATAAGTGGGAGTTGAACAATGAGAACAGATGAACACAGGGAGGGGAACAACACACACCAGGGCCTGTCGGGGGGTAGGAGGCCAGGGGAGGGATAGCATTAGGAGAAATACCTAATGTAGATGATGGGTTGATGGGTGCAGCAAACCACAATGGCACGTGTATACCTATGTAACAAAGCTGCACAGTCTGCACATGTATCCCAGAACTTAAAGTATAATAAACAATAATAATAATGAAAAAAGAAAGGGGGAGTGCTCCCTGCATCATGCAGGGCTGAAGCCCAGACATCTGACTCCTCCCAGCATGCCCTCCTTCATCCATGTGGCCTTTCTGAGTGATGAGAGATGTCACTGGGATCCAGAAAGGGTCACCCCAACTGGCCAGAAGCAGGGATTCACCCACTTATGCCAAAACTGAAGGTGGGTCTTGCATGTTGAGGCACCAGGGCCCCTTCAGCTGGAGCAAGATTGCCTCCAGGTCAGAGGCCACAGCACCCATAGCTCTTGCGTCCCCTCCTTTGCCATCTCAACACTGCCCCCACTCTTGGATACTCACGCAGGGTGTTTGATCATTTCAGATTGCCTCAGCATCCTCTTCCACAAAGCAAGGGGGTATGCTGAGATGGCCCTAAAACCTTTTCGACCTGATGTTCTAGGATTTTGGAGGTCCTCTGCAGAGTGCTGGCCCCACTTCTCCGCTGATAGGCAACCATAGAAAGCCTTGGTTTTCCTCCTCCTTGGGGGAGCTGTCCCACCTGTGATGGCCTAACGGGTCCTGCTCACCCTCAGACCTTTCTCACTGATTCGACGTCATCTTCCACCCCCACCCCGACCTTCCCTGGGATAGTGATGAACCACCAGACATGGTCCCCAAGAGACCCAGCCTCAGAAAAAGTTCTCCATCACCCTGATCAGACCAAAGTCGATTTGGAGGCCAGGGGGAGGACGGGAGCCAATGGTGTTTAGTAAAAAGAGCTCAAGTGGGTTATCTTCAGGGAGGGGCATGTGGCTGCAGAATAGATGTCTGTCCTGAGGACTCTTAGGGCTCGCTCTTTCTTCCCTACCGCTGCACCCCACCCCAGGGCCAGCAGGGCATGTGGGAGGGAGTCTGGAAGCAAGTGAAAAGAACGCTCTCCTGAGTGCTCTTCCTCCCAGCAAAAATAAAACTACTACGGTTGGAGGCCTCCCTGGGCCAGGTACAGTGCTAGGCCATTGACTTGCATGATTTCCATTTAAAGGGGGTGGCATTTGCTCCATTTTTTATCTCTAAGTGCTGTGGGCATCTTGGTCTCGGCCTGGTCAGCTTTGGGACTGATGATCAGCCAATTCTGGCCATGGAATAGGAAGGTTGCAGTACATGGTGAGGAAAATGCTGCCCACTGTGTCCCACCAATCAGCACACACATGCACATGCGCACACACACACACACATGCACGCACACACACACACACGCATCCCTCTCCTCTCTCTTGGCCAGGTGGATGCTGGCTCCATCAGCCTGGGCTGAAGCTAGATCCAGGGAGAGGAGGCTACCACTAGGAAGGCCACAGGTAAAAAGCTAAAGGAATCAGGGACATGAGTGGGGCAAATTCTCAGCTTTCAATGACAAGAACATTGCCTCCAAACCAGCAATTATGGGTGCCCATGAAACTCAAGGGTGGAGAAAAGGGACACTGGCAAAGTGTCTGCTTTTTATCCCACTAATGCCTCTTGAGAAGTGATATCCCTCTAAAGCCAAAGTTCCTGAGATGAGGTTTAACATGGCCACTTTGGAAGAAAAAAAAAAAACCCTCGGCTCCAGGAACGTAACAACAGAAAATAATTAAGGTCTAATAAGGTCAGTGTTCCACCTTAACACCTTTTCAGTTCCAGTTAAAACCTCTACTAATTTGCCAAGAAAAACCAGCCTCACTTGGGCCTTATTATTTGAATCACGTCCTGTCTCTTAATTTAAACGAGAGACTCACATAAGGATTTTTTTTTATTTTAAATTACAATGCTGACTTTCTTCCAGTTGATTACGGTATATGACTCTCTGTTAGAAGGCCATTATTTTTTGCTATGATTTACAAAGCATTTAAAGCGAAATCAATGTAATAAATATCGAAGTATTGTAATAGATAATTCCATATATTTAACTGGAGACACAGCACAGCCCTGGTTCAGGCAGTCAGGAGATGAGCAGGGTGAGGACGGGATGGGGGAGACAGCTGGTATCCACTCTCTTCTTTTCTCCCCTTTTCTTTTCTCTGTATTCATTTAGCCAGGATTCACCCAGCCCTCCCTAAGATTCTGCACACTGGACTTGGGACTGTGGGGAGTCATGGGTGCTCAAGACGCATTATCCAGAGGCCGTGGGCTGTTTGAAGAAATTCCTCTGCAACAACTGGCTCATGAATACTGGAGGCCACCGTGGGTGGGAGGCCACACTAGCACCCTCTAAGGAGCTGTGATGAGAGAAGATTTCTCATCACAGTGGAGGAGAGGTGTGGGTGGGGGGCAGGTCAGGAAAGGCTTTTGCTAGCATCTCCTCCTTTCCTCTTCCTGCTCCTCCCCTCCCCTTCTTAACTCCTCCTTTCCCTCCTCTTCCCCTCCTCTGCCCTCCTCTCATTCCTGTCTCTTCCCTCCCTGGACTGAGCTGTCTCTAGGCCTCTGGCGGCAACCAGCACATACTGGCCTCTGACTGGACAAGCTCAGCTCAGGACAATCAGCCCAGCATTTGCAGATGTGAAAGCCCCCGAGGAGGGCAGAAGTGTGAAGGTGGATAGGGTGCCCAGCCTTCATCTGCCCTCTCAAGTGTGTGACCTTGTGTTCACCCCCAGTGACAGAGCTCACAGCAGTGTTTGCAGGGCCAGTCGCTTTGAGACTGCCTGCCCTGGGGCAGGGAGCAAATTTCAAGCTGCCTTCCTTCCTGTGCACCCCCATCTCAAAAAGGACCCAGAAGCAGGTTCCTTTCCAGCTAGCCCCTGACCTGCCACTCCATGAGGAGCATCCCCAGCCCCGCCACTTCTTCCTGGCCTCAGAGCTATTGTGTGGGGGTCACACATCTGCTCCCAGGTGGGCTCTGCTCCCGGGTTCCTGGCTGGATTCAGAAACTCATGCCCACCAGTGAGGGGGCCACACATGGGCCACCAGCCTATGGGTGGGTCCAGATAACACATCTCCACTGCAAGTCATGTGTTCTGTCTGCAGAGCTATTCGAGTGCCATGGGATCTTAATAAGGGCTTTGTGGACTCAATGCTGCAGCTCGTGATGGGGTGTGGGTAGCACACTTTTAGCAGATCCCAGAGAAGGAAGATGTATGGTCCCTTGCCGTACCACCCCAAGCCTGAACCCAAAGCCCCAAGTCCCTAGCTCTGAACAGATTTCACCATAAATCCCAGGAGGGGACGGGCAGAGGGAAAGGGAGCAGAGAAAAGAGATTTACAGCGAACTTGCTTCCTGACACCTCTTTGGCCCGTCCCATAAAATAACAATATCATCAGATAAATCATACAGAGTCTCAGGGGACCTTCCCCTTGTCTTTGTGGGGTCTTTGAGGGGAGATGAGGAGACATGGTCAGGTCCACCCAGCTGCGTTCTCCCTGGCAATATCAGTTCCAGCTGCCATGAGGACGTCTCAGATTTAATCCCTGGGCTATGTATGGGGTGGTGGGGTAGGAATGAGGTAGGGAAGAAGAGTGTTGGCTATGGACACCCAAGAGACAGCATGGCATAAGAGATTCAGCATGAGCTTTGAGCAAATCCCGGCTCAAATTCCTAGCTGTGTGACCTCAGACAAGTTACTCAACCTCTCTGGGCCTTGGTTTATTTCTCTGTAAATGCAGGACATGGAATATCTACATGACAGGATATGTATGAGGAGTTATTGAGAATAATGTATGCCAAAGCTGGTGTATCGTAGGTACTTAAAATACGGGAACTACCGTAGCCACAAATGTTTTCTCTCATCTAGGATATAAAATGCTGTGGCCGTGTTCCCAGCAGAGGGAATCAAATGCTGAGCCCTCTGCAGAGACACCACACTCCCTTGTCCTCTCTGGCTATTGTCTCAGCCTTGGTCTTTGAGCTTAGAAAGGCAGAGCTCCCCATTAACTCACAATGTGACTGTAAACAAGTTTCTTCCCCTCTCCAGGCCTGTTTCGCATCTATAAAATGAGGAGGTGGAAAGTACTTGGTCTTTAAGGCCCAGTCCATTGTAAGATAAAATCTCAAATCAGGAGAAATTTCTAACTGTAACCAAAGGGAGCAGGCAGGACCCAGACGCTGCAGGCGGTGAAGCCAGCTGAAACTGGCATGGTCATGCAGCCTGGGGCGGACGCTGTTGCCATCCTAGGAAGAGAGTGTAGGGCTCCATCCAACCGGTCCCACAACTCTGACCACCCCAAGTGAGAGATTCCTCTGTCTGCAGCCTGCATGGCCGTGGACACAGTCTGCGGCATTGCACCGAGGGACCTTCGTCCAGGGGGAGGGCTGTGTTTCCAGAGCTGGGAGCTGGGTGGGTGAGGCTCCATCCAGGCTCATGCTTCGTACCTGGAGCAACCTCGTACTTCCCTTCCTGCCTGTGCGGTCTCCTCCTCCCGCCAGTCCTCCCCAACCCTGTTTTTTCCCCTCCCTTCAGCATCTTCAGCTATTAAGAATGATAGCTTGGGCTTGGGCTCCAGCCTTCCAGCCTCTGCCCTCTCTCTCTCTCCCTCCTTCCTTCTTTCCTTTCTCCTCTTGCTTTTCCATCTTCTCCTTGTACTTCATTTCCTCCTCTCTTTCCTTCCTTCTCCAGTTCCTCCCTTTTCCTCCTTCACTGTTTGATTTTTAGCCCTCTGATTTTTTCTTCCTCTTCTCCACTCTTTATTTCTTTTCATCCTCCTCCCGGTCCTTTTTTCTGCTTTGTCACCTCCTTCGTTTTCTTCTCTCTCTGGCTGACTCAGGGGACCGGAGGTGGGCCTATCTGGAGTGAGTGAGTAAGTGTGTTGGGAGGTGAGGGTGGAGGGCTGGAGGGGGGCAGTGATCTGGCCTGAGCCCCTCCAGTATTGCTCCAGCCCCAGCCGCAGGAGGATCAGGAGTTCACCCGCAGGGCAGCTGTCAGCGGCTCAGTGGATGGATGAGTGAAAGTGTAGGGGGTGGGGAGGTGAAGTTGCTGGAGAGGGGGCCCTTTTTAAATAAAAATGAAAGGAGCTTGGCGGATGAAGTGACAGGGACTGTTTCATAATAAGCCCCGCCCAAGGCACCTCTGCCAGGGGACCCAGCCCTGCTGCCCACCTCCCTCCAATCCTGTGCCCTGTCTCCATCCCCAAAGTTTCTTTCAGCACAGAGCCTGTTTGTTTCTCTGATCTTCTGGGCAGGCCAGAGAGCAGGCAATCCCCCACACTCAACTCCCCAGAACCACTCCCCGCCCAGCCTTCCCCATCTCCCACTGTGGGGCGGCTGGGATTGGAACCCTGGGCAACCTGCTCACAGAGTGATGTCTGGGCAGATTAGCACCCCAAAGCTGGCAGGCCTATTAGGAGGCCTTTGTGGGGGAGGAGACCAGGGGAGGCGAAAGGGATTTTCCATTCTCTGAGCAACTGGATTACACAGTCAGGGGATCAGGGAAGAACTGCTACTTAAGCTGCCTCTGCCCTGGCTCTCCGCCTCTCACGGGCTCAGCAGGGATCTTACCAAGCCCTGCCTTGCCTGCTTTTTGAAGAATCTTTATGTAACTTGAGTTAGGTTTAGGGGCAAAACCAAGTCTCATCTCCTCCTGCCCAGCCCTGAGCTATTACACCAAACAGGAGCTCAAGAGGGCTCCGCTTGCCACCACTTCCGCCAAGCCTCACCTTCCACAGAGCCCCCAGGTCTGGAGGTGGATCTGGAAGGTGTGACTCAGAATGGTGAAGTGACTTGCTCTGAGTCACACCATGAGTGAAAGGCAACCAGGATAGCTACCTGACTGTGGACTGGATTTATGGGAGAATGTTCTCTGAAGAGTGAGCCAGGTCTGTGCCAGGGACTGGAAGGGGCCCAAGGCTCTGCTGTTCCCCCTACAAGAAGGAAGTTTGCAGTCTGGGCACGGTGGCTCACACCTGTAATCCGAGCACTTTGAGAGTCTAAGGCAGGAGGATTGATTGACCCCAGGAGTTCAAGACCAGCCTGGGTAACATAGGGAGACATCTCTATAAAAAATTTAAAAATTAGCCAGGTGTGGTGGCATGTTCCTGTGGTCCCAGCTACCTGGGAGGCTGAGGTGGGAGGATAGGTTGGGCCCATGAGTTGGAGCCATGATAATGCCACTGCACTCTAGCCTGGGTGACAGAGCAAGACCTTGTCTCAAAAAAATAAAAAAGAAGGAAGTTTGTTCCTGAGTTTTTTGTCAGCCCAATATATGCTTTAGAGGGAGGGGAACCCTACTCCCATTTGTTCTCTCAGGCTGCAGAAGACCAGACCACAGTGGATGGTGAAGAAGAGGAGAGATGTGGAGAAGATTAGGTTGAAAGAGTCCCAAGTCTTAAAGCCTACTCCCAGCCTTATCACTAACTTGCTGTGTGACCTTGGACAAACCACCTCTCCTCTCTGAGCTTCAGTTTTCTTATCTGCAAAATGGAGATGAAAACTTCTCTTTCAAGCATTGTCTTGAAGGGTGAATAAGACAAGGTACTAGAAGAGCATCAGGCACAGCCCCTGGCACATACAGCTGCTCCCTCAATAATAGTGGAAGCAAAGTCTTTTCCCCAGGAGCTGCTGGAAGCAGAATCTTCCACCCAGGAGCTGTGCCCACTCCCTAGGATAGCAGGCTCTGCTACACAGCCAAGCAACTGGTTCTTCCCACCAGGAGGGCAAATCCATCAGATTCAGCAAGATTGGCCTCCCCAGCCTGGCATAAGGTTACTGGGGGGTCATGACCCCATACCTTAGGTCCACTTTCTAGAAACAGTCCGCACACAAGAGGACCAAAGACCCCCACCCTAGCCCTGTGTGGCCCCTGAAGGCCTTTTGCTGACAAAGTGGTCATCTCTGACCTTCCTGATGGCCTATGCTCCTTCCAACCAGAAAATGTCTGTGATCCTGTGACCCCTAGAAGCCCTGCCTTGCTAATGGTTTTATGATCTTCCCTACAGAATTCTCTCTTTGCCTTCTATACCTCTCAGCCCCTTTCAGTAGGTCCTAGTCAAAATAAACAACATTTATGACCAGAGCAAGATTCAAGGTCTGCATTGCAAACAAATGCAGAGCTCTTTGAAGGTGCCTGGGGAATCCATCACTTCCTGGGGTGTGACGTTCCCCAGGCCCAAGGGGAGGTAGGCCCTGGGAAGGGACTCAAGCCTGAGAAGCTGGGCCCTGGATCAGAGTTTAGAGTCTGAGGATCCCCTGCTGCCTCTCCCTCCTCAGCACCAAACTCATCCTCTATGCAAGAGGAGAGGGGAGGGGAGAAGAGGGACTGGGCATGGCATGAGAGGTCCGCTGTGCCCAGCAACCTCTCCTACGCTATGTTCAAGGCCACCTTGGTGGCCAGGACTTGATCCATATGTCATCAGGGGAGAAGACAAAATGAAAGAGAGGGGGGAAAATACAGAGATAAACAAAGACACAGGCAGCAAACAGGAGTGAATGAGAGGGTTAGAGACCAAACCCAAGGGTCTCAGCCTTGATCCCTACTCTGGCACTCACCTGGACAGAAGAGCCGCCACCATGGCCACGCTGGGACAACTTTCCTAAAGAAAACTCATCCAAAACTCTGCAGGCCAGTGTAGCTAAAGGGAGAGAGGGAAAGAGAGAAGCAGGCTCCCGTCTGAGTTTCTCTCGGAGGCCTGAGTGAGTGATTACACAGAGGGAAAAGTGGAGGCCCTCCATACAGAATGAAAACCCTCTCCTCCATCCCACCACAGATGAGAGGCAGAAGCCCTCCCCCATACTCTCCTAAACATCCTCCAACAGAGAAGCGGCCCGCAGGCGGCAGCTCAGGCTGTGTTGTCTCAGTTTTGCCTTCTGCACGCTACTGTGGATGAGAGGCAGTCTTCTCTGGCAGGTATGGTCACGGAGCAGGTTTGTTTTCAAGGGGGACTGGCCCTGCCTGGGGAACTGTTAGTGGAGAATATTAATGTGGGATTCCCAAAGGCCCAGGTCTGAGAGCAGCTTTCTAGGACACACAGCTCAATGCGTTCTTCAGCACCATGCCAGCCTCCAGAACTGGGGCACGGGCCTGGGGGCTGGTGTTCTCTGACTCACAGCTGGGCTTGGGGGGTGGGGGGAGAAAACTTTCCTCCTGGAGCCTGTGCCTTATCATTTACCCTGCTAAAAATATTATGCTATCCAACAGGTTGGGTGAGGAGCTAGCCAGGAAATATGTGTGGGTAGCAAAGGTATCTATCACATTTATCAGATCCCCACGAATAGTATTTGTATATGTGGCATATAATTAGTGTTCGATGAGTGAGTCAGAGAGAGATAAATTGGAAAGGAAACAAAGAAACAGAAAGAGAGCTGGAAATGCAAGTGTGAGTGTTTCCAGGATAAATATACTTTGTTTGAAATTATTCTTTGCCTAAACTGAAAGAAGAATAATTTTTAATAACTTTTAATGACCTTATACAAGTAAATGTAGATGTTTCATCAGGGTGCCCTGGTACCCAGCACAGTGCTTTTTGTATGGAAAGTCCTCCATGTCATAGAGCTTTTGGTCTAGAAGAGCCTTGGAGACCATCTCAGCCACTGGGTCTCAACCTTGGTTGAACATAGAATAACCTGGGGAGCTTTAAAAAAAAAAAAAGATGCAAGGAACTCACCTCCCAGAGATGCTAATCTAACTGGTCTGGGGTGGAGCCCAGACATCTGTATTTTTTGAAAGCTCCCCAGATGATTCCTCTGTGCATCCAAGGTTGAGAACTGCCCATCCAGGCCCATTCTTTTTTTTTTTTTTTTTTTTTTTTTTTTGAGACAGAGTGAAGTGGCGCGATCTTGGCTCACTGCAAACTCCACCCTCCGAGTTCAAGCAATTCTCCTGCCTCAGCCTCCCGAGTAGCTGGGATTACAGGTGCCCACCACCAAACCTGGCCAATTTTTGTATTTTTAGTAGAGACGGGGTTTCGCCATGTTGGCCAGGCTGCTTTCAAACTCCTGACCTCAGGTGATCCACCCGCCTTGGCCTCCCAAAGTGCTTGGATTACAGACATAAGCCACCACATCCAGCCCCAGGCCCGTTCTTTACAGATGTGCAAACTGAGGCCTAGAGAGCAGGTTGCCTAGATCCACACAGCTAACTGGCAGCAGAATCAGGATCAGAGAAGCTAATCAGGCATCCTGACTCCTATATACCTCTCTGACATGTTTGTCAAATGAGCAAATAAAAGGTTGATCCTCTTTTGGAGGCATCTGTCTGCAGAGACCAGCTACCCCACCCCCTCTCCCACTCCTACGTTTTCATATTATTTTCATCAGAGGCTAGACAGGCTGGCATCTTGACCCTGATCCTCCAGGCTTCCCATCCTGAAGGCCTCAGGGTTCACAGGGCAAACACACAGTTCCCAGGTAAAAAAAACTGTCCACCACGTCTGGAGCCTCCAAGAGTAACAGAGCAGCTGCTGCTCCATGGCCATACGGAGCGTGTCAGTGAATGTTAGTGTACTCCCCAGAGCAGGGGTGGAGGAGTGTGCATGTGTGTGTGCAAATGTGCACATGCACACAAATGTACATTTCAGGAGGAGACTGGGCAGAACAGTCTCCTGCATGTGGGCACACATCCTTCTGGGAACATCAGCACTTGGCAGTGAGAGTACCAACATGTGTACACATACATATCCACATGTGGGGTGAGACGCATGTTGCTGTTAGCATCCGTCTATGCAGGAGGGTAGGTAAGTGTGTGAGAAAATGTGTAAATGTAACAAAGACTTTGAAAAGCGGCCTGTGTGTGCTGCTACATGTATCTAGAATCGTGTACCAGTACAGAAATCTGAATCTACATTTCTAAAATCTACATTTACACTTACCTGTGAAGGCATATATACGAAAATATGTACATGGCTGGCTGGCCATGTGACTAAGTGTGACTGGCAGTCTGTGTTTGCAGGATGCAGGTTTATGTGAGAGAGAAAGGTTTCTGCTGTTTCTATCACACTTCCCCTAAGTAATCACTGGGAAACATATATGTTGGAAAACTGTATCTTTCATGCTTAAATATATCTCAGCATATATAAATGAAACATGATACTGTGCCAACTGAGATGCTACACATTAACGTTGTTTATCATTGATAGAATTAAATAACCCATGCAAGGCCCTGGTAGCATTTCTTACAATTTTATTTAACACTGTTTTGGCCAAGCAGCACTTGGCAAACACACATACACACTGTGGCTTACTGTAACAAATGCACGATTTGTAGGACATAATACACAATACAAGAAAAGTATAACAAAAGAGTGTCATCTAAAAATTCCAAATGACCCCCATCTTTCTTTGGGGCTCATCTTATTCCCCTTCCTTCCCTAAACCTGACGAAAACCCATCCCTTCACACTTCCCTAGGAGGTCTCTGCATTCGTGCTAAAGACAGATAAAGTGGAGGGTGAGGATTTGAGGTGGGGGAAGAGATAACACTCCAAGACCTGGTCTCTGGAATGTGTCTACTCCTCCCCAGTCTGTCAGAGGCAGGCCCAAGCCCCAGCATGTGTTAAAACTGAGAGACCAAAGAAAGCATTTTTGTATAGGTTCTGCAGACCCTCAACATTGACTGACATAGTTACTCATTCAGAAGGAGGAAAAGGAGCTTCGTACTTATCAGATTGGTAAATCCTTCATTAAAAGATTAATATAAATAGTTCCTTGCTTTTATTTCTTTCTTTCTTTCTTTTTCTTTTTTTTCTTTTTTTTTTTTTTTTTTTTCGAGATGGGGTCTCACTCTGTCACCCAAGCTGGAAGGCAGTGAGTGGCATGGTTCTCAGCTCACTGCAATCTTTGCCTCCTGGACTCAAGTGACCTCCCACCTCAGCCTCTCGCCCACTTTTCTTTCTTATGGGGAAACTATATCCTTCCTGGAGCCTAAATGAGAACAACCTTGCACACAGTTACAGGCTTGCCAGCTCACCTTTCAAAATGCATGCTGGTCAATGGACTAGAATGTTAGCTAAATTATGAATGGCCTGAGGGAAAAGAAAAACTAAGAGCTGGGAAGCTGGGCTCTTCATCTACACGACCAAACTTGAACATGAGCAAGATGGTAGGACCACCAATAACCATCCTACAAGCTGAAAATGCAAAATGCTTCCTTCCTTACCAGCCACTGGGCAGTGAAAAGAAATCACATTTAGTCCCCTGAATAGATGGCACTTGTAGATCTTTTCAAACTTGCCAAGGACTTCTTCATCTCCCAAGAGTCAGGCCAAGATCCCACAGGGAACCTCAAAACTCTGTTCCCTAGGATCTGTATTTTTGTTTTTGTTTTTTAAATTTTTTTTTAAGTTTTTATTTTTGGAGATGAGGTCTCACTATGTTGGCCAGGCTGGTCTCGAACTCCTAGCCTCAAGCAATCCTCCCATCTTGATCTCCCAAAGTGCTGGGATTACAGGCCTGAGCCAAGGTGCCCGGTCCCTAGGATCCGTTTTTAACCATCCCTGGGCTTCATTTTGGCACGGCAGTACCAAGATTGAGACAAGAAACTCTTCCCTATGCTTGCTTTCCTGTGTTCTAAGTTTCTCTCGCTACTTTTTCTCCTATGGAGACCCCTTAGGACTGTAAAATAAAGGAGGCCAAGTCCAATTTAAACAGCAATTGGACTTAACTCCACCCCTGTGCCCCAAATCCTCTGCCACTACCAACGAAGCAGTCATCAGAACTGTCTTTTTAGACAGCCCCCGGCCCCTCTTCAAGGACGGGCAGGGCTATCAGCCAACCTGTTTGGGAGACAGCTGAATGTCAGCACCAGAAAGTATTGTATCATCTTCGCACCGCTGGAGTCAGGAAGTGGGGTCTCCAGAGCCTGGTGCCAGGGCCTGTCTCCTGAGTGAATACAGAAGGAAAAAAAGTTTCCTAACATTTGGATTCAAAGTGAGAACGGTGAGTGGCACCCATCATCACTGTGCGTGCAACCCCAACAAACACACACGCGCGCGCGCGCGCACACACACACACACACACACACACACACACACACTGTCCATGCAGACAAAATCATGAATCATCTCCATGGCTGAACGTTTTAGCGTTCAGTAATATTCTCAGAGGCCCAAGGTTTTCAGCCAAATCCCAGGTCTGTGCACAAGGACACTGCATAAATCCCTCCCCTTATGAAAGGCCAGTCTGAGCAGATGGGACCACTCTTAAGTAAACTGTAGAGCCCTCCCTTCATCCATCGCGGAAGGAGCAGCGGGGGGGCTGGCCCTCTCAGCCCCGAGAGCAGAGAGCGGCAGAAGCTGTTAATTCTTGAGGCTAATGTTCACATCTCCAACTTATCTCTCCGAGGGGAAGTGTCCATTTGACCACATGATCCTCCCTCCCCTACCCTCCCCCAAGGGGAAATCAAATCTTGAAGTGAGACCGGAAGAGCTGCTGCGGAACGTGAGCACGGGAGAGCTGGTGGGGGTAGAAGGCGGTGAGGGGCCGAAAGGCTCCTCAAACCCAGTTTCTTTCCATGCTAAGGCTGGGGAAATAACCTCATGGCAACTACACTTTCCGATAACCCGCCTCATTAATATTTATTAAACAAAAGATTATTTTTTAAAGAAGAAAGGGCCAGATAATTAAACACTCAGCGGAGGTAGATGGCATCAGTTGGGCTTCCTCCACCCTGTTCTTGGTGTGGCCCCCACCCGCAGCCTAAGCCGAATGTGTACCTTGTACCATCAACCTCCCCAGCCCCTGCTCATCTCCCCAGGTGTGTCAGGAAGACACAAGGCAGGTGGAAAGAGAAAGAGACAGACTCGGGCACCCCAGGTGCTCACCAGGAAATGCACAGACTGTGAAATTACACCAGGGCTGGACAACTTACCACCACACTGGAACCCTTGGGGTACTGAAATAATTAACTTGCTAATCAGCTACACCTTGCTCTTTCTTTCTTCCTGGAAAAAAACAATTGCAAATCGCCTTCCCATCAGGTTCCCATGTCAGTCACTTGGAGACCAACAATGCTTTTGAAGAAATACACTCTCTGCCGCCATGTAGACCAAAATGGGTCATACCAAGTCAGGCCTCCTCCTCCCCAACCCTTCCCACTAGGCCTCAGGGGGCACACAGAGACACAATGTTTCTGGAGATGCAGGGTTTTTTTTTTCCCTCCCACTGCACAGAGCTTTTCCATGTCCGCTAAGCTTTCTTGCTTTCAGCCCCCTTTAGCCTGCTTGCTGGCACTAAACAGCCAAGATCCATGTGGAGAAAAGAGGATTGATTAGAATTGCAATAATGATCCCTGGCATCTGTCCGGTGTTAGTGTTCACAAAGTGTTTTCACACATTATCTCATTCGGCCAGAGGAGGTCGGAGCTGGAAGGGACCTCAGTAATCATTTAGCCGAATCCCCTCATGTTACAGATGAGAAAACTGAGGCCCGGAAAGGCTAAACGTCTTCCCTAATGGCCAGGGACAGTGTAGCCAAGTCTCCAAGCTCCTTGTCTAGGAATCCTGTGCTGCTTCCAACCCTCTGAAAAGAAAGAGCGTGGTCACGTTTTTGCGCCACAGTAGATATTAAACAAGTAGATATTAATCCAAAAATGAGAAAAGTAGAACATGAGAATGAATAAAAGCAACTCCTGTAAGAAATGGCTTGGGTTGGGGGGCGGCTGGAAGTGGGGAAGACAATTAGTCTAAGTCCTGAATGGAACACGTTAATTAACAAAGTTCCCCCTCTTTTTGTCCCCCTTCATCTCTCCACTTCTCTCCAGGTTTAAAAATATGAACATTATGCAGTTTGGAATCTAAGGCTTAATTCAGCTGCAGGTCCCGGGAGGAGAGGGAGTCTTTTCTTGGCTTCAGATCTGGCACCTATGCTCCCAAGGGTTGGCAGCATGACGGGCTTGTGTGTGCCTCTGTGTCCACTCAAGACGTTGGATTTAGCAGTGAAAACCAGGCATCTTGATCCTTTCACAGATCAGATGATTTGCAAATTAATGGCTCTTTTCCCCCAAGGCTCTGAGGAGGTTAAAAAAGATTTCTGGTGAAGGGGGGTGGAAAAATATAAAACGGGGAAAGGAAAGGAAACTGACATTGGATTTTGTGTCAGGAAAATACTTCCCTGTGAATGGCGCTTGTGTGCGTGGACATGGGTGTCTGCATTTCCATGGGGCTGTCGTGCCCCTGTTGCCCGAGGCTGTTGGAAGGTAAGCGGTTCCTTTGTGTGTTCGTTTATTACTAAGCCCAACTCTTTCCCCTCTAAAACTCCTTCTTCTCCCTGTTGAGCTGACCATGCTTCTGGATTTATGAAGAGAGATGTTTTAGCAGAAATCCCCCAGAGTGTCCCATCAGCCCTAAATCCCAGGCCCGCTCACCCCCACAAGACCCCATGACACACAGCATGCCAACACGGCTTCCTCTTGCCTATGCATTAGCCATCCATTGTGGCAACCTGACATCTCTCACACATAAAACCGTAAGAGAGAAATAAAATATCTGTCTCTTGGCGAAAATAAAGCTTTGCCTCCCTCCTGATGTATAGGATATAAAATAAAGCCTCGGCTCCAATAGTGGGTTTTCCTTATGCCAGAGTTGCCTTTGCACACACGGAGACAATGAAGACGGATGGTTTGGGACGAGGCCCAGCCTCCTGGGGCCGCCTTCACCCTCTTTTATTATAGTCTCTCCCCCCTCCCTGCCTTTTTCTTTCTTCTTCACTTTCTTTCCTTTCTGGGTTGGATTTGCCTTTTATATGCCCTTCTCTTTCTTTCCCCTGGAACTTTATTTCTCCTGCTCACTTTCTTTCTATAGCTTGACAGAGATGGTGGGAAAGGAACCAAGTTTCTCACCTTCCCAAACATGCCTGCCACCTCTCCTCACCTCCCCATCTCCGATCCCCAGCTCTCTCTGGACCACCAGCCCCTCTGACTCATTTTGCTGCTGCTGCTTTGAGATTTGCTTTGGTCAAATGTACAAATGTTCCCAAGGGACAATTAAAAATGTGTTTAGTGGTGGGGAGGGGGTGGATTTTTTTCTAGGGAGCTGCCCTTCCTCCCTCCTTTTTCTCTCTGGGCTGGGTGGTTTATAGATCTCAGCATTTCTTTATTTAGCCTCTGAGGAGGCCAACAGAGCAAAGCTGCCACCTCACAGGGGTGAGAGTTGACATTCACCTCCCAAACCTAAGCCTCAAAGCTGCATTACCAGACAGACTGTGGGCGTTGGACCCCTTCCAGCCAACTCAGCTACCAAGGGGACCATCAAGTCCCAGACCAGTCCCCTGCCTCTTCTCCCCAGTCTAAGAACTGAGGGTGCTGTGAGGGAACATAGGGGGCTTCCCCATGCTCACACAGAGAGACCAGAACTGTCACCCTCACAGTCACAGAGACATGACCACCTTCCTGCCTCTCACACACTTGGCGCTCCTTCCCACAGTGCATAGAGCCCACCTTTCCCTCCTTTGTCCCTAGAGGCCTCTCTCTTGCCTGGTGGCAACTGCGCCTCTCTGCGCCTCTGTGTCTCTCAACCCAAGTCTGAGGAAGGTTGTCTCTGGAAGCCTCTCCCCATCCTTGCCCTGACCTCCCACCACTCTCCTTCCATCAACCCCAGACTGCTTCTCAGCCCGTTCAAAACCTCACCTGCCTTAGGGGACTGCGGGACACCGCCCAGGTCCTTGGAAGAGTTAGTACTGCCTGAAAGAAGAGGGTGCAGGGTCTGGGCCCCTGGGGGAACAACATGGGAGGGGGAGCTGGTATTGCAGGGAGGTAAGAAATGTCCCAGGGACAGGGGTGGCTTTCAGCCTCTGAAACTGATCTCCCAAGGTGGAGGGCGGTAGAAGGGCTTCAGTGTGTGTAACCACATCACCCTAATCTGAGGAGATCTTTATTAATGCTGCCCAAAACCTGGAGGGGGAAGGAAGGCAGCAATATCTATGGAACTCTGCCCAAAAGTGGAGGTGGGGGCAGGGCTTAGAGCTGCCAAGTCCAGAAAAAACTCAATCTCAGTCCCAAAGGTCGTTAGCTTTGGGGTTCTCTCTCTCTGTCTCCCCCAACTTGATGTCTCTCCAGATATCGGCAGTGACCGCCGCCATTAGGTAAGGGGAGAGAGTCAATTAGTGAGAGGATTAATTACTGTGAGGCACGAGCCCCGTTTGTCTTCCTTACTGGGTGTTCAGACAGAGGAACACGGGCACGCACCCAAATACACATTGTTGTCACGCCGTCTTAGACGTTTTATTTATTTGTTGGATTCCTGCCCAGAGCCGCTTTTCCACGGGCGCAGAGTCTCCCACCAAACACGCTGCCTCTTTCTCTCAGCACGCACTCGCCTGTCCCAAAGCCGCACACCCCCAGACCCGCGGGACGCCCCCTCCGTGCCTGCAGGGCCCTCGGCTCCGCGCCCGTCCCCGCGGCCTTCTTCGTGGCAGGGTCTCTCTCTGGGTCTAATTTCTGTTTCTTTTCCTCCACTTCTCCCCGCATTTCCCCGACAGATCTTTCCTTTCTTTATCCCCGCCTGCTTTTCCGCACTCCGTCTCATCTTTTCTGTGGTTTTCTGCCTTTATTTTCTTTTCCTGTCCCTCTCTCCTCACTTCTGCCTCTATCTCTCTTTTCTGTTCTTCAGCTCAGCGTCTCCCTCCCAAGATTATCCACGTCCTGTCTTTGCTCCGCGGTGCGGAGCTGACTCGCAACTGGAATCTCCACGCTTGACCTCGCTGTTCCACCCGCTCCCTGCCCCACCCCACGCCCCTGCCCCCCCTCCCCCACGCCCCTGCCCCATGCCCAGGGTCCCTCCAGCGCTCGTGGGAAGCCAGAGTTGTTTACCCAGGCCAGGCACATACCGTGACGCCCCGGCCTGCCGGATGCTGCCCTTTCCTGGCCCTGCGGTCCCTGCTCCCCCTTAACCAGCCCAAGCCCCCCTTGCTTATAAAACATGGCCAGGCGCAAAGTGCACACTGGAGCAAGGTGCCAAGCTCCCCACCCAACTTCTCACCTTAAATAGTGCTCTGACCTAGGGATCTCGGACAAGCCTCCTAACTTGGGCCTCCTGGCCGGGAAAGTGGAGATAGTACCCTTCTCTTCCACCCCCCACCACCCTCTTGCTATACGGTTCAGGGGAGACCGTGATACAAGCTGTGAAGTACTGCACACGAGTAGATCATTTCCATGAGAGAGTGATGGGTGAGATTAAGGCAATTTGAGTCCGGAGAGAACTAGACGGGAAGGAGAGGCGGGAGACCTTGGCGCTCAGATCCGAGCGACCTTATCCACGCAGTTCCCTGCGTGGCATTACTGCGGCCTCACCGAGTCTGGGCGGAGTTTGCGTGGCCTCTGGGACCGGCAGAGTCCAGGGGTGCTCCGGGCTGGCTATTTCCTCCCTCCTCCGGGATGGGTGTAGCAGGGTGTGTACTCCGCATGGGGTAACCTCCTAGAGCCGGCTACGCCCCAGGCGCCTCCTTTCACGGCCTTGTCACTCTTTTCTGCTCCTTGGGCTGTTCTGGAACCGAAGAGAGAGGAGGGAAATGGCTAGGGGCGGCCATCATCCTCGGGATCAATAGCAGCCGAGAGTGACTGGGCAGGCTCTGTCCATGGGCCGAGCGTCATTCTGGAACCTGGAGGGGGCGGGGGCGGGGGAAGGAAGGGAAGTGGAAGTTTGAGAGGGGCACCTTCAGGCTCCCCAAACTGCATGGCAGCTGGAGAGGGCTGACAGAACCCTCTCCAACCCGGGTTCTGACCAGGGTCCCTCTGGGGCTGATCGTCAAGGAGCTTCTCAAGAAAAGAAACCTGGACTGTGAAAGTCACCTCCTAGGCCCTCTGGGGCCGTATCCGGGGGTGCCTGGGAGGAGGGTGGAAAGGATTCTGCAGTCACCGAGCTATGGGCGAAAATGATCCCCGCGGACCCTGGTCCAGAATGTACAGGTCCTGGGCGGTGTAAGTGGCTGTGGGTCTGTGGAGGACATTGGGTAGGAAAACGCTTGCGTAGTTGAGGATGCAGACAATAAATGTGGCCGGGAAGGTGAGGAGGGAAGGTTGGTGCTCTTCGCTGAACGGAACTGGCTTAAATGCAGAGCTGAGCTGAGCGGCTTCGGAGAAGGCGAATTTAGAAAGCCTGGTCAATTTTCTCTCCATGTCCCTGCGACCGATTATGTTTTAAAACAAAAGCTCAATGGAAACGAAAACAAAACAAAACCCACCATTTGTCTAATGTGCTGTCCCCGTGGAGGAGTTAAATCTGGACTCCAAACCTAGAATCTGGAGCCAAGAGGCGCACTTTGAGTTGCGCTCCTGGCCCCCCTTGCAGAGACGCCAGGGTTGGCTCCTGCGGACCTGTTTACTGAGCCATCTGGACACCAGGACGAGCGGAGCCTGACGCCCTAGAGCGAGCGTCCTGTCCTCATCCTCAACTCTCCTGCCTCGCTGGTCCGTCTGTGGGGAGGGGCCTTCTTTCCCCTATACCTAGGTCCCAAGGTTCTTACACCCCTAAATGGATGGAGCAACCTCCTCCTGCCCACCAGAGGGAGGTGACAGGCCCTGGGTTGGGGAAGGGCCGACAGCTAGGTCCAGCTGTCGTCCGGTAGGTCCCACTGACCGCCCCACACTCCACCGTGACCCCTCTGCTTTGCATGAGAAGGAGCCCAGCTGGGACGGGGGCGGAGGCAAGCCACCCGGGACTGGGGCCACTATAGATTCCAGAAAGGGGCGGTTGGGTCGAGGGCGCTGGCGGCGAGAACCGGGACAGCTGCGGGGAGGGGAGGAGTGTGAGGACAGCAGGGCTGGACTGGCCCCCTCCCCGCAGGCCTCACGCAGCGCAGCAGGCTGGGAGGCGCCTGGGGGTCCGGGTGGAAGAAGTGGGGACCCCATGCCACACGGCTTTTGGCGCTTGCGGGGGTGCCAGAAGCCTACCGAGTACCGGTCGTCTTCCGCCGGGAAGTGCCGGGTCCGCAGGAGGAGCGCGAAGCCGAGTCCGAGCCCGCGGAGCCCGCCCCCTAGATCGCAGAACCGCCTTCTCCATCCTCTGCCCTGCCCCGCGTCGGGGTCTGGGAGCGACCGGCGGAGGCCGGCGGCGCGCCGGAGCTGACTAGTCCCCTACGCTCCTCCGGCCCGCAGCGGGGAGCCCACATGTGTATGTGCAAGAAGGTGTGGAGAAGGCGTTAGGGTCCCGGCACCCACGGGTCAGGGCAGAACGCCAACGAGTCGCACTGCGGGTCTCCGCGGCTTCGGTTTCCATGACATGGTGACGCCGGCGGCAAGGCGGGGGGCTGCCTGTGGGCCTTGAGGTTGCTGGGCGGTGCGGGCGGAGTCAGCAAAGGGGCGTTGGCAAAGCCCTAAAACCCCACGGTTCCACGGAGCGCAAGCCAGATTCTCTGAAGCAGCTTCCCCGTTCGTCCGAAGAGGGTATTCCATCTGCACAGCGGGATTCCCTGCCAGCCCAGGTTCACTGCGACTCCGCTTCCCCGAGCATTTCCCCCGTTTCAGCTTCCGTCTGGTCTGCGCATCGCGAGTGGGGTCCAAAGGCCAATTCCACAATACCAGCCAGCTCCGGAGGGACGCCCACTATCACTGCCTTCCATGCTCGGGCCAAATGAGCCTTCCTAGCACCCCCTCCCCCGAAGCACAAAAACGGGGAGCAAAAGTGGGACCGCCCAGCCCAACCACCTTCAGACTCCACTTCAGGAGAAATCCTGGTTAAGCCCACCCAGAACAGGTGTGGTCGAAACGGAATTTAGGGTTTGACTTGAGTGCTCCGAAAAACTACAGTAACTCTTCCAGGCGAAGGCACTCTAGACCAGGATCTGTCCCCCACGTGTGGGAAAATAGGCCCCTGGGGGCGGCGGTCCCGAGTTCCTAGCCAGAGCGGGATTAGGGAGTTACGGGTTCCCTGAGGAGTGAACTATGGAGGGTGTGGTTTGCTGTTGTCTGGGGAAGCCGGTGCCAACCCGAAGCCTGGACAGGGGAGGACTGGAATCCCGGCACACGCTGCCCATGCACTGCACGCCCATCTACTGCAGCCTCTTCGTGGCGTCCCGGCACCCCCCCTCCTCCTTCCCTCTTCCCAACGCCACGACCACCACCCCCAGCCGCCGCTGGAGCCCCCGGTTTCCCGCCTAGTCGTTTGTTTTTGTACGTAAAAGGTGTCTCCGGATCACAGTTTTCTCACAACTTTCTCGCCAGGGTTGCAACTCCTCACCCGAGGCGCTTCCCGGTCCACTCCTTCCCCCGCGCCGGCGCCGCGCCTCCGGTCTCCCCGCCCCCATCAGGAAACCGCCCGAATCAACTTTGCAAGAGTGCTCTGCGGGAGACAGACACTCAGCTCGCCCAGGACCCGGACCCTGTGGACTTTGGATGGATTGGGGGAGGGGGCACAGAAAGAGGGACGGGAGGAGGGAGATTCTGCTGCTAAGAGCCTCCTCCCCCTCCAAAGATGTGCGCTGCGCTTGGGACAAACTTCCAGGTCAAGAAAGTACGGGGGGACAATGGCAACAGCCGCTGAATTGCAAAGCCCAGCAGTGCAGGGGAGCCGCCTGGGATTCCGGACCCGGCTGCACCCCAACCTTCCACAAGGCTCGGTCTTGGACTACCCCCACTCTACAGCAGAACTCTGGCCTCCGCCTGCGCCTATTCCCGCTCTCTCTCTGTCCCTCCCATCGAAACCCACGCCTTACCGGAGCAGGAGGGGGCCCAGGCACGGTGCTGCCCGCCGTCCGCGCCGCGCGGGGCCGCGGGTGCCGCCGCCACTGATCCTCTAAACGCGGTCTCCCCGCACTCTCCCGGGCCGGGGGATGCAGAATGGTTTACAGAGGGACCGCGAGGCGCTGATTGGTCGCAGGCCGCAGTGACGTCGGCGGGCGCTGCATTAAGGCGAGGGGGCTTCCAGAGCTCAGCCAACAGCCAGGAGCAGTGACCAAGCCGCCGGAGCTGGGGAGAGACGCACCGGGGCGGCGACTGGGCCAGGAGACCAGGGACTGAGGGACGCGCCCGGGGAGGGCCAGCAACAAGCCGCGGCCCGGGCGCGACAGCGGCGGTCCGCGCCGAGCCGTTCCAGCCGCCGGCCTACTGTAGCCGCTGCGCCAGGACATTTTTTTTTAAAGCTCTCCAAGCTGCCCCCCTCCTCCCCGACTCCTCCCGCTGCAAAAGAAAAACAAAAAAAAAAAAGGAAGGAGGCTAGAAAGGAAACCCAGATTTGCCACCACAACGAAAAAAAGAAGGGGAAAAGGAAAAGGAGAGAAAGTCGAGCGACTGTGGGGTTAGACGGAGGCAGACAGAGCGTGGGCCGAGCGATGCGGGGCTGTGCGCCCAGGCGGCCGCGAGTTGTGACTGGAGCCACGATGCACGGCCAGGCGCGGTGAGAAGCCAGCCCGTAGTGCCTCCCGAAGGAGCCCGGGCGCAGGGAGGGTCGCCCTGAGGACACGGAGGCCGCCAGGCAGGCCAAGGGCCGAGGTGACTGGGCTGGGGCGGTAGGGAAGGAGCGAGTGCGCCTGGCTGCCTCCGCACGGAGTTGTCCCTCTCTGTTTTCGATTGACACAAACACTTCTCCAAAAGCGGGGAAACCTAAGCAACAACAGCAATCAACACCAAGATCTTCCTCCTACCCTCCCCTCTTTCCCTTCTCCCGCGGTCGGCCCTCGCCCCCTCCCCCAGGCCCAGCGCGGGCGCTCGGCGCGTCCAGACCCGCGGCGCGATGCCGGCAGTTTAGGATCCAAAGCTTCTCTGCTCCTTTTGTTCTTTCCTTCCCTTTTTTAAAAAAAGAGGGGGGAAATCCCAGTGGTGGGCAGCCTGGCACGCACACAGTCGCCCTCATACCCCGACAAAAGCAGATGCACTTTGACTTCTGACAGCTCTACCTCAAGCCCCGGAGAACTCAGCGGCGCTTTCCTCGCAACCCGAGCTCGGCGAGTCGTCGTCTTCTTCTTCTCCGTT
Organism: Homo sapiens; assembly: GCF_000001405.40. Taxonomy (NCBI): domain Eukaryota; kingdom Metazoa; phylum Chordata; class Mammalia; order Primates; family Hominidae; genus Homo; species Homo sapiens. The sequence goes on from NT_187614.1 coordinate 1,174,183, forward strand.
TTTATTTATTTATTTCCGTTCCCGCCGCCGTTCTCGCTGACCTTCACTCCTCCGCGGGCTCTGAGCAGAAGGGTCGCATTCTCTCCCGCCTGAGACTTCTTTTCCTCGCCCCGGGAGCTCAGGCGGCGCCGCTCCAGCCCGGGGCCCCGGGACTCCCCGGCTGCACACTTCACTGAGACGCCCCCCCAGGCCCCGATCAGCCTCGTTTCCTCCACCCTACTTTGATTTCCTGGTGCGAGTTTTGGCTTGCACGGCCGAGTGTGTGTCCTCTTTTTGGAGAGACTGGGGAGCTCGTGCCGATTGTCTTCAGGAGTCATCCCCTGGGCTCTACTTTGCCCCTCTCTCTCTCTGGGCCTCATCAGACCAAACCAAAGACCATGGTTCACTGTGCCGGCTGCAAAAGGCCCATCCTGGACCGCTTTCTCTTGAACGTGCTGGACAGGGCCTGGCACGTCAAGTGCGTCCAGTGCTGTGAATGTAAATGCAACCTGACCGAGAAGTGCTTCTCCAGGGAAGGCAAACTCTACTGCAAGAACGACTTCTTCCGGTGAGTACTTTCCTCCCACGCCTCTGCTGCTACCTCCCCGCGGGCCCTTCCCGGCCAGCTTCGGATCAGAGGTTAGCGTGGCCTCGCTGCCCAGTTAGGAACTGCTTCTAGAGAGGGCAGCCAAGTCCCGCGGGCGCCCGCCTCTCCGCCAGCTGGCGCGCTGGGAGCCCGGGACGCGGCCCTGCTTGCATCCTGGAAACTATGGGTCTGGGTTTGGCTGCATGTGCCTGGGAAGAAAGGGTCTGAGCCTGACTCGGCCCAGAAGCCCCTTCAAGCTTGGAAGAGACAGGGCAGCCTCGGGCGTTGTAGCCCGGACTGCTGTCTTTCCCGGAGCCAAGCTCTGCAGCAACTGCATTCTCCAGGCCTTCGGGGTTGTTTGCCCTCCAGGCAGAGCCCAGGCTCCCTCCCGGCCACTACCTTTTCCGACCCCGAGCGGTCTTGGCGGTAAGCTCCGAGCCTTTTGCGTAGAGTGTCTGGGCCAACTGCCCTGTCAGCGGCAGGAAAGAACTCGGCCTTAAAGCCGATCCTGCACGCCCGGGGGTCTTCCCCAAACCCGGACATGCCTCCGAGTGCAGACCTGGACAAACTGCTGCACTGTAGCCTGCGAAGTGCCCGGAGCTTTTTCCTGCTTCCCTGGCTGCCGAAGTTGTCTGGTGGTTCGGCTTCAGCCCCAGGTGACTCCGACTCCCACGGGCTCCGCTCAGTAGTCCTCCTAGGAAACTGCCAGCCACAGCCAGCAACCTCCTTGATGAAACCTGGGGGAAAGCCGAGACCTCCAGCTTGCTGGTGGGGAGACTTCTCCCTACCCCCCTTATTCGTTTAGCATTTTAATTATATTATCGTACACTCACAATTTTGCCGCTCCATTCACACAAACACACAAGTCAACAGAGAAGAACGGGCACAAATGCGAATTGTAATTCCACCCTACGGATGTGAAATATCGCAATTTACTCGGCTGACTTGGTCTCTGCTTTTCTGAGTTTGTGGTCATAGTTCAAACCAGGGAGCAGGAGGAAGAGGGATTCAAAGCCACTCAGAGGGCCAAGACGCGCTGTCCCCAGTGCCGCTCCAGGACTCGTGGCTGGGGTTGGGTTGCGTGGAACCATGAAGCAAAGCTCCGTGCTCGCTGGTATTTCGGGAGAACGCGCAGGCTGAGCCTCTGAGCCTCCGCGGGCTGCCCGGTTTTCCTCAAGGACTGGATCATAGCGGGAGGGTGGCAAACCGTACTCGTACCCGCTGCCAGTGGGTCCCTGAGCCTGGCTTCCACAACCCGCGGCAGAGCGCCCAGAGCCAGCTCCCGCAGCTCCCGCTTTTGCCAACCTGTCCCGCTTTAGGCAAGAGCGTGGCGGCGGCCCCGCTAAGGCTACGGAGGGGGGCTCTCCGCGGCTATGTTTGTTTACCAACAGCGGGGCTAGACATCGCCAACCCCATGCCTATGTGCGGGTCCTTTTGCGATGAAGGAGAGAAAAGCGGCGCTCCGCGCACGTTTATATAGAGTTCTAATTGTAATTCGACTTTTCTGAATCTAATCGGAAAATAAGTGCCCCGTTCCCCCCGCCCACACAGGTCACTGCCTTGCCACCTTCTTTAGACGATGCATCTTTCCTCTGGGATAACGCTGGGAGTGAGGCTGGGGCTTGGCGGGTAGCTTGGGCCCCTGGCTCTAACCGCGTGTATCCCCTCCCTAACTCTTCCCTGGTGCCGCGCTCTCTCTCCTGCTGCCTCCTCACCTGCTTAACCGGAATTCTGCCTCTCTTTATCTCTCTCTTCCCTTCTTTCTGTGCTCCATTCCTCCTCTCCTACTTCCTCCACTTTTTACATCTTCCCTCTTTCTCGCTGTCATCTTTCTCTCCGCCTGTCTCCCCTTGCCCCTGGCTGACCCATCCCCGCCCCCGCCCCCCACCCCCACCCCCCCGCAGGTGTTTCGGTACCAAATGCGCAGGCTGCGCTCAGGGCATCTCCCCTAGCGACCTGGTGCGGAGAGCGCGGAGCAAAGTGTTTCACCTGAACTGCTTCACCTGCATGATGTGTAACAAGCAGCTCTCCACTGGCGAGGAACTCTACATCATCGACGAGAATAAGTTCGTCTGCAAAGAGGATTACCTAAGTAACAGCAGTGTTGCCAAAGAGAACAGCCTTCACTCGGGTGAGGCCCCAATTCCTGGCTGGCTAGGTGCAAGCGGGTCCTGGGGGAGGAAGGCTCGCCAAGGCCCCGGCTCATCTGTCCTTTCCCTCTTAGCCACCACGGGCAGTGACCCCAGTTTGTCTCCGGATTCCCAAGACCCGTCGCAGGACGACGCCAAGGACTCGGAGAGCGCCAACGTGTCGGACAAGGAAGCGGGTAGCAACGAGAATGACGACCAGAACCTGGGCGCCAAGCGGCGGGGACCGCGCACCACCATCAAAGCCAAGCAGCTGGAGACGCTGAAGGCCGCCTTCGCTGCTACACCCAAGCCCACCCGCCACATCCGCGAGCAGCTGGCGCAGGAGACCGGCCTCAACATGCGCGTCATTCAGGTCAGGCCCCGGCGCGCCTCTCCATCCCACAGAGGCCCACACTGCCACTTTGGGCACCCAGGCCGAGCCAGGAGAGCCCAGAATCCAGAGAGAAGTGAGAGATGGAGTCCAGAGGTGGGGTGCCTAGACACATCCCGAGCCTGCGGGACCTATGAAATGCCTGATGCCTTCGAGCATCTAGAAAGTCCTCTTCCCAGCCCAACAGAGGTGATCGTGGCAGTGGAGGGGGAGGGACGGGAGTTCAGCCAGAGGCTGGAGGAGGAGAACTGTTGAACACTCTGGAGAGAGTGGGGAGCCCTCTTTCTGCACATACCCCACCCCACCTCGGGTTCGGAAGGGTCAGAGAAGTCTCAGTGTCCCCCAGAGTCAATCAGTCCCTCTGCCTTCTGCACAAAGTGAACTCTTCCTAAGTCTGCAACTCCAACTTTGTGATCGCTTGCTCCAATTAGACAAGCCCCAGATCAGGGACTTCCCCTCCAAAGAGAGGTGGTTCCGCCGGGAGTCAGCTCTGCTTCCAGCGGGTTGGAGTGAAATTTGGGTATGGGAGCCTACCTGGAGGCAGCTGGGCCTGTGGGCGGAAAGGAGGTGAGACTGCTGAAGCTCCAGGCCAGGGGGAGTCTCTGGCTCAGTGCTAGGTGTCCGGTTCACCGGGCCTGATGCCCTGCGTGGCTGTGGGTGGATGTACCTGCCTGGGAGGCTGGCTGTGCATGTGCACATGTGTGCAACACGGAAGGCCCTGAGGCCTACAGGAGACTGTGAGAACCTGTGTACATGAATGAGAAGTCGTGTGTCTGTGTCACTATTGGCAAGAGGCTGTGGATAAGTATGTTTGGCACTGTGAGATTGTACATGGGTGTGAAAAGGAGATTGTAGGTTTTGGTATCATAGGCTGTTTCTGTGTCTCTGTCATGGTTGGGGGGAGGGTTGCTGCAAGAGACCGTGAAATGGAAACGCGGTGTGTGTCTGACATTATTTTGGAGAGGCGTAGTCTCTATGTGTGTACAGCCCCAGAGAAGCGGTAACTGTGATAGTGTGACTGTTAGAAAAACTCCAGCTATACCACAACTCTCCCCCTCCAGACACGGCGGCCTGTCCAGGTCCTCCTGTGGGATTCCTGCTCACCATTGGCTCAGGGTCCGCCCTGAGTGGTCCTAGTCAGAGATCGCACCGTCACCACTACCCTACACACACACACAAGCGCGCGCGCGCGGTGTCGGCTAGCCAGGCGGTGAAGGGGTGCTGGCTAGGCCCGGAGCACCCCGGGGTCGGGGGTGGAGTCTCGGTGGCCTCACCCCGCCGCCATGTGCTGCAGGTCTGGTTCCAGAACCGGCGCTCCAAGGAGCGGAGGATGAAGCAGCTGAGCGCCCTGGGCGCCCGGCGCCACGCCTTCTTCCGCAGTCCGCGCCGGATGCGGCCGCTGGTGGACCGCCTGGAGCCGGGCGAGCTCATCCCCAATGGTCCCTTCTCCTTCTACGGAGGTGGGTGCGCGCCGAATGGCGGGGCACGGCCAGGTCGGGGCGGGCTTCGTTGGAAGCGGGTGGCAGCGCGGGGGGGCACGCCTCGCTCTCTGTAAGCCACTGGAGAGTTGGGGCGAGTAGGGAGAAGGCTGGGAGTAAATCAAGGGGAGGCGGCGAGACCGAGGACCCAATTCACGGCCCTGAATAACGGGGGTAGCTGGTAAGGGGCAGCTCCCGGGCTTGCGCCCAGCCTCCTCCCTGCACCCAGGCCCGCGAGGGCTCCCCGCGATCCGCGAGTTCCCCGCGTGGCCTTCCTCAGCCCGCCGAGGTCGCGTCTTCCCTCCCTTTCGGTCCCGCCGGCCCCCGGCCGGGCCCTGACGTCCTGCGCCCTCCCCGCCGCTCCGCAGATTACCAGAGCGAGTACTACGGGCCCGGGGGCAACTACGACTTCTTCCCGCAAGGCCCCCCGTCCTCGCAGGCCCAGACACCAGTGGACCTACCCTTCGTGCCGTCATCTGGGCCGTCCGGGACGCCCCTGGGTGGCCTGGAGCACCCGCTGCCGGGCCACCACCCGTCGAGCGAGGCGCAGCGGTTTACCGACATCCTGGCGCACCCACCCGGGGACTCGCCCAGCCCCGAGCCCAGCCTGCCCGGGCCTCTGCACTCCATGTCGGCCGAGGTCTTCGGACCCAGCCCGCCCTTCTCGTCGCTGTCGGTCAACGGTGGGGCGAGCTACGGAAACCACCTGTCCCACCCCCCCGAAATGAACGAGGCGGCCGTGTGGTAGCGGGGTCTCGCACGGTCTGCGGAGTTCGTGGTTGTACAGAAATGAACCTTTATTTAAGAAAAATAGAAAAAAAAAAAAACATAAAAAGCAAGTCCCCACCCCCTTCCTCCAGCCTCGAGAACCATTCTCCTTCTGGGGAGACCGGATGGAAAAGGGGGACACGAAATAGGATCCAAATCGGCCTCGAGGTGGGACTGGGATCCGCGCACTGGCTGTCGACGTGCAGAACTGGGGCTCCCCAAAGGAAACGCAGACCTCTCCCCAACTCCCACCTGGACCCGGATCCGTAGACAGACCCCGCGGGCGTGTGCGCCTGGCAGGCGGGCGGCGAAAAGACGTCCAGGGCAGCCGCGGGTGCGCACAGCCGTTGGCGATGCCAGGAGCCGTGGGGAGGGAGGCCGTGAGCACAGCCGGGTGAAGGAAGTGAAGCGGCCCAGGGCGCTCCCGGGCCAGCCAGGAGGGTTCTAGCTCTGGGATATCCCTTATTAGTGTTGTCTCAGAGTTCAACAACAGCGACAAAAAACTCTTATAGCTTCAGAAACGCCGACCTGCCGTGCATCAGGTGGGACTATATATATATTTTTTGTCTATCTGGATTTTTGGTTTTTGTTTTTGCCAAAATTGCAAAATTCTAAATGTAAAGCCCTCCGTATCAACTCTTCTACCTTCGCAAAACTACACATACACACATACACACGTACACGGACACACTCGGTAAGATGGTCTCCAGCCAGACCGCTCAGTAAAATGACTTGAACATCAGCTGTACAAGAAAAGTATTCTACCTTCACACACAAAAAGTTAAAAAAAAAAAAAAAAGACTATTGAACTAAAAACAGTCAACTGTTTACGTATAATGTTAAATTCAGGAGTTCAGTGTTTTACTAATATATCCTGTTTTGAAACCTCTTGTTCGAAAACAAAATGTTTTGAGCAATCAACCAAAATTGTTCCTTTTCTTTTCCTGTAGATGTTCTGACAGATTTGCAGGGCTTTCGGCTCACTGTGCTAGTATGTAAAAAGGTGTTGTTTACACGAGGCAAAGAGAAAACATGCTATTCAGACAGTTGCCAAATAGAATAATTATAGCACAAATACTGTAAAGGTGCCTGGCACCAGCAACCTGAGAAAGTGTTAAAAAAAAAAAAAAAAAAGTGTTACAAGATTTAAAAAAAAACATCTTTGCTAATTTTTTTGTCCTGTTGAACATTCATGGAATTGTTAATATGACTTATATAGACCCACACAGGTTTTATTTTTGTGTCTTTAAAATAAAAGTCCAAAATATTTAAATTTTATGGTCAAATATGCAGTCAACAGCTGCTACTTTTTCTTTATATATTAAATTTCTCATATGTCTTTTATTGTTCTAATAAACCTAAGCTTGTGTGACCTCCAGTGCATATTAGACCATTCACTGTATGAAAGAAAACATGTTGAATAAATTTGTGAGTTTTTAATAAAAATAGAAAATCTGATGTTTAGATAATTGGTGTGTTATTTGATGTTTTCAAAGGGGAACCCTGATGGGGAGCTGAATGGGTCCTCAGAAGCCAGGTGGAAAAGAGAGGCAGGATTGGGATGATATATCTGTTTTTGCCTTGGCTATGGCTGAAACCTTTTGCTAATGCCAGCCAAGCTTTTCTCTGTGGCTTCCTGCTGTTATTAGCTACAGATTTACATCCTGTGGATTTAACTGATACCGTTGAAGAGATGTTTGCTGATAAGTTAATATAGAATTTGAAATAGAAATCAAATCCATGGCTAAAAAATGAGTGGTCCAGGTCTGTGATTAGGCATAAGATCCAAGGCATTCCCTCTTTCACTCTCCCTGCACATGCAAAACTGGGCTTGTATCAGATACTTGTAATACATAGTTAGAGGTGGTCCTTTTCAGTTTCAATTCATTTCCTATAGATAATCCGGCTTTCTAATTTGGTAGTTTGAAAGATAATGTAAAGGCTTTCTAATTTGGTGGTTTGAAAGATAATGTAAAATGAATGTATAGTACAGCTAGAAATGAAATACTTTAATCCCTTTCACAGAACTGATATGAAATTGTTGTTTTATAGTATTTGTTACCTTTGAAGTTCCCCAGAAGGAAAACTATTTTGCCTGGCACAAGATACATATTAAGTTTCTCTGAAAGATGAACAAAAATAACTAATATCAAAATCAAATTTCAACTCAAAAGGTTCTAAAAGTAGCTCGATTCTTTCCAGTCCTTCATTAGACTTGGAAGAAATTTGAATATTTTATCTACTATGAAATATTCTTGTGGATGTGTGTGTGTTTCAGTATCAGATGCTATTAGAGTTCCAGGATTTCTTTTCCATATCACCTAGATTTCACTCTGGATTATTTATTTCCTTATTTAAAAAGTCAAAGGTTTGACATTAAATGGTATATAATTTCCAGTGCTGTTTTCAAATTTTGTTAAGACACAGCCAAGTTTATCTTTCCTGCAGAGAAGGCTTTAAAATAAGCAATATTTCACTGCATCCATATGATGGCTTATCTAATGGGGGAGGAGGCTATCCGGGAGGAATCTGGCAGTGTTCTTTCAGAAATAAAAATGTATGAAATACAGAGGAGACTTTTGAAACTCCCAGCCTCTGCATGCAGCACATTTCTTTATTTGCTTTATATGCAATCACTGGATCGGCTTGTTTTTACCTTTTTAGCATTTATACACATTAAATCCTAGCTAACTTATTCATTATAGCCTCTACTCCCTAGCCCCCTTTAAAGACATTCATTTAAATGAACTGCGCTCACTGGGAAGCTGCATTTTCCTATCAAGGCTGCTGAATTATTTAGCAGCTTTATTGTGGAATCGGGGTATTTGATAAGAAGCGTTTTCGAGTTGGGCACACGATGTGGATTCGATTCTTCTAACAACGTGGTTGTGGCGCAGTCTCTCCCCTCGTCGCGGGATTCAGAATCCTGGCGAAAACCCGAACAGGTGGCAACGCTCAGCAGTCAAATTTGGAGCCGAAGGCCCCAAGGAGGAGGCCTGGAAATGTCAGGGCCTGTTCTCCTTCCCATCAGTGCTGTGCCGCCCACCTCTGGCCCCGAGGTGCGGGGACGTGCGGCACCATACCTAGGCGGAGCTCCCGCAGGAGGCGCAGCAGGAGGGAAGCGCCACTGCAGTCCCCTCTCGCCTGGGAGGGCAGCCTGGTTTCTCCCTGTGGCCATCTTAAAGCCACCACCTCTGTGCCTCTCGCCACCTGCCTTCAGGGTTCCAGCAGCAGGGAGCCACCATCTGCTCTGGCGAGGGAGCTGAAGCTCACCCACCCAACTTCTCCGGGCTGGCTGCCGCTGGTAAGCTGCTCTAGGTGAGGCACTTGGGGAAGTATTACCTGTGGAGAGCCAGGATAGGCATTGCCAGGGCTGGCACCTGAGGGTGGACAGCATCTGAAGAGAGGCAAGTGGGAACTTGGTTTTCCCAAACTCTTGAAACTCCTTGTCAAGTGAGCAGACAGTTGTTTGGGACAATTGGAAAGTGTCACCCCTTGCCCATCCTCTGCTGTGCCTAATCGCCTGCCACTTTGCAGCCCTTGGAGGGCAGGGAGAGGGATTGTGGACTGGGCGCCCCTCCGCCTTCTCTGGAGAAGGCCATTCTGTTAGGGAACTGCTCACCCTTATTCTCCTCTCCCTGTTCCTCTCATCTGCTCTCATCTCTACATCAGTCAGAGGTTGAAACTCCTCGCCACAGTCCACTCTCCATCTCCATCCCTACCCCATCAATAAGCCCTTCCCCCACCATCTCAAGACACTGGAATGCAGGTAGGGAGAGGCCCCCAGAGGGAGTATTTGAGAATTTGCTCCCCTGTCCCTTGCCTCAACTACTCTCAGTTGCATCTTAATTCCTAGAATTACTTCCTCTTCCCTCCACTCCTGGAGTCCTCTTTCTACCTTCAGTATAAGGTCAGGCAAACATTTTGGGGGGCCCTGGGATGTGTGTGACAGTAGAACGGTCTTGATTCCTTGCTAAAATGGCTTCCCAAGTCAGTAGGGACCAGGACAGAGAAGGGAGAGTAAGTAAACAGGTCTATGGCATTTTCTGCTGAGTGTTTGCCCAGCACAGCCCCCAAATTGACCAGCAGTGTCCTGTTTGCATGACAGCTTAGAGGTGGTCTCTGCAGTGACTCACCTCCCTTTCTCTTTTCTTCCTTCTCTTTACCTCAAAGGCCAGGTTTCTAAGCATTGTAAGTACCCAACATAGCAAGGGGATAGGATTGCAGGAGGTAGTTTCTTAAATGTGGGGTGGGAGAAACATTTTTGTCCTTTGAAGCCCCATGGCACCTTGTCAAGGAGCAAGGAACACACTTTTGCTTGGGAGGCCCGGACACAGGCACAAGACTGCAATTATAGAGGATAAACGAAAAACTGTTCTCTTAGGCTAAGCTCTCTTATGGATGGTAAAAAGCCATTTTCTTCTCCTGAGTGCCCTGCCTAGCCTGGCATTCTTTTCCTTCCATGTCTGAGGGGGTTTACCCTCAGACAGGTTCTCCTTCCCCTCTGCAGCCCTGGTTGTCTTCATTCTTCAAGGGCCACTTTACAGGGACATGGAACAGGCTCCACTAAAGTGGTGTCCTCTTATTGCTCTTGGCCCTGAGGACATATGAAGATTGTGAAAGTCAGAGATCCTCTCTTCCCTTGGTTTTCATGGGAGACAGTAGAGAGCTGAGGGTTCCCCAGTTGTTCAGCTGTGGGATCCAACTGGCCCGGGCTGTACCCAAGGGGCACTGCCACAGTGCACCACTAACATCTCTTTTCTGGATCCTTTTGAGGCAGATTCTGTTTAGAGGGGTCTAGGTCTCTACAGGCAACCTCCAACAGATACCATAAGAATAGACCACTTTGTAGTCACACTTATCATCCCTTATTGCAGTTTCTGTTTACATGTTTGTCTACCCTCCTAGGCTGATTACCGTTGGGGGGAGAATCCAACTTACTTATCTTGTATCTTATCTAGCAGTGCCTGCCACATAGTGGGCAGTCAGGGAATGCTTGATGAAGGAAAGAGGATGTAAAGCGATTGTGTCTTTCCGTGTGCGGGGTGCAATTACATTTATACTATTAAGTCTTTATATTTTGAGTCTGTCCCTCTAACGGTAGACCTGTATTTTTCTGCATTTGTGCACCTGCTTAAGCTGCCTGAGCATGCCCTCATCTCTGAACAGCAAAGATAATCAATACCGAGGGGTATGCAGTGGAGTAATCCACACCCCACCCCCTTTCCCTTGCTCAGGCAAGGGTACTTAGAGACGCTACTGAAACTATCTTTAGCCACAGCGATTCCTAAGTATTCCCATTAAGAAAGACGCCAGCAGTCCGCCACACACTTACACGTGCGTATCCCTGACATAGGATTCCCAAATCCTGGCCGCTGAAGGGCGGGAGGCGTGTGCCCGGCCTCAGACTACTATAAATTGCGAAATGACAAACCTGCTTTGGGTCCCAGTCTCTGCGTGCCCGAGTGCGCACCCGCGATTCGAGCAGCTTAAGCCCTACTCCCTCCTCCTTCCCAAATCAGCCACCGTGGGCCACGGCTACGCTATGCTTTATTCCTAAGCGAATCTCGCACAAATCTCGAGGCATATTTTGTACAAGGGGACACTGGCCGCGCGCATCGCAATCGCATCTCAGCGACAGAAGCGGTCACGTGCCTTGGCGCGCTTCCGCACCGCCCCTTCCCGCGCACTCGCACGCGCACGCGCACACGCGCCCATACGGCTCCAATCCCTTCAACCTTCTGCGCGCTTCCGCCTTCATGCTAGCAACGCCCGCAGTGACGCGCAGGCCCCGCCCCCTCCCGCGCGCCTCCCGGAAGTGGCCGGTCCAGAGCTGTGGGGTGGCCTCCGCGCGGTCTCTGGCGGAGTCGGGGAATCGGATCAAGGCGAGAGGATCCGGCAGGGAAGGAGCTTCGGGGCCGGGGGTTGGGCCGCACATTTACGTGCGCGAAGCGGAGTGGACCGGGAGCTGGTGACGATGGCGGGGCCGCAGCCCCTGGCGCTGCAACTGGAACAGTTGTTGAACCCGCGACCAAGCGAGGCGGACCCTGAAGCGGACCCCGAGGAAGGTGAGGCCGGACTGGGGCAGGCCACGTGCGGAGCGGTGGGCCAGGCCCTGTGGGGCAAGGGGGCGGCGTGGGAGGGGCGTGCGCGAGGCCGCCGGGCCTGCGCTCCTTCGCTTGGCGCAGAGGAACGTCGCCTCCCGCGAGGGTGGTCCCGGCCTCGGGAGGAGGGCTTCGGCTTCTTTTCACACGCACTCGAAACTTGGTGCTCGGCTGGATGGGCGGAACAGATCGAGGGCTCAGGCCGAGAGGAGCTGGTCTTCAGGTTTACTTGCTCCAGGCCTGTTGGAGGGAGCCAGAGAGTCTGCTAGCAAGTTGGAAGTTAGCTTTGAGGATGCCCTTTCTGGTATTGCGTTAGAAAGGAGGAGAAGAAAGTCGCATGTTTTTAATTCAGGTTGCCCTTCAAAACTAAGTTGGAGACTGATGGAAGGATTTTCTGGTGCTGTTTAAGTCTCTTGAAGTCTCAAGACACTTGTTCAGTGGCTGACGACTGAGACTCCTGTTCTGTAAGCTGATGTTCAGAGTCTAGCTGGGAGTAATCCCGCTTTAGACTTGAGTCGGAAGTGTGAGAAAGGGATAATAAGGAGGGATAAATGCGAGTGCTGAACCGTATCTTAGGAAGATCAGTTGAAGAAACTCGGGACTGTTTAGCCAGAATAAGCAAAGAAAACTCCCCAAAGAATGGGACAGAGTGAGGGGAGAACGTGATGACTGATTTAAGATATTGGAGCGACTGTCACACATTGAAGAGGAATTCAACTAGTTTGATAGGATCCAAGTCATAGAAATAGATCCCACTAGTAGATGCCAGGAGTCAACTTTCTGTTTAGAAACAGCAGTAAGACAGTGTTCTACTTTGGGAGAGAGTGAATTTCCTATTCCTGGAAGTTGGTGGGGATTTCGTAAAGGACGTTCAACTATGAGATAAATGGGTCGACCAGGGTTCCCGTTAAAGTTTCTGCTAACCTGGAGATTCTGTTTACTTTTCCCTCTCCCCCGACAGCCACTGCTGCCAGGGTGATTGACAGGTTTGATGAAGGGGAAGATGGGGAAGGTGATTTCCTAGTAGTGGGTAGCATTAGAAAACTGGCATCAGCCTCCCTCTTGGACACGGACAAAAGGTATTGCGGCAAAACCACCTCTAGAAAAGCATGGAATGAAGACCATTGGGAGCAGACTCTGCCAGGATCGTCTGGTGAGTAGACATTTTTGAATGGAACTCTTCTCTTCCCTAATTTTTTCAGGGTTAAAATCCTCCGGTCATCCCCCATGATCTTTGCAAGAGTAGTCTGCGGATCTTTTTTTTGAGACAGAGTTTGGCTCTTGTTGCCCAGGCTGGAGTGTGATGGCGCCATCTCGGCTCACCGCAACCTCCACCTCTGGAGTTCAAGCGAGGCTCCTGCCTCAGCCTCCCGAGTAGCTGGGATTACAGGCATGCACCACCACGCCCGGCTAATTTTGTATTTTTAGTAGAGACGGGGTTTGTCCATGTTGGTCAGGCACCCCTATCTGTTATCTTAGGAGAGACCATTGATTTGGTATTAGAAAGGGTCTTAGAGGTTACTTCATTTCACTTCATAAGGAATCTAAAGCCCAGAGTGATTAAGTTGCTATACTCCTTATGTTCGGACTAATGGCTCACCCTACAGTGGAGTGACAGAGAAGGCAGTGCATTTTGGCTACTGGAGAGGGTTATGAGCTGAAAAACCACTGTGTCTGATGAACATGTTATCCTTGAATTGTGACCCCTGACCTTTGGTTTTCCAGGACTTGCATTGAAGCACTGTGTGATATTAGTTATTTGTGAAACTCATTTTTTGCCATTCTAAAAAATCACATAATCCTTCTCTTCCCTGCAAAAGAGTTAGGAGTCTGTGCGCTTATAGTTTTAAAGAATTGTAAATTTCTCAGAGTGGAAGAAGGGGCTAGATATGGTGATTATTGGGAGAATGTCATTTGTTTTCCTTTAGAAAGGTCAGGGGTGTCATGTTGAGAATCCACAGATAATATAAAAGGAACTATCATTTAGGTTATGATATCTATGATTTAGTCCTTGATGTAGTTCTGGGAGCTCCTGATAAGCTCATTTCATATTCTTTGCCTAGAGACTGATAAAGGGACCAATCATGAGACAAATATGATAATATTTATTGAGTTCTTACCATGCGTCAGGCACTGAGTTTAGCTCTATAATTTAAGTTCTAAGAGCCTGGGACACAGTAAGTCCTCAAAAAAAAAATTATAAAATTACCTGGAATTAGACAGATTTTTATAAAAAATTATCACCATTATCACTACATGTGTCACCTAATTTAATCCTCCCAATTGCGCAGGAAGTTATTACTACTTAGCCCCATTTTACAGATAAGGAAATCGAGGGGCAAATTGGTTACATAAGTTTGCTCAAGGTCATATAGTTAGTAAGTGGAAGAAACATGATTCAAATGTAGGCTGTCTGACTCCAAGATGTACACTCTAGTAAACTCTGTATGAATGTTTCTTAATCTGAGAAATGGCGTACATTCAAAGAATTTAAATAATAATTTCTGTTTACTGTTTTGGCACTTAGTTTTTGTATTTATATTTTTGGCAGCTTTGTGTCTTAAGTTTATATATACCTTTTTAAAGAAGCGCTGAAGACCTGTCACGCTTTCCTAAAATCTTTATTTTATTGAAGAAAGTTTTTGGAAACTGGTCCCTCTATCTTAGAATCATACTTGAAACACATGGGGCTTTTATGTTCTACCATGGAACAGATTGGATAAACTGTAAAAACCTCTACATATCAGATGATACTCTAAGCATAAGTCAAACAAAGAGCCTTAACTAGCACTCTGTCTACTATAGGATCAAGTTCAGAGTCCTCATGAAAGACGAGACCTTTCCTGATTAGTCTCATCTCCCATCACTTCCTTGTGCATCCTGCACTCCAGTGCGTTTTCCCTTCATTATCTATGAGCTGTTGCCTTATGCTTCATAAGTAAAATTATAATGTCTCCTTCTCCACATGATACCATCCCCCACCTTTCCAGGAGAGTTAGGTGGTTCCATCTCCATACACTGTGTACTAATGACCTTGTAATATAATTATTGGCATGCATATCTACCACTCCCACCAGACCATGAACTCCTCCCAGCAAGTATTAAATTCTATTTGCCTTTCCTTAGCCCCTGGCTCATAATGAGTGCTTAATAAGTATTTAGTAAATAGGGCAGACGGATGTGATAGATTGTACATTTTTTCAGATCAGGTTTGGGAAAACTGGTAATTCTCTAACACCAGTTGAAATCTTACTGTTCTTCAAGGGCCAGAGCAAATGCTAGCTCTTCCTTAGAGATTAGCTTAAATTCACTTGCCCCACAGTTAAAATTTCTCACTCTTCTGGGTTATTGAAATTTTGTCAAAGCACTTCTGATGCTTCCTTGAGTTGTAATGTTGTGAGTCTGTCTTTCCCACTAGCTCCTTTTGTTAGGGTAGGACCCGTGTTCTATTCATCTTTGCTTCTCCCTTAGCATTTTGGAGATTGTAGATGTGTAATAAATATATTGTTGAATTGAGTGCAGTAAGAGATTTTCCCCCTGATGCCACAGTGCTTAAGTTGAAATGAAGTCTATGGCTTGGTATTTTCTCCAGGTAATACCCATTTTTCTCTTTCTTCCCTCTCTTCTTTGTAGATGAGGAAATATCTGATGAGGAAGGGTCTGGAGATGAAGATTCAGAGGGACTGGGTCTGGAGGAATATGATGAGGACGACCTGGGTGCTGCTGAGGAACAGGAGTGTGGTGATCACAGGGAGAGCAAGAAGAGCAGAAGCCACTCTGCAAAAACACCGGGCTTCAGTGTCCAGAGTATCAGTGACTTTGAGAAATTTACCAAGGGAATGGATGACCTTGGGAGCAGTGAGGAGGAGGAAGACGAAGAGAGTGGCATGGAAGAAGGGGATGACGCGGAAGACTCCCAAGGCGAGAGTGAGGAAGACAGGGCTGGAGATAGAAACAGTGAGGATGATGGTGTGGTGATGACCTTCTCTAGTGTCAAAGTTTCTGAGGAAGTGGAGAAAGGAAGAGCCGTGAAGAACCAGATAGGTTTGTACATGGTTTTGCTGATTGCCTGTTTTTCAAAGTATCTGCATTTGGTCTACTTTTCATTTGTTTGTTTTTGGCTATTCTCTATCTCCTGTGTCCTTTCAATTAGTTTGTGACATGCCCCACTTACCCAGAAGCCTAAAGCCCTATTCCTGTATGCTTAGCCAGCCATTTCTGCACTGATCTGCTTAGCTGGTTCTGCTCTAGTACTTCCTGCAACTGGGGAAGATTGAAGAGAAGAGTGTTTTCTCCTCTCCTTGGGTTTTAGCATTCCCACTCTGCTGTAGCAAATACTTGCTTCATGGATACTGAATTTATTTTCTCTAATAGAGAATATTTGTTTCCATGGCATTAAACTGCTAAAGCTGTGGTGCTTAGAGACTGGTGTGGTTTCCTGTTCTTCCCCACCCCTGCCACCTCACCCCCAGAATATTTTATTATTGAGGAATGGGATTCTCTTTTCTTCTTTTCAGCACTGTGGGACCAGCTCTTGGAAGGAAGGATCAAACTACAAAAAGCTCTGTTGACCACCAACCAGCTTCCTCAACCAGATGTTTTCCCATTGTTCAAGGACAAAGGTGGCCCAGAATTTTCCAGTGCCCTGAAAAATAGTAAGAATACTTATGTCCTGTTGGAATACTTAGAACCACTTTGTCAAATGAAGACAGCTTTGATTGAAGTGGACTGGGAGCTTGAGCCATGTTTATTGTGCTTTCTTCTCATCTGCCCTTGCTCTCCCCTCCCCATCCCCCTTGGCTTTCCAAGTTGCTTTTTTTTTTTTTTTTTTTTGAGACAGAGTCTCGCTCTGTTGCTGAGTCTCAAGTACAGTGGCGCGATCACAGGTTACTGCAGCCTCGTCCTCCTGGGCTCAAGCAATCCTCCCACCTCAGTGATCCTCCCACCTTAGCCTTCCGAGTAGCAGGGACCACAAGCGTGCACCACCCTGCCTGTAGAGAGGGATATTTTGTAGAGACAGGGTCTCACTGTGTTGTCCAGGCTGGTCTCAAACTCCTGGCCTCAAGCAATCCTCCCACCTTTGCTTCCCAAAGTGCTAGGATTACAGATGTGACCTACTGAGCCTGGCCCTGAGTTAATTCTTTAAAGCTCAGGGGACACTGGTTGAAAACCCACTGATGTAGAAAGGGAGAAAAAGAATGTCTAATTCAGCTCATTAAACTTGGTTGTATCATGTGTTTAAAAGATGCTTCCTATGTTTGAGAGGTTTTTAGAACAATGTGCTAAGATGATCTTATTTATATCTTTCTTTGAGTGACATAGAGTGAGGAAAGATGATATGCCGAGGGAGAAACACATTTTAGAGGAGAATTACTGAGCTATAAAGAATTCTAGAAGAGGAAAAGGAATTGAGAGACTATTTGGTTCCCAATGTCTTCATTTTACACATGAGAGAATTAAGACCCAGAATGACTTGCCCAAAGTTGCAGAGCTTATTTGTGTATGGCGGAGATGAGGCTCCAACTTTTCTACCTTATGATGTAGGAATCTTCCCTCTGCACCACACTGCCTCCTGTGTGCTGCTTGCCTGTGTGCCCAGTGGCACTGAAGGACTGGGGCAGAGGGAGATTTAGGGTGAGTGTGCTGTGTTTGGGATCTGTATATATCTATATCTAGATATTCAGAGTCCTCATGAAAGAGATATCTATATCCATAGATATAGATATATATGTATAGATTATGTATCTATCTCTCTATATATATATTTGGGAGGCCTTGGCCTCCCAAAGTGTTGGGATTACAGGCATGAGCCTCTGCGCTCAGCTGAGATCAATATGTCTTACTTGCATGCTGAGACTTCATGTTTTCATTTGCTCTTTAAAACTTATTTTTTTAGTATCATGGAGTTAGAGTTGGAAGGGACCTGAGGAGGATATCTAATTTGGCATCTGCCTGTAGGTAGAACCGCCTTAAGACATTCAAGATCAATGTGTAGGATTTCCCAGGTAGGGAGTTCAGTGAACGTTTCTTGTAGGTGAATACCTGATGTAATTAGGAATGGCTTCCTAGAGTCCAGTTTTTGGGTTTTGTGTCCCGCCACACTTAAAGTCTGCTTCTTCCCCTGTGGGAAGTCTGGGCAGTCCTTCCCAGGAGCCTTACGTGGCCTGTGTGGGTGAGGTGGGCCATTTATATCCCCGCCCCTGTCTTTGCCTCCTTTCTCTCTCAAATAGATGACAGATTGATGGTTTTCAAGTTTTTTGAGATTTTTGGAGCACTTCTCTGCTATTTTTAGTGTCCTAGTACCCTAATTCCTGGTATGCCTTTGGAATGAGACCTAGACTGCTCTAGATTAAATGTTTTAAATGTTTCACGATAAGGCCTGTTTTCATTTTGTTACTCATTATTCTTTTTGCTTGAGCCTTTTTCATTTTAAAAAATTCATATTTAAATATAGATATTTTAGGGGTTAGTCAGTGTCCAGTATAATGGACACATATTCTTGGATACGATTTAATTTCTTTTTGTTATGAGACAGGGTCTTGCTCTGTTGCCCAGGCTGGAGTGCAGTAGCGTGATCATAGCTCGTTGCAGCTTCGAACTCTTGGGTTCAAGTGATCTTCCCGCCTCAGCCTCCTGAGTAGCTGGTACTACAGGCATGAGCCACCATGCCCGACTAATTTTTTCTTTTTTTGTGGAAATAGGGTCTCACTATGTTGACCAGGCTGGTCTCAAAACTCCTGGTTTCAAATGATCCTTCCGTGTCAGCCTCCCCAAAATGCTGGGATTACAGGTGTGAGCCACCATACTCAACTCATTTAGTGTCTTTAATCACTGCAGTGTTATTTAACTTTTATTTTGTTCTGATCTTTTTACTCTTTTTTGTACTTAACCAATTGCCTTTACCTCATTGATGAACCTCAATTAATCTGACAGCATCTATTAATCTGACAGGGTGGGTTGTGGTGGAGGAGGGAGAAGAAAGGAAGTTTGGTATCACATATTCTAAGGTGGGAGGGTAGGGAGTTTTCAAGTAATGAGCTGTGCATTTGAAGAGTAGCTAATTTTTCTTGTGGCAATATGACATAATATGTTGTATACTCCCCTGTCTTGATAAACAGACTTTAAGAAAAAAATTCTTGGCCGGGTGCAGTGGCTCACGCCTGTAATGCCAGCACTTTGGGAGGCCGAGGTGGGCTGATCACCTGAGGTCAGAAGTTTGAGCCCAGCCTGGCCAATGTGGTGAAACCCCGTCTCTACTGAAAATACAAAAATTAGCCAAGTGTGGTGGCAGGTGCCTGTAATCTCAGCTACTCGGGAGGCTGAGGCAGGAGAATTGCTTGAACCTGTGAGGCGGAGGCTGCAGCGAGCCAAGATTGTGCCATTGCACTCCAGCCTGGGCAACAAGAGTGAAACTCCGTCTCAAAAAAAAAAAAAAAGTTCTTGGCCGGGCACGGTGGCTCCCGCTTATAATCCCAGCACTTTGGGAGGCTGAGGCAGGCGGATCACTTTAGGTCAAGAGTTTGAGACCAGCCTAGCCAACGTGGTGAAATCCCATCTTTAATAAAAATAAAAATATTAGCCAGGTATGGTGGTACACACTTGTAGTCCCAGCTACTTGGGAGGTTGAGGCAGGAGAATCACTTGAACCCGGGAGCAAAGGTTGTAGTGAGCTGAGATCGTGCTAGTGCACTCTAGCCTGAGCGACAAGAGCGAAACTGTCCCCCCCGAAAAAAAAAAGAGAGAGAGAGAGAAAATTCTTGAGCACATTACTCTGGATGACCAATTTATTACTGTGCTGTATAGCTGGTGTGGAACATAGGCTGAATTTGTACCAACCCCAGAACAACCACTGGAACTTACTGTCTTTAATTAAATCTCTTTTCAATTTGCTTGGTCTTACAGAGTAGTTAAAGTCAGACCGGCTTGGTTTAGATTTCATCTCAGCAATGGATTAGCCATGTGACCTTGGGCAAGTTACTTAACTTCACAGTAAAATGGGGATAATATGGTTGTGAGGATTAAAGGACATAATCAATAGAAAGCATTAGCACAGTGTCTGGCACACATCTCACCATGAATGTTAGGTACTAATATTATCTTTTTCTGCTCAAAGAGGCATTTGGCAGTGTTCGACCATGTGAGCAATCACTCAATAGTTATCAGTGTAACTGAGCCTCACTAGTCTTCAGTGTTTTTTACTTTTTTATTAGTATTTGGATTCTTTATATAATTTAAATTAACTAATTGTTCTGGAAAGTGTTATAGTTTACTAATACTTACAATGCAGTGTTGGCCTCTTACGACGCTATGGAAAGATGGCTACAGATTTCCTTATTGCTATACCCAGCTACTACCTCCTTGAAGCGTTTAACTTTTCCTTGAAATACTTTTCTTTGGCTTGGTGACACTACCTGTGCTGTTTGGGTTCTCCTACCTTTCTGATCTCTTCTCTGGTTCCTTTTGTATCCTCTCAATGTAAATTTCATTCCGTTTAGAATCCTGTCCTCAGGTTGCGTTTTCTCAATATAGTCTCTCCTTGGCACTGTCACTTACTCTGATAACCCTAACTATTGCCTCTAAAATAACAGACTTCCAGCTGTATTCTAGCTCCAGTAAACTCCTGAGTACCATGCCTTTGTAGCTTCAGCACCCTAAACTCTACTTTTCAGAAACTAAATGAATATCTCCTTCCTCTCCACACACCACCCCAAACACGTAAACTTAGTCCCCAGTCACCTTGGTGTTACATGTTGGTAATTTAAACTTGAACTGTGGAAGTGATTTCAAAGACATCGTCTGATATTTTAGTGGCTGCATAAGTGGTAAGTCATGGAGTAATCTTAACAAAATTAAGGGATTTTCTGTGCACAAAACCATTTCTCTAAAAGGGTTTGCTTTTTCTCTCTTTCTTTTTTTTCTTTTTTTTTTGAGATGGAGTCTCTCTCTGTCACCCAGGCTGGAGTGCAGTGGTGCGATCTCAACTCACTGCAACTTCTGCCTCCCAGGTTCAAGCGATTCTCCTGTCTCTGCCTCCTGGGTAGCTGGGACTACAGGCGCATGCCACCACACCCGGCTAATTTTTGTAATTTTTTTTAGTAGAGATGGGGTTTCACCATGTTGGCCAGGCTGGTCCTAAACTCCTGATCTTGTGATCCACCCACCTTGGCCTCTCAAAGTGCTGGGCTTACAGGTATGAGCCACTGTGCCTGGCCTTCTCTCTTTTAGAATTTCTACTGTATTAGGAAATACATCTTTTATGTTGGTGGCAATGATATGTAAGGAAGAAGGGAAGTTACTTAAGGAAATCTCACCATGAGTTATTTAAAACTTTTCATTATGGGATATATCAAACTTATATAAAAGTAGAGAAATAGCACAGTGAACCCCCACATGCCTTCACCAGCTTAAGCAATAATCAATTCATGGTCAATCTTATTTCATCTGTAGTTGTACCAACTCTGCTCACCTTCTGGATTATTTTGAAGCAAATAATACACATTCTCTCATCAGTAAAATTTTCAGCATGTATGTTCAAAAGATAAGGATTTTAAAAAATTATACCATAATCTCATGTAAAAACATTAACAGTAATTTCTTAATAAACATAACTGGCCTGGTGTGGTGGCTCATGCCTGTAATCCTAGCACTTTGGGAGGCCAAGACAGGTGGATCACCTGAGGTCAGGAGTTCGAGGCCAACCTGACCAACATTATGAAACCCCGTCTCTACTGAAAATACAAAAAATTAGCTGGGTGTGGTGGCGGGCACCTGTAATTCCAGCTATTCAGGAGGCCAAACAGGAAAATCTCTTAAACTCGGGAGGTGGAGGTCGCAGTGAGGCGAGATTGCGCCACTGCACTCCAGCCTGGGCAACGAGCAAAACTCCGTCTCAAAAAAAACAAACATACAGACTGGGTGTGGTGGCTCATGCCTGTAATCCCAGCACTTTGGGAGGCCAAGGTGGGCAGATCACCTGAGGTCCGGAGTTCAAGACCAGCCTGGCCAACATAATGAAACACCGTCTCTACAAAAGTACAAAAATTAGCCAGGCATGATGGTGGGTTCCTGTAATCCCATCTACTCAGGAGGCTGAGGTGGGAGAATTGCTTGAACCCAGGAGGCAGAGGTTACAGTGAGCAGAGATCATGCCATTGCACTCCAGCCTGGGTGACAGAGCGAGAGTCTGTCTCAAGAAAACAAACAAACCAACAAACAAAAAACATGACTGATTTGGATGGGTGGGAAAATTGTAAGTAAATGTCTTTTTTGTTTTTTTTCTTTTCTTTAAGGCAAAAGGTCCTAGAGAGTATTTCTGTAACGGGTACTCTACTGTCTTTTTCAGAGTTTGCTCTATAGCTTTAAATGAAGTGATTAAAGGAAAGCTAAACTTCAGTCATAATAAGTTGACCTTTTAGTGCAATGCATGTTATTAATGTATTTAATGAGATGCATTACAAACTGCAGTGAGCACCATGTTTCATTACAGGTCTAAAATGCAATATCATTAAAGACCTTTAATAGAAACAATGGTTGTCATTTTGATATTTCCCGTAAGCAAAACATCCAAGAACACAGCATAATGTAATATAAATACAGAGAAAGTATTAAGATTTTTTACTTTCCTAAGAGTATGAAAACAGATTTCACTATTAATAAATTATATTTTGTTTGCACCCTGTTATCTTCCCATTTCATACTTACACTCTCATATCTTTGTGGTCCTTGCCCAAAAGCCCCAATTATTTTGACTTGACTAGACTAAAATTTTTTTCCCCCCCCGAGATGGAGTCTTGCTCTGTCGCCGAGGCTGGAGTGCAGTGGTGCGACCTTGGCTCACTGCAACCTCTGCCTCCCGGGTTTAAGTGATTCTCCTGCCTCAGCCTCCGGAGTAGCAGGGAGTACAGGCATGCAGCACCACGCCCAGCTAATTTTTGTATTTGTAGTAGAGACGAGGTTTCACCATATTGGCCAGGCCGGTCTTGAACTCCTGACCTCAAGATCCACCCGCCTCGGCCTCCCAAAGTGCTGGGATTACAGGCATGAGCCACTGCACCCGGCTAGACTAAAATTTTTAATGGTAATTTGTCCTCAGCAATAATAGATACCTTAAATAATAATGTTTTAAATTTTGCGTAAGCTGTGGGAAATCATGGAGTCTTGATAATGTTTTGTTTTTAAAGTTTTACTTATTTTTAAGTAGGCAGTACATTCACATAGTTCAAAATTCAAAAATACTAAAGACTATATATACAGTGATAATCCTGTACCCCTGCCGCCCAGTACCCTGTCCCACAGGCAACCAATTTTATCACTGAAATCCCCCCCTTTTAAATTACTTAGTTGCCTTAGGTGACAAATCCATAAATGATTATTTCGGAGTTCTCTCAGTTAACACTTTATGGGTTCTTGGCAAAGTTCTCACAATGTTCTGTAGAACCTTGAAATATTTTTAATTACTTGGGATGGGTTTAAGTATTGCTTGGGATAAAGGCACTTGCAACCCCCTCTAATTGTAACATTGTGTAGGCTTAAGGACCCTTATTGCTGCAGACTTCATCTAGCCAAGATGATGTGAGTAAGATTGATCTTTTTGCTTCAGCTGATGGCTATCATTTTTTAAAATAGCTTCAGTGTTCTAATTATAAAAGTATGTCATGCTTATTTCAAAGATCGGAAAATACATAGAAGCATAAAGAAGAAAATAAGGATTAGCTGTAATCCTACTGCCCAGAGATAACCATAGTTGTCATTTTGATGAATATCCTTCCAGACCTTTTCGCGTGCACACACACACACACCACACACTTTTTAAAACAGAAAATGGAATCATATAAGTATGTACTATTTTCAAGCTTATTTTTCCTACTTAATATTTCATGTCAGTATATTTAGATGTACATCAGCATTTTTAGGAGTTGAAGTATTCCTTTTTATAGATTTACTGCAATTTAGTTAACCAATCTGTATTGATGGGTGCTTAGGTTTATTCTAGCTATTCACTTGTATAAAACATGCTTTAATAAACATCCTTGTACATACATATTTGTGCAGTTTGTCTAAAAATAGCACTGTCCAGTAGAAATATAATGCAAGCCACATGTAATTTAAAATTTTTTAATAACCACATTTTAAAAAAGAAACAGTTAAAATTAATTTTAGACATATTGAACCCAATATATCAAAGATATTATAATTTCAATATGTGATCAATATAAAAATCTTAATGAGATATTTTACATTCCTTTTTTCATGTTAAGTCTTTGAAATCCAGAGTATATTCTATAATCACAGTTCATCTCAATTGGGACTAGACACATTTTGAGTGCTTAGTAGCCACGTGTAGCTAGTGGATACTGTATCATATTGCCCAGATCTATATTCCCTGGAAATGTAGTTGCTGGGACAAAGGACTTGTACATTGATTTTTTTTTTTTTTGGAGACAGAGTTTTCACTCTTGTCGCCCAGGCTGGAGTGCAATGGCAGGATCTCGGCTCACTGCAACCTCTGCCCCGCCGGGTTTAAGCAATTCTCCTGCCTCAGCCTCCTGAGTAGCTGGGATTACAGGCATCCACCACCGTGCCTGGCTAATTTTTGTGTTTTTGGTAGAGACTGGGTTTCACTGTGTTGGCCAGGCTGGTTTTGAACTCCTGACCTCAGGTAATCTGCCTGTCTCAGCCTCCCAAAGTGCTGGGATTACAGGCGTGAGCCACGGTGCTGGGCCTTGTACATTGTTTTTTTAAAAAGGCTTTTGGAATATATTGCCTAACTAGCCCCTGGAAGAATTGTAACAATTTAAATTCTCATCTGTAACAGTTGTTTTCCTACACTCCTGCCTCCACTAGGTATTATTGATCTTCTTTTTGCTAAACTGTAGGTGGGAAATGAAGGCAATCATTTCTTGATAAGTTTCTGTTTGGTATTTACATAATACCTGTTAGCACTGAAATAACATATGCAGTGTTTTATCTATTTATTAGAGAGTGAGTTCTGTGTAGGAAGACTTTTTGTCCCTTTTGAGCTACTACTTTGTCCAACTTAGTTAATTAGGCATTTATATAATGTAGAGAGTAAAGCTGGATCACAGAGCAAGAACTTTTCCAAAGTCACCAAGTGGTGGAATGAGGAGGGGAGTGTCAGATTCTTATGCACTGATTCTACCTACCCTAAGAGTATAAGCCCTAAATGGGTCACAGACCTGTGTGAGCTAAGGGCAGCTTAAAAACTACTGATACCAATCTAGCTAGAAAATGCATTTCACTGTTTTGGGGTTGGGTTTCTTAGGAGTGAGAGTTGTCTTCAGCATCAGAAACAATTTTTTTTTTTTTTTGACTGCTCCATAGACAGAGCAGGGCTATCCCATAGGCAGAGTGGCCCAGAGTAGCTCAGAAAAATAATTTTTAATAGTAATGAGTTAGATAAGAAAGTAGCCCTGACTTGGAGTAGCTAGTAGCTCCATAGTAGGATCACTGTGTCACTATATTCATGGTGAAGTTGTACATATCATTGCACAATGGAACCTCTTTATATGTACATTTAATTAACTCAAACGTAACTATATGTGCCTGGCCAAAAGAAAAAGAGGGAGAGGCTGGGCACTGTGGCTCATGCCTGTAATCCCAGTACTTTGGGAGGCCGAGGCAGGCGAATCACCTGAGGTCAGGTGTTCGAGACCAGTTCAACATGGTGAAATCCCCTCTCTATTAAAAATACAAAAAATGAGCCGGGAGTGGTGGCGGATGCTTGTAATCCCAGCTACTCGGGAGGCTGAGGCAGGAGAATCGCTTGAACCCGGGAGGTGGAGATTGCAGTGAGCCAAGATCGCACCATTGCACTCCAGCCTGACAAGAGCAAAACTCTGTCTCAAACAAAACAAAACAAAACAAAAACCAAGGAGAGAGAAACTGTTTAT
This sequence comes from Homo sapiens, assembly GCF_000001405.40. NCBI lineage: Eukaryota > Metazoa > Chordata > Mammalia > Primates > Hominidae > Homo > Homo sapiens. The sequence continues at coordinate 1,199,528 of NT_187614.1, forward strand.
ATAGTGCCAATAATTCTGCCTGCCACTTTATTCAGTGAGCGTAGGGTATGCATGAGATGGCAGGTGGATTCTTTTATTGCCTTGGTTATTTTTTGTTCTTGGGTACCTCTTTAGTGAGCATCGATCAACAGAATATCAATCTAGTGCTTAAAGTTACAACATGCAGTCTTTGTACAGGACGGTCCCTAAATTGAATCATCTGTGTTTAATTGACAAAGTGCTGTATGGGCTAATGTTAGAGGGGAAAGACTGGCTGTGTTGAACTTATTGAAAGATAGCACAATGCCACACATTATGTACAATATAAGGGATTTTCAAAGTGGTTTTGTCAAAACTTGATTTTTTGCTTTATGCTTAGACTTTAGAACCCAACTGCTGCATAAGATGATACTCTATTGTTTATGTCTTAAAACCTGTTCTTAAATTGTTTTTTTAAAATCACACAGGAGTAAGATAAATATACAGAAGCCTTCAGGAAGACAGTACTCCTTTGACTGACATTCAGTCTCATTTTATTTGTTTTACTTCTGTAACTTTAGATAATTTCTTTATATCTCTGTCTTGATTTATTTATTCTCTGATATGAAAGGTGAGACTGCTGCTAATGGAAGTAAGATGGGGATTGAGAACTGACTTATCTAGCAACATGGTGGGCATCCTTGACCTTGATGGAGTTTGGCAGGCTAGTAGGCTTACAGGCTTGACTGGAATGGGTTTAAGAGAGAATGGAGTGGCTGGGCACAGTGGCTCACGCCTGTAACCCTAGCACTTTGGGAGGCCAAGATGGGCAGATCACTTGAGCCCAGGAGTTCAGGACCAGCCTGGGCAACACAGTGAGACCCTGTCTCAATTTTTAAAAATTAATTTTAAAAAAGAAACAAAAAAAGAGAATGGGGAAAATGAAATAGTAAAGTATAGGCAACTCTTTGAAGGGTTGTTGCTTTAAAGGGGAGCAGAGAAATGGGGCATTGGATGGTGAAGGATGTGGTCAAAAGAGGGGTGTTTTGCTTTTTTTTTTTTTTTTTTTTAAGGTGAAGTATCAGCGTGTTTGCATGTTGATAGGAGTGACCCAGCAGAGAGGGGGAAATTGATGATGCAGGAGAGGGGGACATCTGTTGTCACAGTGTCCTATAGTGGGTGAGTGGGGATGGAGTGGAGATGGGCCAGTGCACAGGAGTGCCTTAGATAGCAATGTGGACCATCTCATGGTGGCGGGTGCCTGTAATCCTAGCTACTCAGGAGGCTGAGGTAGGAAAATCACCTGAACCCAGAAGGTGGAGGTTGCGGTGGGCCAAGATTGCGCCACCGCACTCCAGCCTGGGTGAAAGAGCAAGACTGTCTTTAAAACAAAACAAAACAAAAACCAATAAACTGCATTTACAGTGTATTACCATGTAAATAAGGTAGACTACTAGGACAGGGAAGAATTGGAAAATTGTGTTTTCTTCCCTGTTTTTTCAGTCATGGCTCCTAGGCCACTCAAAGGAGAATATTCCTAGTTTAGTTCAAGTTTTTAGTTGCTCTCCATTACCTGCTTAAAATCATGCTATTTTCAGTTCGCTTCCTATTTATTTATTTTTTCCCTTTTGCCCCCCTCCCCCCCACTGTAGCTCAGTTTTATCATCTCAATCCTTTTTTTCCTAAACTTTACATCATGCCATCTCTTGTGTTAAATTTTCCATTTTGAGCTGGTTGTTCTCTAGGAGTAGTGCACAGCTGTGCTCTTGGGCCTTTCATTGCTCTTCTGGGGAGAGCTACCGCTTTCGGGTTTTCAGGCTCTCTTTTGTTATCTCAGTTTACTGTCAGTTTGCTGCCAAACATGCATCCAGAGTAAGTTATCTGAGTTCTTGTAGGTTTGAAAATACTGTGCCCTCATTCCTCATTGATGTATTCTTGTTTGATTGGGTAGACCTTTCTAGATTGAAAATTACTTTCCCTCAGAATTAGAAAGTATTGCCTGTTACTGGTTTCCTCTTGCTGCTGTAACAAATTACCGCAAGCTTGGTGACTTAACAGCACACATTGATTATCGTATCGTTCTGGAGGTCACAAGTCCTAAAATCAAGGTGTCAGCAGGGCTTTGTTCCTGGAGGCTCTAGGGGAGAAATCTGTTTGCTTGCCTTTTCCAGCTTTTATAGGCGGCCACATTCTTTGCTCATGGTCCTCTTCCATCTTTAAAACCAGCAATTCCATCTCTCCAACCTCTCCTTTCCTGACTCTGACCCTATTGCCTTCCTCTTATAAGGACCCTTGAGATCACATTGGACCACCTGGCTTATCCAGGATAATCTCAAGATCCTTAATTATATCTGCAAAGTCCTTTTGACTTTTTAATATGTTACTGACAAAGCCACATTCACATGTCTGGGGTTTAGGATGTAGATATCTTTGGGGGACCATTATTCAGCCTACTATGTGCCTTATTGTCTTCTACCATCCCAGTGTTTTCCAGTGACAAGGTATGAATCTCATTCCTTTGTAGATGACTTATTTTTGGTCTCTGGACATGTTTGGGATCTTCTCTTCATTATTTTTTCTTGTATTTTTATTTTTTATTGAGAGAGGGCCTTCATCTCTTGCCCACGCTGGAGTGTGGTGGTGCAATCATGGCTCACTGCAGCCTCGAACTCCTGGGCTCAAGTGACCCTTCCACTTCAGCCTCCCAAGTAGCTGGGCCTCAGGTGCGTGCCACCACGTCCAGCTAATTTTTTTCTTTTTTCTTTTTTATAGAGATGGGGTCTTGCAGTGTTCCCCAGGCTGTCTTTATTCTTGATTTTCTGAAATTGCCTGAAGAGATGTCTAAGTATGGGTCATTTTTTATTTATTATGCTAAACATTTACCTTAGTAAGTATGAAGACTGGGGTCCTTCAGTTTTGGGAAAATCTTTTCTAATATTTCTTTAATAATTTTCTTCCTTCCATTTTCTCTGTTCTCCTAGATTTTAAGCCTGAATTAGTGTTGTGTCTCTTATGTGTTATTTAACATTTTCCATCTTTTTGTGATTTTACCATGTTTATGTTCCGAAAGATTTTTGAAGCTGATTTCCAGATTTTTTTTAAAAAAATCAATTTTTTAAGTTGTTATTTTTAAGCTGCTGAGTACATATTTTATTTTATTGTAAGACAGGGTCTTGCTGTGTTGCCCAGGCTGGAGTGTAGTGATGTGATCATAACTCACTGCAGGCTCAGACTCCTGGGCTCAAGTGATGCTCCTGCCTCAGCCTCCCAAGTAGCTGGGACTACATGTGTGTGCCACTGTGCCTGGCTAATTTAAAAAAAATTTCTGGTAGAGATGAGGTCTCACTGTGTTGCCCAAGCTGGTCTTGAGCTCCTGGGCTCAAGTGATCCTCCCGCCTCAGCCTCCCAAAATGCTGGGATTACAGGTGTGAACCGCCATGCCCACCCTGAAGTTTTCATTTTAAATCATATTTTTAATCTTTAAGGGGTCTTTTGATTCCTGAGTGTTCCTTTTCTGTATAATTAATAAGAGTATAGGATGTAAATTTAAAGTTTTGTTGTTGTTGTGGTAAAGTCATTTTAATTCCTGGAATTGTTCCTGTCTCAACCAGATGTTTTGTTTATCTTGGACATTTTCCTTTCTTGGCAGGGGAGGGGAGGAGGTAGAGATGGGGTTGCCCACCATGTTGCCCAGGCTGATCTCAAACTCCTGGCCTCAAGTGATCCTCCTGCCCTGGCCTCCCAAAGTGCTGGGATTACAGGCATGAGCCACTGTGCCCTCATTTTAAAATTTGTATCCAATACCTATATACAATTTAAAGAGTCAGATAATTCTAGGAAGCTTGTTATGAAAACCAGTAGTCTGCTGCTTGGGTGTATCACTTCTGTGCCATAACCCTTTCTCCTGAAGCAACAATTTTAAGTTATTTTGTTATATCTTTTTTTGTTTTTTGTTTTGAATCCATGGGTTTCTCTAATTAACATGGTTTGTTTCTACTTGACTTTTCAGTTTTAGGCATTACTTGTTGACTCCCCTTTATAAAAATGAAGATTTAGCTCTTATTCCTACTACACTCATGCATACTTTCTGGTTATGTTATTAATTTGTCCCTTTGTGGTTATATTGTAGTTTGGTTAGATCAGTGTTCAGTATTTACATTATTATGTCTGTAAACACTTTTCACAGCTGAGCCATGTAATAAATACACTATGATTATTTTCCTTTCCCACACATTGTTTTGTTTTCTAGAGTTGATTGTTACATTTTTGTTTGAGTTTTCTGTGTAGTAATTCAAGCCCAAACTTTTCTCCAGTTAGCTAAATCTCTTCTCAAGTCTAAAGTTGCATCAAATATTGTGCCAGTTGATGTTCCTTAAGTCTCTCCCAGAGCTTTTCGACCTGCTGTCATCTGGCCTGTTCACCTTCTCAGGTGTCCAGCTGTCATGCTGGGATGTGCCTTCACCGTCATCCTGGGTGTTACCTTAGCTTCTTGCTTCTGTGGATCTCCTATTCCAGAGTCTTTCTTGGCTACTTCCAATTTTTGTTGCACATCCTCTCATAGCTTGCTGAGAAGGGGTGTGTGGGAGGTAAATTTTTTTAGACTTCAGTTGTCTTAAAATACCTTTATTCTATCATCACAATTGATGGTTTGTATATAGAATTCTATAGAATGTTACATTGTATTTCAGCTTCTAAAGTTGCAATTGGTAAGTCAGAAGCTGTTCTGATTCCAGACCTTGCCTTTTTTTTTTTTTTTTTCTTTTTGGAAACTGCAGACTTTTCTTTGTCCACAGAATTCTGAAATTTCATAATGATGCACCGTAGCGTAGATCTGTTTTTGTCTGTTGTCTGGAGCACTTGGAGGGCCTTTTCAATCTAGAAATTCATATCTTTCAGTCCTGGAAAATCCTCTTGAAATTATTTTGTTTTTTACTATCTCCCCTGTGTTTCCTTTCTCTCTGTCCTCTCTCTTTCTGGAAGGCCTATTACTTGGCATCAGACTGTTTCTGTGATTCTTTTTCTCTTCAATTTTTCATCCCTCCCTCTCTCTTCTAAGACATTTCCTCAGCTTTATTTTCAGTACTTTCTATTGAGTTTTTAAAATTTTCTTCTATTTTTTTCTTTTTTCTTTTTCTTTCTTTCCTTCTTTCTTTTTTTTTTTTTTTTTTTTTTTTTTTTTGAGATAGGCTCTCACTTTGTCACCCAGGCTTGATCTTGATCTCGGCTCACTGCAGCCTTGGCCTCCTGGGCTCAAGCAATCCACCTGCATCAGCCCCACAAGTAGCTGGGACTACAGGTGCACGCCACCACGCCTAACTAATTCTTTGTAGTTTTTGTAGAGATGAGGTTTTGCTGTGTTGGCCAGGCTTGTCTTAAATTCCTGAGCTTAGGTGATCTACCTGCCTTGACTTCTCAAAGCACTGGGATTATAGGCGTAAGCTACCGTGGATGGCCTCTTCTATCATATTTTTATTTTATTTTATTTTATTGTTTGGGTTTTTTTCTTTTTTCTTTTTTCAAGAGAAGGTCCCACTCTGTCACCTAGACCGGAGTACAGTGGTGTGATCATAGCTCACTGCAGCCTCAGACTCCTGGGCTCAGGTTATCTTCCTGCCTTAGCCTCCTGAGTAGCTAGGACTACAGGTGCATGCCATCCCATCTGGCTATTTTTTATTTTTAGTAGAGATGAGGTCTTGCTGTGTTGCCCAGGCTGGTCTTGAACTCCTGGCTTCGAGTGATCAAGCGATCCTTCTGCCTCAGCCTCCCAAAGCGCTGACATTACAGATGTGAACTTTAGCGCCTGGCCTATGTATTTTTGTATGTGTTCTTCCTGCATAGTCTGTTTCCTCTAAGCTGCTTTTTTTGTTGTTGTTTTTTTGCTTTCGCTTTAACTCCTGTGTAACATGTTACATGTTTTTCTTGGATTTTTGGTGATCCTCTGCGGTCTCTGTTGATTTTTAAGTGTATCATACCAAAAAGTTGATTGGGAACTTTGTATGTTGGATGGGGCTTTTTGTCTATGGTTTCCATTGTAAAGCAATCTATCTGCACCATTTTGGAAGAACTCCCAATGGCAGTGTCTTTAGATCTTTGCTCTTTATGAGATCAAAATCTAGAGGACTTCCAGTTTCCTGCCTGGTGGCCAACATTCTAGGAGGTGGGTAGGCTTGGGGATCTAGGCATTCAGTCTGTAAACTTCAGCTTAGTCCCCCTGTTTTCAATATTATGCCTTTGCCCTCAACTATGATCTGGAATCTCCCTGTCCAGAGACCCTCTCTTTAGCTCTCTTCAAGGATAAACCTCTAAATTTTGTCTAAATAAGAAGATATGATATTTTAACTGCTCCACTTGTTTTTAGGCCTGCTTTGATCTCCTTTTCTAGAGGTGCTGGGCACTGCCAGTTCCTGAGTCCTCTGCATTCTGTTTCTGGACTGTAAGTGAGGTTGCATCTGATTCTTCATTGCTAGCACCCCAGTCATCTTGCTTAGGTTAGCTAAGTCAGTTATTATTTGTCCATTTGCTTTTTCAAAAACTGGTTTGTTGAGATATAATTGACATAATAAATTGCCCATATGTCCAGTGTGTAATTTGACATTTATATACACCCGGGAAACCATCACCAGTCAAGATAATGAACATATTCCTCATCCCCAGAAGTTTCCTCAGCCTCTTTATAATCTTTCCCTCCTGGCCTTCCCTATTTGTCCCTAGGCAACCACTAAATCTGCTGTCACTATGGGTTAGTTTGCATTTTCTAGAAATCTATATAAGTGGAATTATACAGTTTGTATCCTTTTTAGTCTGGCTTTTGCTCAGCATAATTATTTTGAGCATCCTCCATATTTTTTCTTGTGTCAGTAGTTCATTGCCTTTTGTTGCTGAGTAGTATCCCATTGTATGGATATACCACAATTTGTTTTGTTTCCAGTTTTTGGCTATTACAAATAAATCTGCTACAAACATTTGTATAGATGTTTTTATATGGACATAGACTTTCATTTCTCTTGGGTAGCTAAGAATAGAATGGCTGAGTCGCATGGTAAATGCATGTTTAACTTCGGAAACTGCCAAGCTATTTTCCAAAGTGGTTATACCATTTTGCAGTCCCACCAGCAGTGTATGAGATTTCTAGTTGCTCCACTTCCTCAGAACATTTGGTATGTTCTTAATTTTAAACATTCTAATAATTGTATAGGTAGGTTACAGAACTGAGTTGCTATCCTGTCTCTCATTCTTTGCCTTTCTTTTGTGGGTTTACTCCTTTTAAAAGTTACTTTTTAAAAAAGTTACCTTAATCAGTGGAATAGAATAGAGAGTTCTGAAACAAATTCATACAAATAATGGGCAGTTGACTTTTAAAGGTGCAAAGTCAAGTCAGTCAAGTCAGTGGAGAATGGATAGTTTCTTTCTTTCTTTTTTCTTTTTTTTTTTTTTTTTAAGAGACAGTGTCTTCCTCTTTTGTGGAGGCTGAAATGCAGTGACGATCATGGCTCACTGCAGCACTGAGCTCCTGGCTCATGCAGTCTTCCCACCCTAACCTCCTGAGTAGCTGGGACTGCAGGTGTATGCCATCATGGCCTGCTAAATTTTCTTTATTTTTCTTAGAGATGAGGTCTTGTTACGTTTCCCAGGCTGGTCTCGAACTCCTGCCCTCCTGCCTCGGCCTCCCAAAGTGCTGAGATTACAGGCATGAGCCACCATTCCCGGCCTGGATAGTCTTTTCAACAAATGGTGCTGGGACAATTGTGCACTCATTTGCAAAAAAAAAACTTCAACCTGTACCTCATACTTGATATAAAAATTAACACAAGACAGTCAATTTATATTAACTTAAATATAAATCATAAAGTGTTTTGAAAAACATATGGGAGAAAACTCTATGTCATTGGGTTAGGCAAAGAGTTTTTAAATACAATATCAAAAACAGAATCCATAAAAGAACAAATTGATAATTGGGCCAAATCAGAATTAAAATCTTTTGCTCTGTGAAAGATATGTTAAAATAATGAAAAGATAAGCTATAGACCAAGAGGAAATGTTTGCAGATCACATAATTAACAATCAGCTTGTGTCCAGAGTGTATAAAGAACTCTCAAAACTCAACAATAAAAAATACCCATTCAAAAAAAAATGGGCAAAAGATTGGACACTTTACCAAAGACAATATATGATAGCAAATAAGCACATGAAAAGAGATTTAACTTAATCATTAATGTTTAGCAAGATGCAAATTAAAACCACAAGGAGATACCTCTACATACCTATTAGGCCAAACACAAATACACACCTGACAACACCAAGTGCTGGGAAGAATGTAGAGCAACTGGAGCTTTCATACATTGCTGATGGGAATGCAAAATAGTACAGCCACTTTGGAAAAACAGTCTGGCAGTTTTTAAATAAAGCTAAACATATATTCATCATACGAGCCTGATCCAGTAGTCTCTGTCTTAGATATCTGCCCTAGAAAAATGAAGACATACATTCACACAAAGTCTTGTACATGCACGTTCATAGCAGCATTATTTATAATCACCAAAAACTGGAAACAGCCCAAATGTCCAAATGTGCAACAAATTGTACATTAGTCAGCAATAAAAAGGAATAAACTATTGATACATGCAAAAACGTGGATGAACCTCAAGGGTATTATACTAAGTGAAATATGCCAGCCTCAAAAGATTTTATACTTGGAAATTCCATTTATATGACATTCTGGAAAAGGTAAAATTATTGGGACAGATCAGTGGCTACCATGGATTAGGAATGGGAGAAAGGTCCGAGTGCAAAGAGGCAGCCCAGCTTTCTTCTTTGTTTTCTATGAGTTTCTATTTTCCTCTCCACTAATCTTGTTTCCTTGGAGTATTTTCCACCTGTTTTCCACAGTGGCTCTCTGTTGAACCCTTCAGCCTGGCTTGATTGTTGTGTACGTTTTGCTTGGATTGAGGGAGGGGGTATATGTGTGCTTATTCCCAGATAACTCTGGGAATATTTCTTATGGTAATGGATACATGATACAGTACTTCTAGGGATAGAGGAATGGGCCACATCAACCTATAGTGTCATTTTTGCTTGAAATATATATCCTTGGTACTGAAACCTTACCCAGAAGAGAATAATAGATTACACAGAGCTTCTAGATTTTGATGTGGGTTAGAACTGAAAAATGAGATGTCTTTAAACTCTTTTTCCTTCTCTCTTTGATAAGTGATATAATGTGGTTTGGACACTCAGAGATTCCTGAGATTCCAGGTTCTGGTTGATGATTTACTGCAAAATTGCTTATAAATTGAAGTAGAAAATGTTTTGCAGACCTGGCAGCTTTCTGGCTTCACACCCATTTGTCACCCAGCATTTCCCTTTGTGTATAGAACAAGAATTAATTAGGCTGCACTGCAGGAAAAGTTTATGGCTATAATTTATATAGGATGAATTTTTTTTTAAAGAGACAGCATTGTTTTGTTACACCTATATACATGTAAGTGTGTGTGTATAGAAAGTGTTTTTTTCCCCCTCTTAAAGCAGTGTCTGTAAGCTTCTGGAGTAAACATTTTTTTTTTTTTTTCCTAATGCAAGATGATAGTGTAATAGATGCATTTATCATGATTGCTGTCTGATGAAACTGTTGGGGTTTTTTGTTTGTTTCTTGTTTTTTAATTCATTGTTTACTAGTGAGAACACTCAGTTTTAGGTTTACATTTTAGACATTGGTCAGACTTGTCTGGTTTCCAGAGCTTTGTATTCTTTCTGTCTCTTGGAAGACTCGGGATTCTGTCTTTTTTAGGGTCTTGCTCATTCAATTAATGTTTTCATAATCAATGCAAGTCAGAACTTGCAATTTGTTCCTGATTTGCACATTAAAGAGCTCCATTAATTAAGAATCTTGGTGTTTGGCATGTTCCCGCAGGATCTGTGCATTATTTACATGGTGAAAGTGCAAGATGCAAGTTTCTCAGTTGTAAGGGCAATTGCAGTTAATCCTGCTTTTTCTTTTCTTCTTTCTTTCTTTTTTCCTTTCTTTTTGCTTGTGAGTAACAATTATTTCACAACTCATTGAAACTCCTTAAGGATACATTGTACCAAAATAGGAACAAATTATTCAAAAGAGGGGGCTATGGTGAAAAAGTAGAAAGTAAATCCTTTTTTTAAAGGATTTTAAAGGATTTATCCTTTTTTTAAAGGACTGTGTACAACACAGTCACACAATTGGTGAGAGGCAAAGCCAGTGTAGAAACTGAGGTCTGCTGTGCCTCACAAACGTTGCTCTTGGCCACACTGCCCACTCACTATGCATATGGTTTAACTTAACTCTTTTCATCTGAGGGTTTTCTCCCCTTTTCAAAGAGAGTATGAAGAAACATAGATATGGAATAAATGTCACAGCTTAAAGCAATGAAGGCAGGAGAAATATGGAGATGAATTTGTTATAGAACAGAAGGCTTAGAGCACAAGAAGTAGACATGTCCTTCAGTTTTTCTAAAGATGCTATTTCCTGGATACTGTTTCATTCACTAAGAGTTAGACTTTCAGGGGGTCAGCTGATCTAGTTCCTTCTCCTTTAGGCAGGTAAGACCATTTTTTAGGTGATAAATAATGTTTTTTTCTCATGATAAATTATAAAAATACAATATGTATTCCTTATATAAAATTTAGAAAATAGCCAAGCAGGCTGGGGACGGTGGCTTACGCCTATAATCCCAGACCTTTGGGAGGCCGAGGCAGGTGGATCACTAGAGGTTAAGAGTTCAAGACCAGCCTGGCCAACGTGGTGAAACCCTGTCTCTACTAAAAATACAGAAATTAGCTGGGCGTGGTGGCATACGCCTGTAATCCCTGCCTCGGGAGGCTGAGGCAGAAGAATCGCTTGAACCTGGGAGGTGGAGGTTGCAGTGAGCCAAAATCGTGCCACTGCACTCCAGCCTGGGCGACAGAGCGAGAGTCCATCTCAAAAAAAAAAAAAGGAAAAGACAGAAAATAGCCAAGCAAAATTAAGGAAATATTTCTTCCCTAATCCTAGCAGCTAAGAGTTAAGTATTTTTAATATTTTGGTACATGGTAAATATCTTTTCTAGGTTTTTCTTCTCAGTGGCTATGTACTTAGAACAAAAATGGGACTCTATTCTGTAATTTGTTTTGCAGTCCATTTCTTTCTACTTAACAGAAATTATGAATATTTTTCCTTGTCATTAAATATTGTTCTATAGCATTATTTTTAATGATAGCATAGAGTTTCCATTGTGTGGATAGTTTAACCAGTTCTTTATTGTTGGACATTTGGATTGTTTCCAGGTTTTCATTTTTATAAATGATGTAGTAAACATCATTATTAGTAAATCTTTACTCATATGCATACTTACTTTGTTGCATAAATCTCTAAATGTGGAATTAGTATATTTTCTAAGAATATGCAAAATTTTAAGGCTTTTTATCTATATGGCCAAGTTGCCTTCCAGAAAAGTTGTATTTGTACATGCTCACCTTTTTATATGAGTGTCAGTTTTCCTTATCCTTGTCAACATCGGATACAATAATTTTGTTTCATCTTTGTCACTTTGACAAGTGGTATCTGGGAAATGGTATCTGTTATTTTAATTTACATTTCCCAATGTTTAATGAAGATAAACATTTTTGCTCCCTTACATTTATTGGTCCTTGCTATTTCTTTTGTGAATCAAACAGGGAAAATTTTGAACTGGTTCTAGGGATAGATGATCTTCTTGTCAGTCAACCTTAATGCCACTCTAATTCTCCTTTTTTTTGCTTTAATCTGTTTCTTCTTGTTTGGTTTTCTGGAATTATATCTACCTCAGAAGACCTCTTTGTATTGTTGAAGTTTAATCTTAATTGCCTTAAAAAATAATAAAAGTAAAACTTGTTTGTTGTGAGATGTTATTTTCTTTCAGACAGTACTGAGTCTGTTTCTTCCTGCCCAACAATACTTAGTGAAATATGTAACGTAGATTGTGAAAGTATTATTTTTCCCACTCGTAAAAGTGTCCTCTAGAGATAACCATTTTAAATAATTTATCTGACTTCCAGATACTTTGTGTCAATATAAACTTTTTTCAAAACATAAATGAAATTATGCTTTACATCTTCCCATGTCAATGCCTGCAGGTCTTTTTTTTCGTTAAAATTAATGTTTGTTATATTTGCTTTTTTTTCTTTTTGAAGCGTTTTAAAGTAAATTACAATCATGCCATTTGCCTCTAAATATTTCTGTTTATAGCTCTAAAAAATGAGGATGTTTCTTAGTAACATTGTCATCTCACCTAACTAAATTAATATTCCTAATACTGTATGCGTACTTCATATTCACTTTACTTCGTTTATCCCAAAAAGTTTTTTATAGTTTGGTTTACTTAAGCCAAGTTCCATTTTATACTAATCCTTTTCAACAGCTGCACAAAAAGTTACCTGGCTAAACTAAAATTAAGTAGTCCCCTATAAATGGACACTTAAGATGTTTGCAGTTTCTACCTATTATAAACAATGCTGCAAATAACATTTTTGTACCTACCTCTTTGCTTTAAAAGTATTTCCTGAGGGTTAGTTTCTAGAAGAACAGTAGGTCAGGAGCTAGGCATATATAAAACTTTGATACGTTTTGCCAGATTGCTTTCTGGCTATGTCATGCTAACTAAACTCATCAGTTGTGTACGCAGAGTGCCCCTTTCGGCACGTTTTTGCCAGCATCAAGCATTATCAGAAAAATATCCCACTGTTTTAAGTTTTTCTTTAAAAAATTATTTTTATTAGTAAAGCTAAGCATCTTCTCTGATGTACATGGGCTTTTGAATTTTGGAGACTATTAATCCATTTGTTAACATTCTTCTTTCAAATTCAGCAAGTATTGCTTTATCTTGCCTTACTGGACCTGCTTTCCATCCATGTGATGTGGGCTTCCTTTAGTGTCTCCACTGTTTTTTCAAGTGTGGGAATCAAGTTTGGACATGACATTTTAACAGAATCTCACTTGTGTTTTTTATCATGTGATGGTATTGGGGAGGGAAGTTTTGTCATTTTTTTAGTAATTGAAAATTTCATTACACTCTGTTTCCCAGATAGTTTTGATACATAACCCTCAAGGGTACATTGATCTAGAAAATGAAAACTGTGCAATTGTTTTTTAAGCTTATAGTAGTGTTTCAATTTCTGTATCTGTAAAATGGTGATGCAATAATAGTATCTACCTCAAAGGATTGTTAGAGGACTTAAATGAATTAGTACATATAAAGTGCTTAGGCGAGTGTGTGGTACTTAGCAGGTCCTTACTGAGTATTAACTATTAATCTGAATAGTGATGGTACAATCTTTTAAGGATATAGCTCTTGGGCCACAGTATTTGTTTTCCTCTTCTTGAAAGGATTAGGTGAATAAAGACAGTACTATACATACAGCTAGTTCTTTGAAGACTTGAAATGCACATGTAAAAAGTACATACCAAGGAAGATATTAGGATGTTATTATTTCTTTTTCAGTTATTCATTCAATACCATTTGCCAACACCAAACATACCCAAGTGAGTAGTTTACAGTTTCTGCTCTCAAGGAGCTCATAGTAAGGTGAAGCTGCTTTTAAAGCATCATTTAAGTGTTTTTACGTAAACACAACCTCTCAAAGTGTTTCATTTTGAGTTGGAGAATAAACAAACCTTAGTCTTACTAGTATTAAAAGAAACACAATTAAAACAATCTTTTATTTTCTGAGTCTCAGTGTTTCAATTTAAGCGATGGTAATTACTAAATTTTCAGGAGAATGCATTGTAATGTGCCTAGCAAAAGTTGTTAATTGTTTTTGTTTTTAAATTTCTGTCTGGCAAAATGGTTTTGAGACACTCTAAGATAATCGGGAGTAGCCCGATTATCTTATAGTTGGTATATTAAAATAAAGAAAATGTTGTTTGACTACTTGCTTAACAAAAGGTCAGTTTGTTGAAGATACATAGTTGATATTAAAGTTAGGAAGTATGTAGTCTACATTTTGTTTGTCAGCATTTAGATTTGGAAGTGGTAGTGTGATCATATTCTGCCATGCGACTTAGGCAACATCTCTCTAAATGAAGAAAACATTTGTAGCATACCTTTTATGGCCCAGGTGATGTGTTGGATGCTGGATGACAGGCTGAAGCTGCCCTGAAGCAGCTTTAAGGTGGTGAAATCAGACACAGCACAAAATGGTTAAGTGTTGTAACGATATGAAGAATCCTGAGAGAGGAGTGATTAATTCTGCATGGAATCCCTGTTTTAGAAAGGTATTTTCTGAATCTCCATTTTCATCAGTTTTTTCCAGACCCATACTATAGAGAGAATTTGGGCATTTGCTTAGAGACAGTTTCACCACAGCAGAGGCTGTTTTTTTTTTTAAAGACGTTATAATATGAAAGAGTGAGACTTCTTAAAAATCAGAGGGGTTACTTGGATTGTGGTTCTAATTTTATTTTTAATAAGTTTCCTTTCTTCACAGTTTATTTTAAATTTTAATAAAATTTTAAATTGTAAAAGTAATATATGCTTATAAAATATTCAAACAGTTCAAAAGTATATCAAATAAAAATGAAAGTATCCGCACTCTCCCTGAGTAACTACTGTAAGACAGTTTAAACAATTACAGTACTTGTAAATAAACTTGGTTTTTAAGTATCTCATATTCTGAACATTTACTCTTTTCTGTTTAAAGGGGGAGAGTAAATTTTCCTTTTTGGCAAAGTGCTCAGTAGCGATGCAGGTTGTCTAGGAACTGTGAAGTGGAAGGTAACTGTAGTAGATTTCAGGAAGTACATTGATCAGCTAGATTGCTGTGTCCTATAGGGCTTTTTAAGGATTTATTGACATACTTCATCAAGGTATTTGAGAGAGTATTCAGGGAAACCTAAGAAATTCTGCAGTTCTTTTCCCTTCCTTATAAATTCATGCCTGGTCAGAAATTACAGCTTGAGTGGGATGTCCCTCCACAGAACTCAAATGCACACTATCTATCATGTTACTTAGTGTGGCAGTAATGTAAAATGGTAAGAATTTTTTTTTCTTTTTGTTTCTTTCTATGAGGAGACTCACCCAACATATATTTTATCATATGTCTCTTCAGCATTCCCTTATTTCAACTTGTACTTACTCCCCCAATTCCCCACATCATTCTCTTAAAAGAAAAAAATAAGTTTTGTCCACTGAATCCTCTTTCTTATTTGATTTAATATATCTTGAGTTGAACGTTTCTCACAAAAACACTTTGCATTCAGAATTAGCCTATCAAGTTGTTTCCTCCATACACTCCTGCATAGATCGCACGCCTTCTACTGTGGTGCCCTCTGAGATATGAAAACCCACGTCTGCTTTTGGCTTAGCCTTCATGATTTTAGAATATAAGTCTCTACATTCTGCTTTGAAAAGTTCTCCTTGTGGTTATTTTGTACCATAAAAAAAAAATTCTACTTTTAGTCCGCAGAGCTCACCAACAAACTGGGACAGAAGTCCTCACACTATTCCAGTTAAAACCATGGTCCTCATAATAGCACACACATTTATCTAAATCTGAATATATATACACATATACCTGTATATGTGTATATACACTTGGATATCTAGAAATTCTAGTTGGCCATATGTTGGAAATGATAGCAACTTATCCAAATGGTTGATGTTGAGGAATTTGTAACCTGCAGTCCTCTGTCTTACTGGTAACGCCATTCTGCTTGGGGAATATAGAACAAGCCCAAACAGTAATACTGACAGAATTCGGAATTATGATACAGTGGAGCCTTCACGCAATTCTTTGTTGAAGAAGTTAGGGCCTAAATGTTAAGGCTTATTGTTATTCTGAGTTGATAATCTCTGCCTTGCTTTAATAATTTTTCCTCATGCCTGGGTAGCCCGCGAGTTGCACAATAATCACTCACACAGCTTTGTAATCAATGCCCAAAGTAATAGGATTCCTCTGGCCACCGGCAATTAATAAATTTGTGTCTTTTTTAAAACACTAGCAAGTCGGGCCTGAAATACGACTGACTGGCTCTCCTCATTTGCATATTTATTGCAGTGGAAAAATTCTTACCAGATGATTGATGCTGAGCCTGCCTCTTGAATTCCAAGCAGCACATTATTATGAAATGAAAAATGCCGGCCATACAGTTGATTAAAGTTGAAGACAGTGGAATCGGTGTTTTTTAAGATTGTGGGAGAATTAAAGGCATATTTTAATAGATGTTGACAAGAAGTGAACTAACAAAAGCAAAGCAAAGGATTTGCTTGAAAAGATTTAATCAAACGTCTTTCTTGGGGGATTAATTGCTGGGGATGACTAGTGCAAGTGGCAGGCTTGTGTGGATTTGAATGAAAAGTATTGTTCTCAGGCCAATATATCGTGTGTCATTTTGACCTATAGTTTAGCTCTAGTTCTAGAGTTACTTTTGAAGGAGAAAAAAATGCTCTTGTAATCTGTAAATTCCAATTCAATGTATTTATCTGGGGTAATATGAATGGGGGAGTTTATGTGTACTTGTACATAAATAATTGTAATGTTTGCGTATTTATTTAAAAACAACTGTATAGATATTTAAAAACTGATAAGCTTTATTTACTTTATACACTCACTCTTCCTGTTCTCGCTTCACGCCATTGCCAGAAATTGTACTTACTGGTTTATAATCTAATTAATGAACTGTGTGTCCATGCCCAAACTTATTCCTCGCTTACAGTTTTGTTTATGTTGGACAGCCTAGATGAATCAGGGAAAAAAATAAAGCTGTTAGGTGAAAATGGTTTTTAGATTGGTGACATTTTATATATAGAATGCTTGCATATGGGTAGCATATAAATGAATACCTAATATAGGAGTCTGTGAATACTGTCCAATCCTAGTACAAGCAGAGCTTAAGATTTTTACCATGTGAAATATGATTTTTGATAGTAATATGCCTTCTATTTTTACAGCATTAAAAAAATTCTAAAATGCCTTAATATATAATAACACAGTTACTATTTTTACCTTATTTTGTAAGGACAAGCAAAGGCTTGTCCACATTTTATAAACGAGAAAATTGAGACTCAAAGAGATTAAATTGGTCCATTCAGCATAACATGACTAGTTAGTGACAGTGTCAGTTGAAATACAGGGCCCCTAACCCCCAGTAAAGTACTGTTTACATTTATCCTCTACTGAAAATTATTCCTAAAGCTGGTGGCCAGATGCTAAGGTTGAATCTTGGTAATATGATGAGGCATATGTCCTTCTTAATCTCCTCTTAAGGGAAAGACCTTTGGAAATGGACCATGTAGGGTAAAATAAACATATATATTCTTGACAGTATCCGTTTGTTTTGTGGCCATGTGCCAAGAGGGAGAGGGAAGAAAGTATATGAATCTTTGCTGCTTTTCTTAACTTTTAACTCTTGTAATAATTGGGAGAAAAATTAGAGGTGAATTAGAAACTGTTGATTCATTCTATTTATTATTCACAGGGTTGAACAGCTAGAATTCAGTCCTGTATGAATAATAGAGAGTGGTTTTTTTTTAAATGTGTTTATTTGTTTGTTTTGGCTGGGAAGAATTCACTGTTGGATTTGAGTTTCCGGGAGAGAGTCTTTCCCTCACTCTTGTCAGCTCTGGCTTGGAGGAGGCTTACCATTTGCAGCAAAGGATTGTCCCATTGTCTCAGATTTTACATGCCATCTAGAAGGAAATGCAGCCCTAATATTGCAAAGAAATAAGAATTGTGTTCTAAATCTCTTTATAGGAAGTTGTCCATGTATTGGGCCACTGGTGACATTTACTTTGATAAACTTTTTTTTTTTTTTTTTTGGTGGTTAGAAGTACAGATTTGCAGATTTCATCTCTGGTAGGTCTCTTGACACTTTGATGCATGGTAGTGCTATCCCTGAATGGAGCCTAAATACTCCAGGGCCACTTTCTGACTGGGTGAAGGGGTGTATAAAATGAGAACATATGAGAGAGTATTAACAGAAAGGCACACTTTGATTTACTGATATTGGCTCTCTGCTTTCTTGTTGGATTGATATGCTGCCTAATATATCTGCAATGGATTTTTTAAAAACTGACTTGAACAACATAAAAAGGCTCGCATAGCTACTTGAAAATGGCCCTTAAAAGTTGTAGTCTTTTGTTGGATATTTTCACAATTCTTGGGTATGCGATATGTTAGAGTCAAATTCTGACATGCATGTTGAGGACAAGTAGCTATAAATAATATAGACTGCTTTGCAGCTTATTCTCTGGGTGGTTGTTGATTTTATTTTTTAGATCGTGGACACATGGTACTTACAGGAATTAAGGGTCAGACACTTTGCTCTTCTTGTTCTTTTAACTTTTCTTTCTTTTTTTTTTTTGAGACAGGGTCTTGCTTCGTTACCCGGACTTGAGTGCAGTGGGATGATCATGGGTCACTGCAGCCTCGAACTCCTGGGCTCAAGTGATCCTCCCACCTCAGCCTCCCAAGTATCAGGGACTATAGGCGTGTGCCACCACGCCTGGCTGATTTCTTCTTCTTCTTTCTTCTTTCTTTTTTCTTCTTCTTCTTCTTTCTTCCTCTTTCTTCTTTCTTCTTTCTTCTTCTTCTTCTTTCTTTTCTTTTTTTTTTTTTTTTTGACAGTCAGTGTCTCACTGTGTTATATAGGCAGGTCTCAAACTCCTGGGCTCAAATGATCCTCTCCTTTGGCCTCCCAAAGTGTTGGGTTTACAGGCATGAGCCACGGTAACTAGCCTAAATTTTTCATTGTGGTACACAACATATAACAAAATTTACTATCCTAACCATTTTTAAGTGTACAGTTTAGTAGTGTTAAATATATTCACATTGTTGTACAACCAATCTCCAGAACTTTTTCATCTTGCAAAACTGAAACTCAACCCATTAAACAACAGCTCCCCATTTCCCTCTTTCTCCAACCCCTGGTAGCCACCATTCTGCTTTTCTCTCTGTGATTTTGACTACTGTAGGTACTTCATATATTGGAAATAGTATTTGTCTTTTTTCTAACTGGCTTATTTTACTTAGCATGATGTCCCCAAGGTTTATCCATGTTGCAGCATGTCAGAATTTTCTTCCTTTTTAAGTCTGACTAATACTCCATTGCTTTTTCCTGTTTGTTTTTTGTTTTGTTTTTTTTTTTTTTTTGAGTAGGCTCAGTTTGAAGCATTATAGATGACTCTTTTCTATACAACGATGAACTGTGATGGTGGGATTATTTATTATACTCTGGTTTTGGGATTTTTTTATTTTTATTTTTATTTTTCCTTGAGATGGACCCTTGCTCTGTTGCCCAGGCTGGAGTACAGTGGTACAATCTTGGCTCACTGCAACCTCCCCGTCCCGGGTTCAGGAAATCCTTCCACCTCAGCTGCCCGAGCAGCTGGGACTACAGGCACGTGCCACCACGCCCAGCTAATTTTTTGTATTTTTAGTAGAGATGGGGTTTCATGGTGTTAGCCATGATGGTCTCCATCTCCTGACCTCGTGACCACCCGTCTCAGCCTCCCAAAGTACTGGGATTACAGGCGTGAGCCACCGCGCCCAGCCCAGTGTTTTTTTGTTGTTTTTTTTGTTTGTTTGTTTTAATGGTGGTAAAATATACATGACATAAAGCTTATCATTTTAAGTGGACAGTTCATTGTCATTAAGGACATTCACATTGTTGTGCAACCGTCACCACCATCCACCTCCAGAACCTTTTCATGATCCCAAACTGAAACTCTGTATCATTAAACAGTAATTCTCCATTTCCCTCTTCTCAGCCCCTGGTAACTACTATTGGACTTTCTGTCTCTATGAATTTAATGATTTTAGGTACCTCATGTAACTGGAATTATACAATATTTTTCCTTTTGCAACTGGCTTATTTCACTTAGCCTAATTATTTTAAAGTCCCTTCTGGGAAAATTTTTTTTAGTGTTTCTTTTTTTTTAATTTTTAAAAATTTTATTGTTAGAGACAGCATGTTGTTCTATCACCCAAGCTGGAGTACAGTGGCGTGATCACAGCTCACTGCAGCCTCAACCACCTAGGCTTAAGGGATCCTCCCACCTCAGCCTCCCAAGTAGCTAGGACTACTGGTGTACGCTGCCATACCTGGCTAATTTTTGTATTTTTTTGTAGAGACAGGGTCTTCCTACATTGTCCGGGCTGGTCTTGAACTCCTGGTCTCAAGCAGTTTATCCACCTCAGCCTCCCAGAGTGCTGTGATTACAGGTGTGAGCCACCACATCAGGCCTTAGTTTTTTTGTTTTTGTTTTTGAGATGGAGTCTCACTCTGTCGCCCAGACTGGAGTGCAGTGGTGCAGTCTTGGCTCACTGCAACCTCCACCTCACGGGTCCAAGTGATTCTCCTGCCTCAGCCTCCCGAGTAGCTGAGACTACAGGCATGCGCCACCATACCCGGCTGATTTTTTTTGTATTTTTAGTAGAGACAGGGTTTCACCATGTTGGCCAGGCAGGTCTTGAACTCCTGACCTCAAGTGATTTGCCGACCTCGTCCTCCCAAAGTGCTGGGATTACAGGTGTGAGCCACTGTGCCCAGACTGATTTTTTTCTTAAGACAGAGAGCAACTGGTTAAGAATCTTGGTTTGGAACAAAGGCATTTTGAGTTTTTTTGGTGATAGTTATGTATTACAAATTCTCCCAAGTGGTATGATATGCAGATTATAAAGGATTACAGAATTTAGAAATGATGTAATCAAAGACCTTATTTTAAACAAGGAAGTTGTATTTATATAGTTTGATATGCAGATTATTTGAAGGAATGCAAAGTAGTTATTGGACCATTGAGTTCTTTCTGACTAGTCTGAGATGGCTCTCTCAGGTAGGTTGGCTCTCAGGCCTGACATTGAAATAGAATGCTATAGTATGAAATATATGGAGAACTTGTCTAACTCATGTATTGGTGTCCTACTGATGGAAAAAGTTGGGATATAAACTAGTGAGAAGTCTGCTCATGCTGGACAGGGTAGAAGCAGAAGCAGAAAAGAAAGAATAAGACATAAAAATCATTTAACCTAAGTTTGTGTGGGCTACAGTTTGTGTGAAATGTAAATATATGAATGTCGGGATTGTTGAACGGAAGTAGGGATGCTTGTGAGACTACAGTTACTAAGTGAAAAATGGAAGGAGTGATAGAAGCATGGCCAGAGATAAATGGGCAATTATTAGTGACAGTAAGAATGGAAAACACAGAATTCAGCAACCAGTTAAACATCTAGAATAAGAGCACCCAAATGTGAGTGATCTATGAAAACACATTGAACAATGCAGAGAGGTTCAGACAGGGAGAGGTATTAAGCAGGAAGAAAAAAGTTCTGTTTCTGACACAGTATGTGTGAAGGAGTGATGGAACAACCACATGAAGATTTTCTGGCAGTCACTGGAAATGTGAGAGTTTGATTATAGGAGAGGTGTCTGAGTACTTTCAACACATAAATGGTGACTCTCAGTGTCTAGTTAGCCCCTTGAGTAGGGTTATTCTAATAGAGAAGGTAAGAATTCTGTTGTCAGAGGACCAGTTTTGTTTTTTGCGGGGAGATTTTGGAGACAGCGTCTCGCTCTGTTGCCCAGGCTGGAGTGTAGTGGCATAATTGTAGTTCACTGTAACTTCAAACTCCTGGGCTCCAGCAATCCTCCCATCTCAGCCTCCCAAGTAGTTGGGACTATAGTGCGCACCATCAAAACCGGCTAGTTTTTAAAAAAAATTTTGTAGAGCTGGGGTCTTACTGTGTTCAGCAGGCTGGACTCAAACTCCTGTGCCCAAGCAATCATCCCGTCCTGGCCTCCCACAGTTTTTTTTTTTTTTTTTTGAGACAGAGTCTCACTCTGTCGCCCGGGCTGGAGTAAAGTGGCACAGTCTCAGCTCACTGCAACCTCTGCCTCCCAGGTTCAAGCAATTCTCCTGCCTCAGCCTCCTGAGTAGCTGGGATTACAGGTGCACACCACCGTGCGCGGCTAATTTTTATACTTTTAGTACAGACGGGGTTTCGCCATGTTGGCCAGGCTGGTCTCGATCTCCTGACCTTAGATGATCCACCCGCCTCCGCCTCCCAAAGTGCTGGGATTACAGGCATGAGCCACTGCACCTGGCCTCCAAAGTTCTGAGATTATAGGCATAAGCACTGCCCCTGGCTGAGGATGAGGTTTGTTCAGTGTGTGTGGTTTTTTTTGGAGACAGGGTCTCACCTTCACTCTATTGCTCAGGCTGGAGTGCCGTGGAGTGATCACTGCTCACCGCAGCCTCAGCCTCCTGGGCTCAAGCCATCCTCCCACCTCAGGGCCCCTCCACCAAGTAGCTGGAACTACAGGTACGCACCACCATGCCTGGCTAAATTTTTTTTTTTTTTTTTTTGGTTAGAGCCGGGGTCTCACTGTGTTGCTGAGGCTGGTCTTGAAACTCCTGGACTCAAGCAGTCCTCCCCGAGGACCAGTTTTTTTTGTTTTGTTTTTTCCAGACAGAATCTTGCTCTGTCGTCCAGGCCAGAGTGCAGTGGCATGATCTTGACTCACTGCAACCTCCGCCTCCTGGGTTTAAGCAATTCTCCAGCCTCAGCCTCCCAAGTAGCTGGGATTACAGCCACCCACCACCACCCTCAGCTAATTTTTTTGTATTTTTTTTTTAGTAGAGATGGGGTTTCACCATGTTGGCTAGGCTGGTCTCAAACTCCTGACCTTGTGATCCACCCGTCTCGGCCTCCCAAAGTGTTGGGATTACAGGCGTGAGCCACAGCGCCCGGCCGACCAGTTTTTATTCTGAAAGTTTTTATCCGTAGACTATATACATCATCTTGACCAGCTCTATTACATATGCATCTTATTGGCTCCAAGGAGAACCAGGTGAGAATATATTCTCAATGCCCAAATTTTTAATATACAATTCAATACTGCAAATAGAAAGTGATTCATTAGCTTGGGTTTTCGTATGTGAACAGGAACTTTTCCATAAGGATATGTGTTGAGAGATGGAGTGAAGGATGTGGCAGCTCAAACCAGAGGCACATGAGATCTCCTGGGGGCAAGGTGGAAGGTGTTGGTGGTGGGGATGCCTAGACAAAGTCCTACTCTTTAGGAGAAGAGAAGGAAGTGCTCAAGGAGCTGACTGATAAGGAATAGTCCAGGAGGTCAGCAGGTAACCTGTAGGAAGATACCTAAGAAACTTAACACCAACGGAACAAATTAATGGTTATAATGAGAGGCCGGGGAGGAGTTTGTCAAGCTTAATACATTTAAGAGCTGACAATGTATTGGACTCTTACTCTTTGCAGACACTTTTCTAAGCACCTTACATGCATGATCTTGCTTGTTCCTCACAACAATCCTGTGAGGTAGGCAACGTTGTTATTTCCATTTGGGAATATTTCAGAGAGTATTTAGTTCCTGTGTGTATCCTGTGCCTCCCCTTCACTCCCCACAGCCAGAACTGCTCAGGAGTCATGAGTTATAGGCATCACCTACTTTGGAGAATTGTAGATAATTAATTGTCCTTTCTCTGTCCTTTATTTCCCAGGTCACAAGGCACTTAAAGCATTGTTGAGGTCATTGGTAGGTCTTCAGGAAGAGTTGCTTTTCCAGTACCCAGACACTAGATATCTAGTAGATGGGACAAAGCCCAATGCGGGAAGGTAAGAGAACAGAATCATGGAGTTGCTTATTTTCTTTTCATTTGGATAGTTTCCCATCATTTATGAAAGAAAAGCTAAGTTCTCTTCAGGCAGATATTAATGTTAGTAAAATAGAGTCTCATATTTACCTGATGGTCAGGATGGCACATAAGTTGGTGATTAGATTTTAGATTTTTATATTTAGTTGTACCTGATGTGCTTTGCGGTCTTAGACAAAGGCTTGCCTTCTCTTTAGATCTATTGGAATTAGAAGATAAAAGCACTTTGTTTTTTAGAGATGGGGTCTTACACTGTCATCCAGGCTGGAGTGCAGTGATGTGATCGCAGCTCACTGCAGCCTCAAACTCCTGGGCTTAAGCGGTCCTCCTGCTTCAGCCTCCCAAATAGCTGGGACTGCAGGCACTTGCCACCATGCCTGGCTATTTTTTTTTTTTTTTTTTGTAGAGACAGGGTCTTGCTGTGTTTCCCTATCTGGTCTCAAACTCCTGGGCTCGAGCCATCCTTCCACCTCAGCCTCCCAAAGTGCTGGAATTATAAGCATGGGCCACTTCACCTGGCCAAAAGCACATTTTTAAAATATTAATGCTTAATTAATGTTTATGAAACATTCTGTGCCCATACCATATATTGGAATCACTGGTCACAGCCATCTCCTTTGAATAAAAGCTGTTATTATGAAAGATGGAAAAATTTCAGAAAACAGCAAAATAATTATTTTTTCCCCCTGAAATTATTACATTTGATGAAGATTTTTCCCCCTTTTGTTTACACCTGCTGTATATACCTGCTTGCTTTTTTTCCCTCGAGCTTATCTTTTGTTTCACTTTTTATCTACTGAACTAGTTGGGAGGACAAAAAGGAAACTCACATTTATTGAGCACCTATTATATGTTGAGGTCAGTAATCCAGTGAGTGCAACTGGCAGATAGTTGGAGGTTGTATTACATTGCCATGGCAGTTGCATAGATGGCACTGCAGGTTAGTTAGTGCTAATTGTTGCCTACCGCTTTGAGTTTTCTTCACATTCAGCTTCTCTTGTATTTGGTTCAACTAATATTATTCATCTTTCCTTAACAGTTGGTTACAGAGAGACACATTTCCCTTATTGATTTGAGGATTAAGGTCGTAGAAATATGGTTATGTGTTTAATTTTTAAATACTGTCCTATAATACTGCAGGCCTGGTTCATACACATTTCTAATAATTCTTTTAAAACCTCATTTATTTTTATGGTTTACTTACCTTTTAAAAAATATTTTGAAACTAGTTCTTTTTATATTTGTTTTAAAAGTTACATGAGGCTGGGTGTGGTGGCTCATGCCCTGTAATCCCAGCACTTTGGGAGGCCGAGGCAGGTGGATCACTGGAGGCCAGGAGTTTGAAACCAGCTTGGCCAACATAGTGAAACACCATCTTTACTAAAAATATGAAAAAAATTAGTCGGGCATGGTTGCACACACCTGTAATCCCAGCTACCCATGAGGCTGAGGCATGAGAATTGCTTGAACCCAGAAGTGGAGGTTGCAGTGAGCCAAGATCGCGCCACTGCACTCCAGCCTGGGCAACAGAGCAAGACTGTCTCAAAAAAAAAAGTTACACGAGTTTTTGATTGATCTCATGAATATTCTTCTCAAAGAGCAAAAGCCATCCTTATATCTTTGGTGTTATTTTGAATGGAGACAGAACAGGTAAGGCCTAAATATTCTCAGTCCTTTATGTGAGCCTAGTTTTTAAAATCTAAGTAATGTTTGTTTACACTGGACATAATATTCTTACTGCTTTTCTAGTGAGGAGATTTCTAGTGAAGATGATGAGCTGGTAGAAGAGAAGAAGCAGCAACGAAGAAGGGTCCCTGCAAAGAGGAAGCTGGAGATGGAGGACTATCCCAGCTTCATGGCAAAGCGCTTTGCCGACTTTACAGTCTACAGGAACCGCACACTTCAGAAATGGCACGATAAGACCAAACTGGCTTCTGGAAAACTGGGGAAGGCAAGTGTGTGTATGCGCGCATGTATGTGTAAGATAGGTTGTGGCAACTTGAAGAAGTTTTAAGAAATTGGAACTACAGCTCATTTATATGGATGTTGTCACGATGTAATGGTAATCATTCATTTCTATAGCAAAATCTACTGAACTTCTGGCACTGGGGTTTATACGATTCAGACTTGGGATTTTAACTTTATTAGAAAGAATGTTTTATTCTTAAAATTGAGGCCTTGTAAGTGTTCAAGTGCTGAAAATCCAAATACTTTAAAGGAGTGGATTTCAAAGCAATAATTATTAAAGTATCAGAAGCTAATCTCCGTGTGTAGAAAAATGATATGACCTGCTTAAGACTAACTTTTTTTTTTTAAGAACAATTATAGCCACTCACAAACTCAGTCCTTTACAGAAAGTCCCTCCTGAAAAGATGATTTTCTATCTCTCTGCTGACACAGAAAGATAGAGAAACCAATGTAGCTTGCCTTCAGCACTGATTTTCTGCATTATCTGACACTGCTTAATGTTGTTGCAGGGTTTTGGTGCCTTTGAACGCTCAATCTTGACTCAGATCGACCATATTCTGATGGACAAAGAGAGATTACTTCGAAGGACACAGACCAAGCGCTCTGTCTATCGAGTTCTTGGCAAACCTGAGCCAGCAGCTCAGCCTGTCCCAGAGAGTTTGCCAGGGGAACCGGTAAGAACTCTGTAATGCAGAGTGATTATGGGGAATAGTTTCTATGAGGCTTATTAGCTGAAAAACTTGTAGCTATTACCTGTTTATATAAGAGGTTAGTGAGAGAAAGGAAAGCAACACTACTTTACTGGATTACTGAGAGAAACTTGAGTGTATGTGAGAGGAGAGAGTTTTTAAAAATGGGGCTTCTATTAACTCCTGTGTGTCATCTTCTCTTAATTTTGAGTTTGATGCAGGAGTCTGGTAGTAGAAGCATTCATAATCCAATTTTCAAAATTCAGTTTTAAAGCTACTTCTGTAGAAATGTCAGTATTGAAACAAGTGTGTACTTTAGGCTCAACGTTTGCCATTTAGGTACTTTAGAAAGGGTGCAGAAGTGGAATAGTCAAATTCTTTTGTTTAAAGGAAACATTTAAAATTTTTTAATTATGGAAGAAATATATACTTAATCCTTTTTTAGTTTATAGCAACTTAAAATGAAAAGCAAAATTCTCTACTCTGAAAATTTCACTCCTGAGGTGAAATTTTTTTATTTTTTTTGTCAATTGCCTGTTAACGTAACTCCTGAGGTGAAATTTTCAGTATTTAATAGTTGTAACAAGTTTACAGTTAATAATTAATAGTTGTAACAAGTTTTTGGGTCTTTTCTATTTGTGTAACTATATATGTGTGCAAATAACAAATATATATGTATAAATATGGTTGCCTTTTTTACTAAATGAGAGACATTTATGTAGTATAAATATGTAAAATATTACAACTGTATTTAAAGTCTTGCAACTTTTAAAATCTAATAAGTCCTAGATACTCTTTCCATTTCATTACCTAGAGAGCTACCTCATTTTTCCTAATGACCTCAAAGTATTCCATTGTATGGATATGCACTATCATTTATGCAAACAATGGATATTATGTTGTCTCCAGTTTCAGAAACACTGCTACAGGAAAGATTCCTGTACATGTATTATGTGTTCGTATAAATATATGGGTAGATTTCTTGAAGTGGAAGTGTTAAAGAAAATACACCAAATTCTGATAGATGTTGCCAAATTGCCTCCAAAAAGGCTGCATTAATTTCAGTCGTAGAGGTGAAAAATGGTATCTTCTAATTCTAATTTACACATATTTAATTTGAATGAGGGTAAACATATTTTCATATGATTATTTATGGGTTTTTTTGGTCAACTGCCTGTTAATGTTTTTGCCTGTTTTCATATTGGACTGTTTTGTTTTTTAATTTTAAGAACTTTTTATATCTTAAGGAAAACAGTGCTTTGACTGTTCTACATATTATTTATAGTAGCTACATTAGTTAGATAGCCTTGTTGGGATTCACTCTTTTCTTACTCATTGTTAACATAGGAGATCCTTCCTCAAGCCCCTGCTAATGCTCATCTGAAGGACTTGGATGAAGAAATCTTTGATGATGATGACTTTTACCACCAGGTGAGACTTTTACACTCTCTTGTTACAAATCATGTTTTAGCATTTTAAAGCAGCTTATAGAATTCTCTGAACAAAGAAGTTGCTTATTTTGGAAGGATAGAGTCAGACAGTGAGTTAGAACTCCCGCGTTCAAAATTGACTTACAGTGTCATTGTGGATTTGTTGCTTTTCTTCTATTTTATGTTTTCCTTTTGAAATGAAAACAGCTATAGCTACTTTGTTGTTGCTTGAGTGTAAATTAGCTGTAAAACAGTTTCAGGTTTTTTTCTCTGAGTCAAGTGGGTTCTTTCTGAGCCATTTTTGATGATGGAGGATTTGTTAAGTTATTTGGTTTCTTGTCTCATTACTATTAGAATGGGCCGTGGAGCTGGAGGGCTGGGATCCCAGAGTTCCTGAATTGCGCTACTGATCCTATTATCTGTTAAATCTTGTTCTTAATGTCTTTTTGTGCCTGTCGAAGTCAGTTAAGTATGTATTGAGAATGTCTGCAACTGTTGATTATAATAAGAGCATAGTGCTTTTGAAGACAGAGAGAATTGGTAGAAGTTGAAATATAGTCCAGTTCTCAATATGTTTTCAGACTCCCCCACTTCTTTCCCTGACATTACTCTCTGCTGGCATGCTGTTCTTTTTAATGATGCCAGAGACTGTTAAGATAGACTAAACATTTGGGCTGTTCTAGAGAACTGAAATAACTTCCTGTATTCCTGAGTCTCTTGATAAGTTATACTTTTTTTTTTTTTTTTGAGATGGAGTCTCGCTCTGTCACCCAGGCTGGAGTGCAGTGGCGCAATCTCGGCTCACTGCAAGCTCTGCCTTCTGGGTTCACGCCATTCTCCTGCCTCAGCCTCCCGAGTAGCTGGGACTACAGGCGCCCGCCACCAGGCCTGGCTAATTTTTTGTATTTTTAGTAGAGACGGGGTTTCACCGTGTTAGCCAGGAGGGTCTCAATTTCCTGACCTCGTGATCTCCCTGCCTCAGCCTCCCAAAGTGCTGGGATTACAGGCTTGAGCCACTGCACCCGGCCAGACAAATTATACTTCTTAATAGAGTGTGTGTTTGGCTGTACCCTTTCTAGCTTAGTGGAGAATAGAGGAAGCTGTTCAGCAGTGATATACCAGTTATTGTTGAGCCATTGTTTATCAAGATAATTTTTTTCTCTGTCAAATTTTTAATGTGCTAGCTTTAGCCAAGTAATTTGCGACTGCTTGTTGAGGGTTTAGCCATGACTGCTGTACTGTGTATATGGATATGAAGAAGAACTTCTTAGGAAAATTACATGTAAAGTCAATATAGAACAAGTGATTTTATATTGGGGATACCTCTGGTCTTGCCCTAAAAAGAGAAAGAGACTTTCTATTAATTTTTTTTATTCATTCTATAATGTTTGATAAAATTATTGCCATAAGTAAGTCTTAAAAGTAATGACTAGAGGGTATAGGAAAAAAAGATTGGTGTGGCTGCAGCTGTTCCCTGTCAGAGGTCCTGATTCTTTTTTCCTCTTCTCTTATTATATTCATTTGTCAGAAGAGTAAGGAACTCTATTTTGTTCTAGAGTGTCTAAGGAAGTACCTGATATGGGATATTAATGCTGTATAATTGTGTGAGATCACGGGAGACAATCAAAAATGTTCCAGTCCTCATTAATTGAAGTGTACATTGTTCGATGAAAAGTGCATCATAAATTAAATAGGCTTAATAAAATAAAGTGAAATTACTGGGGAGAAGTTGCCTCTGTTGGCAATCCTTAGTCTGAATTTTTTTTTTTTTTTTTTGCCTGGAGGTCTGTTTAAAAAGAAATAGCATTACTTGATTGGCCCTTCATCCCAATTAATAATTTTAACTTCGATAAATTCTGATTTCAGAGTTATGACTAGTCACATCTTAGCTTTTCCCCTTGCTGGTTAATTGGGGTGCTGGGGTTAATCTAAATTAAAACTTAAACTAATAGAGGTCAGCAAGGCAGCTAAAACACCTGAGTGAAACAAATGGGGCTGCCAGGCACAACTTTATCTTGGCTGTTTCCCAAGAGGGAAGTGGCAGCAAATTGGAGTTGTTTCAGCCTTCTGTAAAGGTGAATGATGGGTGACACTTGTTAATGTACAGCATCTCCGGAAGCATTCCAGATTGCTTTGCTGCTACACCAACTGCTGCCATCCATGCACAGTCAGTAGGAACTGGACCAGTTGCCAACATCTGGCAGCACAGCAAGGAATGGGTGCAAGTCTTGAAACCCTGCAGATTCTAAATATGGTGCTTAGAACTGTGCAGGTTTTAATCACTTACCACTCTTTGGCAGCGGGCTACGACAGCTTATCCTAGCCTCGTACATCACATTCCGACATCTGCTGAGCTGCAAGGCAGCTGCACATTCATTTTCTTTTCTTGCCTTTTCTCTTTGCTTCCCATTCCCCTTCTTCTTCCCACTCCCCTCACCCTTCAGTTTTCCTCCCCCTCCCAAATATGCTTCTTGGGAGAGATGATCTGTAAAGATTACTGCTTCATTGTGTGCAAGTAATTGTGGTGATGCCAGGCCCTTGACAGACACAAGGTAGCACCTGTTCTGCTGACCTGGTTAATTTCTTCTGTTGAGTGGGATTTGCCAGAGATTGGAGCTGAAGCCAATTCAGTGATAAGGCTAAAGAAAATGGCTGTATGTTTTCTGTCACTTCCCAATTAAATTGGCTTCATAAAGTGCTTTCCTTTATTTGTCAGAGTAGTAAGCCTGAGCTAAGTGTTGCATTCAGAAGTGGTTCAATATATTACAATGGGCCTGTGAGTTTTCATTTGTGTGGTTTTTTTTAACATGGTCATATGGAAGAGCTGGGTGGTGAATATAATACATTCCCCCTTTTTTAAAACCATACTTGAAGCCAGACTCTTTGGGTTCATGTTTTGTAAGGAAGAGATTATAGCCACATTGAATTTTAATGTTCCATTGTAAGGGTTTAAAGGCTTACTTGGTTAATTCAGGTGTCTTGAAGCTGTGTGAATGCCCTAACTACTGAGAATGATGTGTGGGCTCAGAACACTCCCCCTCTACACACACATACTCATTCACACTTTCATTCTTTGTTTCTTAATGGGCTTTAAGTTACCATATCTTTCAAAATATACTTGTATTATTTAATAAAGGTACATGTATATATGTATGTATATGTGTGTGTACATACATACATATGTATGTGTGTGGGCCATAGAAGATAGTATCTGATATCATAAATAATCTTATCATTTTTAGAGCTGAAAAGAACCTTAGAAGAAACTGACACCCTGAGAAGTTAAGTAACCGTCTGACATCATATAGTAAATGGCAACACTGGTAGTTAATGTCAGGACTTCTTAGACCAAGTCTTGCTCTGTCCATACCTTTATTTCTTAAATATTTCATTCTTGAGCCATAAAGAGATTTCACTGTAGTATTACAGTTTTCACTTTGTAAATAAATAAGCTTTATTTTCATAGAACCAGAAAAAGTATTTTGTGTTAGAAAGTAATTTTTTTCCTTAGAAGGCAAATGATTTATTGAGCTTTTGTTACTTAAACAATTCTAATGAAAAAATTAGCTTTATAGTTTTGTTACCGGTTTGTTTGGAAACTGGAATTGCTGAAAGCATGAAGTATAGCCAATGGTGAAGGTTTTATGAGAGAAACTGTTCATCTGCTTCAGAAAAGCATTGCAGGATTTTACTTCCAAACAGAATTACTTTACAGTTGGCCTATTTCTTGTCAAAGCGCATTCCTAAAGGCAGTTTCACAAAACATGAAGGTTGTAAATGACCACGAAGGATGAGCCATTCAGAAATATTTTCAGTGTCTGTTTGTTATGTCATGATCCTATCTGCTACTTCATAACATTCAGTTCTCTTCAGATCTGTTGTCTGTATCACCATTTAAGGCTTTTGTTTTGTTTTATTTTTTTAAACCATCAGATGATCTTTGACTTGATAAGCCTAAGTTTTTAAAGAATCAGGGAAGGACCAGGATTTGCTAAACACTAGTGGCGTGCCAGTCCCTGGACTAAGTAGATAGGTACTTGGCATGTGTCTTGATTTAATCCTCACAAGATCCTCGTATTGTGATGTAACTGCACTTAGCAATAAGCTATATAAAGTGGCTGGTTTTCTTCTTTTCATATCCCAGATCGCAAACTAGTTTCTTGTCACTTCATGCGATATTTTGTTCTGAAAGGACTAATTGAGCTTAGATGTTGACAGATCAATACCTGGATTTCTAAGAGTTCATTAGGGTTTTGTATGTTGCTTCTAGCTCTGTTTAGTTTTGATCTGGTTTGTCCTGTCACTTTGACTCTAGCCAAGAGTATCTAGAGAACGGCATAATAGGTTTTGCTCTTTTGATGACCACTTTGACGGGTTAAATTTCTTCTTTCATTTGCCATCAGGACATGTCTATAACTGACCTTGCCACATGCTGAATTTTTGTGTCTAAGACATTTGATAATGCCATAAACAGGTAATTACTAATTCAGTGAACTATTAAAAGTCGATAATGTTGAGAAATAGAGAAGAGGCAGGCTTTTTGACATGACAGTTTAATTAAATTGGTGAGCGATTAATATGGACAGGTGATGTGGTAGAATTGTATGCATTTAGATCTTAGTGTGAATAAGAGGTGTCCCAAGCTACCCTTATGTTAATGGTGATATGATATTTTTTATATATTTGTTGTTTTTATTTATCGATTTATTTTGTTTGTTTGTTTGTTTTTGAGACAGGATCTCACTCTGTTGCCCAGGCTGGAGTGCAGTGGTGCGATCTCAGCTCACTGTGACCTCGACCTCCTGGGCTCAAGCAATCCTCCCACCTCAGCCTCCCAAGTAGCTGGGACTATAGACAGGTACCATCACACCCAGCTAATTTTCATATTTTTTGTAGAGACGGGGTTTTGCTGTGTTGCCCAGGCTGGTCTTGAACTCCTGGGCTCAAGCAGTTTGCCCACCTTAGCCTCCCAAAGTGCTAAGATTACAGGTGTGAGCCACGGCACCCAGCCTGGCAGGATGATATTCTTACTATTGGCATATATCTTTCCAGTGGTTCAACTGATGGTTAATAACATGTTTTTAAGTCTGATTTGAACCTGCCTCTGTGAATGAGTTGTTGGACTCATGTCTTCTGTTCAGGGCAGTATTTTGTTTTTAGTTTTACTTTAAAATGTTGCTGTTATTTGAGATCTGGATAGTGTTTCTTAAAAGTTTGATGAAACTTATTACGCATAGATATTTACGGTTATTTTAGAGAGAACATATGTATGAAGTACATAAATTTTAAAATTGGCCAGGCATGGTGGCTCACACCTGTAATCTCAGCACTTTGGGAGGCCAAAGTGGGTGAATGACTTGAGCCCAGGAGTTTGAGACTAGCCTGGGCAACATGGCGAAACTCCGTCTCTACAAAAAATGCAAAAAAAATGAGTCAGATGTGATGGCACTTGCCTGTAATCTCAGCTACTTGGAGACTGAGGTGGGAAAATCATCTGAGACCAGGAGGTCGAAGCTACGGTGAGCCAAGATCGCATCACTACACTCCAGCCTGGGCGACAGAGAATAAATAAACAAATGAAATAAAAATTAAAAATTGAAATTATGATTGAAGATATAGCATGGAATTAGGTTTCTTGGGGCATAGTAATGGTATTAAAAACAACTCAAAGCAAATACCAGGGCCCAATTAAATTTCAGTTTTAATAACTGCAAGATTATTTTGTATACCATGTGTAAGAATGTTATTGGAACTGCATGGTAGTTTCTGCTTCTTTAAGACATTTTCCACCAAAAGTGCTGCCATTGTATATCTGTCAATGTTTAGACCCAGGTATGTCATCAATATTAGCATTTGGTTGCTAGCTTGGGCTCACTGTTGTGGAAGCTGCACAGAACAGGAAGCAAAAGCCACATTTTTAAATGCGAAGTCTAGAAATTTCATCAAACAGGAGCGTCAAGGTAAGGTGCACATGACTGGCCCTCATTTCTTTCAGGTTTCTTGCTTTAAAAAACATCAGAGCATGACTTGAGTACTACTACTTCGTTTAAACAAAGGTAAAACCTCAGAACGAAGCCTAAAACAGTACATTTTACAGGGCCAGCTGGGAAAGAGATAAGAATTGGCTTAGAAGTGTTGAAGAAACTTTTTCAAACACAAATGGTACCTGGAGAGTTTGCTAGGCAAATATGTGGCCAAAATTACCCTTTTTGTACTAATATGCCCAGTGTCAGCCAACTGAGTGTAAATTAAACACAGGATCCCAGCAGTATTTTAGTAGCCTCAAGTATAGAGTTTGGCACTCCTCAAGAAATGGAGACATTACCTCTTCACTAAAGTAGGCATGAGGTCTTGGTATTAATGTGTTGCTCCTTTAAAAGTAACATATCGGAAAAATGATTTAGCAAAGAAAGGGGAAGTTTATAGGCATCTTCAAATATGTATATGTATTGTGAGAAAATCTTCACACTC
The DNA here is from genome assembly GCF_000001405.40 of Homo sapiens. NCBI lineage: Eukaryota > Metazoa > Chordata > Mammalia > Primates > Hominidae > Homo > Homo sapiens. Next base: position 1,233,692 of record NT_187614.1, read on the forward strand.
TATACATCTGACAAAGGACTGATATCCAGCATCTACTGCAAACTCAAATCAGTAAGAAAAAAACAATCCCATCAAAAAGTGGGCTAAGGACATGAATAGAAAATTCTCCAAAGAAGATATACAAATGGCCAACAAACATGAAAACATACTCAGCATCGCTAATGATCAGGGAAATGCAAATCGAAAGCACAATGCGATACCACCTTACTCCTGCAAGAATGGCCATAATAAAAAAATCAAAAAACAGTAGATGCTGGTGTGGATGTAGTGAACAGGGAACACTTCCATACTGCTGATGGGAATGTTAACTAGTACAGCCACTGTGGAAAACAGTGTGGAGATTCCTTAAAGAACTAAAAATAGAACTACCATTTGATCCAGCAATCTCACTACTGGGTATCTACCCAGAGGAAAAGAAGTCATTATTTGAAAAAGATACTTGCAGATACATGTTTATAGCAGAACAATTCACAATTGCAAAATCATGGAGCCAACCCAAATGCCCATCAATCAACGAGTGGATAAAGAAACTGTGGTATATCTATATGATGGAATACTACAGAACCATAAAAAGGAATGAATTAACAGCATTTGCAGTGACCTGGATGAGATTGGAGACTATTACTCTAAGTGAAGTAACTCAGGAATGGAAAACAAACATCATATGTTCCCATGGGTATGTGGGAGCTAAGCTATGAGGACACAAAGGCATAAGAATGATACAATGGACTTTGGGGACTCGTGGGGGAAGAGTGGAAGAGGGGCAAGGGATACAAGACTACAAATATGGTGCAGTATCTACTGCTTGGGTGGTGGGTGCACCAAAATCTCACAAATCACCACTAAAGAACTTAGCCATGTAACCAAATACCACCTGTAACCCAGTAACTTATGGAAAAAAAAAATGTATATGTATTGTTGATCTAGATAAAAACATAATCATTTTAAAGTTGGATAGCGTCTTTGGAGACCATCAAGTCCAAACTCTCTTTTCACAAGTGCAGAAAATGGAGCCTGAAGGAAGTACATGACTGTTGTAAGATTTACCCACTTAGTGAAATAGGACATTGAAACCTGTGTTCTTGCTCCCAGTTTGATTTTCTTTCTGACACATTATACTCCCTTCTGATTGGACAAGTTTGAAAATCCTTTGAGAATTTTATTTTCAAATCTATATCTGTTTAGGACATTGGAGATCTACTGTATCTTTTAGCACTCTGATGATTCACAAGTATCATTTTTATACAGTTATAAACTTTATTCAGTTAACATTTATTAGTCTGGGCACAGTGGCTCACATCTATGGTCCCAGCTCTTTGGGAGGCCAAGGCAGGAGGATTGCCTGAGTCCAGGAGTTCAAGGCCAGCCTGGACAATATAGTGAGACCCTGTCTCTAAGAACAACAACAAAAACATTTATTATGCCAGATGCTAGTTTTATAAAGGCTAGTAAGACCAAAATCCCTGCCCAAAGAATTTGTGTTACCTAAGAAGAGTGAATATCTATGCAGTCACAAAATTAAGAGTGTGACTTTAATAAAATTAAGGTGGAGAAAATAAATGTTGAAAAGAGCAATCAGGTATTTGATACAAAAATGTACATGTGGTTCTCTAGGGTTCTCACAAACATGCCTCAAGCATTCATTAGCCTACTGGTTTACCCCTCAACATACACCTGATCTAATTCTACAGTAATTTCTCTATAACTTGTAAAAGGCCTTACGAGGCACTATTTGACATAAACATTGGATAATACAAATTCCATATTTTCCAAGAATGTAATCATTGTTGGAAGCCGTATGGAGTTGCTGGTATCCACTGTTACTTATTTCAGGGTAGAAGAATCTTCAGATTGGTGATAGGTAGAAGAGGGTTCATTTTGCTATTGTCTACTTTTGTGGATGTTTGAAAATTTCTGTAATAAAAAGTTAAAGAGGAAAAAAGTCATATTTCTTTTTTCCTTCATTCATTCAACAAATATTTGAGTATCTACTGTGTATTTATTGAGTAACTACTGTCCTAGGCTGTGCTGTCTAATGTAGTAACTGCATGTGGCTGTTTAGATTTAAATTTTGATTAATTTAAATAGTATAAAATAAATGGTTCAGCTCCTCAGTCACACTAGTTATATTTCAAGTGCTAAGTAACCACATGTGCTAGTTGCTATTGTATTGGATAGTGCAAATGTAGAACATTTCCATTACCACAGAAAGTTCTCTTGGAGCTCTGTTAGAGGCTGGAAGAAAACAAAGTTCCTGCCCTCATGAGCGTTCATTCTAGCTTAGAGGTAGGATGAAACAGGGAACTACATTGTGACAAATGCAGTAGAGAATGATGAAACTGGTTATGGTGAAAGCAAGCCCTAGGATAGGGAAGTGATGGTTACTGTTTTAATTTAGGATGTTTAGGAGATAAAGATATTTGAGAAGAGACCTGAGGAAATGACAAACAGAGCCATGCAGTTGTCTGGGGGAAGAGCATTAGGGACAAAGGGGATGGCAAGTGCACAGACTCTGAGGCAAAAGGGAGGCTAGCGTGTTCCAGGAAAATCAGGGAGGCCAGAGTCATGGGGGTCGGTGGGGGAGTAGGCAAGAAAGAGGATGGTAGGAGAGGAAGTCAAGAGGTAATGGGAGGCCAGGTCCTGTGGGACCTTGTAGGCCACTGTAGCACTTTGATGTGGCTGAGATGGGAAACTACCAGAGGATTTTGAATATAGAGGAGTAATATGATTGGACTCATATTTTAAAAGGATCACTGATGGCTGTGTTAAGAGTAGACATGAGAGAATGGGGGGCAAGGTGGCAGACAGGGGACCAGTTAAAAGACTCTAGTGATAATCCAGGCAAGCGATGGCAGTGGCTTAAACTAGGGTGGTTTTGGAAGAGAGAACTGGTTGGATTCTGGATTTATGTTGAAGGTTGAGCTGACACAGGATTTGCTGATGGGTTGTATGTGGTATATCAAAAGAGAGTAGTCAAGAATGACCATTAAGATTTTGGCCTGAGCAGTTGGAGGGATTAAGTTGCTATTTACGGAGTTGGGAAAAAACAGTGAGAGAAGCTAGTTTGGAAGATAAATCAGGAGCTCGGTTTTGGTTATATTGCCCCCTCCTCCCAACCCCTGTGGACCTATGTTGGCTTTATTTTTGTTACTAGGACCTATGTTGGCTTTATTTTGGTTACAGATTAGTTATATTGTTTATGATACTTCTGCCACATTCATGTGGAGTTGTTGAAGAGTTATATATATATTTTTGGAGTTCATGGGAAGGTCCAGGCTGAAGGTATAAATTTGTGAGCCTTCAGCATATAGGTTGTATTTAATACCATGAGATTGAATGAGATTACCTAGAAAATGAAGGCAGAGAGAAAAAGAGATTCGAAGCCCACGTCCTGGAACATTCAAATATTTATAGATTGGGGAGATGGGAAGGACCAACAAAAGTGATGAAGAAGGAGCAACCAGTGATGTAAGAGAGAATAAAGGAAGAGTGATTTTCCAGGTTGCATGTAAAGAAAGTGTTTCAAGAAGGAGGAGATCACTTGAGCCCAGGAGTTTGAAGCTGCAGTGAGCTATGATCATACCACCGCACTCCAGCCTGGCTAACAGAAGGAAACTCTGTCTCTTACCCACCTCCCACAAAAAAAAGGTAAATTCAGTATTATCCTGATACCCAAACCAGACTAAAACATCACAAAGAAGAAATTACAGGCTGTGCACAGTGGCTTAGGCCTGTTATCCCAATACTTTGGGAGGCCAAGGTGGGAGGATTGCTTGAGCCCAGGAGTTTGAGACCAGTCTAGGCAACATAGGGAGACCCCGTCTCTATAAAAAGCAAAAAAACTATCCAGGCATGGTGGTCCATGCCTGTAGTCCCAGCTATTCAGGAGACTGAGGTGGGAGGATCTGCTTGAGGTTGGGAGGTTGAGGCTGCAGTGAACTGTGACTGTGGCACTGTACTCCAGCCTGGGCAACAGAGCAAGACCAAGAAAAGAGAGAGAGAGAGAAAGGAGAGAGGGAGGGAGGAAGGAGAAAGAGAGAGAGGGGAGAGAGAGAAAAAGGTATGGGAGGAGGGAGGGAGGAAGGAAGGAAGAAGGAAGGAAGGAAGGAAGGAAGGAAGGAAGGAAGAAAAAAAAAAAAAAGGAACATAAAAAGGATTACACACCATGACCAAGAAGGATTTAGCCCAGGAATGCAAGGTTAGTTTAACATCAAGAATCAATTAATGTATTATAACATATCAATAGAATATGGAAAGAAACCACATGATCATCTCAATAGAGACAGCAAAAGCCTTTAACATCTTCTCATGAGAAAAACATTTTTAAAACTAGAGATACAAGGAAACTTCCTCACCTGATAAAGAGCATCTGTGAAAACCACAAATAACGTCATACTCACTGACCAGAGACTGAATGCTTTCTCCTGAGATTAGGAACAAGACAAGGATGTCTGCTCTTGCCACTTATTCAGCATCATACTATCTAGCCAGGGCAGTTAGGCAAGAAAAAGAAAAGACATCCAAATTGGAAAGGATGAAGTAAAACTATCTTTTATTTGCAGATGATATGATCCTATATATAGAAAGTACCAGCTAGGCACGGTGGCTCACGTCTGTAATCCCAGCACACTGGGAGGCCAAGTGGGTCAGATCAGCTTGAGGCCAGGAGTCAAGACCAGCCTGGCCAACATGGTGAAACCCCGCCTCTACTAAAAATACAAAAATTAGCCAGGCGTGGTGGTGTACGCCTGTAATCCCAGCCACTCGCAAGGCTGAGGCAGGAGAATCACTTGAACCTGGGAGGTGGAGGTTGCAGTGAGCCATGATAGCACCACTGCACTCCAGTCTGGGCAACAGAGGGAGACTCCGTCTCAAAAAAAAAAAAAAAAAAAATACTAAAGAAGCCACCAAAAAACTACTAGAGCTAATTAATAAATGAATTCAGCAAAGTTGTAGGATACAAAATGAATGCACAAAAATCAGTTGTGTTTCTGTATACCAGCAATGAATGACCTCAAAAGGAAATTAGAAAAATAATTCCATTTAAAATAGCATCTGGCTGGGCATGGTGCCTCACACCTGTAATCCCAGCACTTTGGGAGGCCAAGGCGGGCAGATCACAAGGTCAGGAGATTGAGACCATCCTGGCTAACACGGTGAAACCCTGTCTCTACTAAAAATACAAAAAAAAAAAAAAATTAGCCGTGGTGGTGGGCGCCTGTAGTCCCAGCTACTTGGGAGGCTGAGGCAGGAGAATGACGTGAACCCAGGAGGCGGAGCTTGCAGTGAGCCAAGATAACGCCACTGCAGTCCAGCCTGGGTGAAAGAGCAAGACTCCATCTCAAAAAAAAAAAAGCATCTAAAATAATAAAATACCTAGGAATAAACTTAACCTAGAAGATGAAATATTTAACACACTGAACATTATAAATATTGCTGAAAGAAATTAAAGACCTAAATAAATGGAAAGCTGTCCCATGTCCATGGATTAGAAGACTTAACATTATTAAGATGACAGTACTCCCCAAATTGATCTAAAGCTTCAAAACAATCCCTATCAACATTCCTGTTGCTGTTTTTTTTTTTTTTTTTTTTTTTGCAGAAATTAACAAGCTGATTCTAAAATTCATATGGAAATGTAAGGACCCAAAATAGCCAAAATTATCTTGGAAACAAAACAAAACAAAGTTGGAGCATTCACACTTTCCAGTTTCAAAACTTACCACAAAGCTCCAATAATCAAGACATTGTGGTGCTGGCATAAGGCTAGGCATATAGATCAATGGAATATAATTGAGAGTCCGGAAGTTAACCTTTACATTTATAGTTCATTGATTTTCAACAGGAGTACCAAGACGATTCAGTGGGCAGAAGAACAGTTTTTTGTTTTGTTTTTTAACAAATGGTGTTGGAGCAACTGGATATCCACATGCAAAAGAATGAAGATGGAGCCTTCCCTCACACCTACACAAAAGTTAACTATAGTGAATCACAGACCCAAACATAAGAGCTGAAACTATTAAACTTTTAGAAAAAAAACAGGAGTAAATCTTCATGCTGCAGGTAGATTAAGTAAGATGAGGGCTGAGAGAGAATTGATCTTGGTTTAGCAATGTGGAAGTCATTGGTGACCTTGACAAGAACTTTTTTTTTTTTTTTTTTTTTTTTTGAGACAGGGTCTCATGTCACCAGGGCTGGAGTGCAGTGGGGCTCACTGAAACTTCTGCCTCCCAGGCTCAAGTGATCCTCCCACCTCAGCCTCCCAAGTAGCTGGAACTAAAGGCGTGCACCACCACACCCGGCTGGTTTTTGTATTTTTAGTAGAGATGGGGTTTTGCCGTGTTGCCCAGGCTGGTCTCACACTCCTGATCTCAAGTGATCTGACTGCCTCAGCCTCCCAAAGTGCTGGGATTACAGGTGCGAGCCACCATGTCTGACCAACAAGAACTCTTTTAGTAGAGTGGTGGAGGGGGTTCAAGAGAGAATGGGAGGAGGCCGGGCATGGTGGCTCACACCTGTAATCCCAGTGCTCTGGGAGGCCAAGTTGGGCAGTTCACTGGAGATCAGGAGCTTGAGAACAGCCTTGGGCAACATGGCAAAACCCCATCTCTACTAAAAATACAAAAAATTAGCAGGGCATGGTGGCATGTGCCTCTACTCCCAGCTGCTCAGGAGGTCGAGGCAGGAGAATCGCTTGAACCCAGGAGGTAGAGGTTGCAGACTTTTTTTTGGTGGCTCCCGCCTGTAATCCTAGCACTTTGGGAGGCCGAGGCAGGTGGATCACTTGAGGTCAGGAGTTCAAGACCAGCCTGGCCAACATGGTGAAACCCCATCTCTACTAAAAATACAAAAAATTAGCCAGGCGTGGTGGCGGACGCCTGTAATCCCAGCTACTTGGGAGGCCGAGGCAGGAGAATTGCTTGAATTCAGGAGGCGGAGGTTGCAGTGAGCTGAGATCGCACCATTGCACTCCAGCCTAGGCAACAAGAGCTAAACTCTGAAAAAAAAGAGAGAGAGTGAGAGGAAATAAATTGGAGACAGTGAGTATAGACAGCTTTGAGGAGGTTTGCTGTAATGGGAATAGAGAAATGGGACAGCTGCTGGAAGGTTTGAGAGAGAGTTTTAAGATAGGAGATGTATTTTGTATGTTGATGGAAATGATCCCGTAGAGAGGTAAAAATGGATGTTGCAGGAAAAAGGTAGGAATTGCTGGTCAGTACACAAGTAGGGAGGGGTTGGTGTGATGGATAGAGGGAAGGCAGGACTTATGAGTACAGTTGCAGGGAGGTAAGGGGTGAGAGCATGTGCAGAGTCCTCATGTGAGTGCTTCTATGTTATTTTATGGTATTTCTTATGAATGAAGGAGCCGAGAGTGATAAGATGTAGGAGGATATGGAGGTTTGAGAAAAGAGAGGGTAAGAAAAAGTTACCTCAGAGAGTGAATGGACTAGGAAAGCGTAGCTGCACTGTCAGGTAGCCTAAAAGACCCACAGGTTACTGGTAATATGAAAGTGAGGCCAGTTTGCAAGATCTGGTCTTTCTCTCACTACATTCATCCATGTGGATGCAGGTACTGAGATTTAACATGGCTTGGGGTTTTGCCACCGAAGTACAGGGAAATAATCCCTTGCCAACAATTCCGAGATTAAAAATCTGAAAACTCGTAGTTTTGTTTGTTTTGGTAAGTTTGGCAAACTATTGTGGTGGCAGCACCTGATCTGAATGAACATGAAGCTATTTATAGGCTTTATTTATCACATATATGTGGGAATATATATTTTGCTACAGAAATTTTGTGTTTGACTTTGGGGTGCTGCCCCAGACTCCGCTGACACATTTATGACATATGCAGTGTATTACCTTTCTAAAATATGAAACATTCTGAATTCCAAGATACATCTATCCCTAAGGGACTGTGGGTCTGTACGACAAAAGGATAGCTTGCAGGGGAGTTCAGGGTGTATATCAGGGGTGATTATCCTGATGGATTTTGGAATCTCATTCACCTGGGTAAGGAGAGAAGTAAGCACAGGAGGAGAGGAAGAGGGATGCTGAAAAGGTGGCAGGATTGATGGTTTATTGATTCTGGTGGGGCTGAAGAATTATTGGCATCTGAAGGCTAGAGGGAGAATGCTGGAAATATAGGGAGAGATTTATTTCAGCTGGGCTTTTGGTTCTTAAGGGACATAATCACAGAATACAAGTTAGTACTACCCTTTCAGTTTCCTACTTGTGAATCGTTCTCTAGTTCAGAATGACTTCCTTTTTATTCTTTAAACACAAATGACATATAGTAAAAGAAACCCTGCTAAATAATGCTAAAAAATAGTAACTGAGCTGGTATCTGAGAGGATCTAAAACCCTTCTTCCTGCCTTTATTATAAATGGAGGGGGAGGTACACACCAAGACATCCATCTAGTGACCAATGGGCAGAATTTTTGAAGTGGGAACTCTTGGAAAATCTAAACAGCACCTTCTGTACATTGTTACTTTTAGTATGGATTAGAAAGCATGGCTTGCTGGGTACAGTGGCTCACTCCTGCAATCCCAACACTTTGGGAGGTCAAGGTGGGAAGATTGCTTGAACCCAGGAGCTTGAGACTAACCTGGGCAACATAGTGAGACCCTATCTCTATAAAAAATAAACAGTAAAAAAAGTAACCAGGCATGGTGGCTTGCGCCTGTGGTCCCAGCTACTCAGGAGGCTGAGGTAGGAAGATCACTTGAGCGCAGGACCTCAGGGCTGTACAGTGAACTATGATTGTGCCGCTATACTCCAGCCTGAGTGACAGAGCAAGACCCTGTCTCTAAAAAAAGAAAAAAAAGAGGTTTCCTTAAATTTAAAAAAGAAAAAAAGAGGGCCAGGTGCGGTGGCTCTTCCCTGTAATCCCAGCACTTTGGGAGGCCAAAGCGGGTGGATCAGCTGAGGTCAGGAGTTCGAGACCAGCCTGACCAACATGGTGAAACCTCATCTCTACTAAAAACACAAAATTAACTGGGCTTGGTGGTGCATGCCTGTAATCCCAGCTAGTAGGGAGACTGAGGCAGGAGAATCGCTTGAACCCAGGAGACTGAGATTTCGGTGAGCTGAGATCACACCATTGCACTCCAGCCTGGGCAACAAGAGCAAAACTCCGTCTCAAAAAAAAAGAATTGCATAAGTCAGTCACTTAGTCCTTGTAAAATTCCTTTTATTTGTTGGAAACAGAAAAGCAAATTGGCAAGTTTTTTAGCATTTGAATTGCTTTAATTCTTACTCTGTCTTCACTCATCAGGGCCTAATACTGATAGTGATTTACTTACACTTCTAGTTAATAATTAGACATTGGGAGACACGATATATCATGCCTAATGGAAATATATGGGGTCTGATGAGAAAGTTTTCTGTGTTGACTAATAAATTTTAACCCAATGGCCAAGCTTAGTGAAATATTATGGCCTTTGAAGTATTTTAGGGCTTGTGCTGAGAAAATAGTACTGCTTTATTCAATGAATGAATTTATCATTTCTTCCAAATCATAGGCCTTAGCGCTAGCTCCGGAGTGGAGGCATGCTGCAACGCAGAATCAAAAAGTGGAAAAACTAATCAAATCCTTAAAGACCAAGGGCAGTGAGGCAGAATTAGGCTGACTTTTTCAGTGGTAGCCTCTAGCTATACATTCTCTTATTTGAGTAACCAAAGGTGGACTATTTGTAACTTTAGTATTAAGATGCTTCTTAGACCTTATTTGCATAACCTGATTTCCTTTCATTCTTCCCTGTGTCATTCTGTAAATATTGCACTTCCCCTTGCAAAAGGTGGCTGCTTTTCATGCTTGTTGACAAAATCTAGAAGACTGCTTGCTACTTGACTCTTTGATTTTAGGAATATTATTTTGAAATAGGGTCTCACTCTGTCACCCAGGCTGGACCATAGTGGTGCAGTCATAGCGCACTGCAACCTCACACTGCTGTGTTCAAGCTATCTTTCCACCTCAGCCTCCTAAGTAGCTAGGACTATGGGTGTATGCCACCACACCTGGCTAATTTAATTTTTTTTTTTTTTTTTTTTTTTTTTTAGCGACAGGTTCTCACTGCATTGCCTAGGCTGGTCTCAAACTACTGGCCTCAGGTGATCCCCCTGCCTCAGCCTTCCAAAGCGTTGTGATTACAGGCATCAGCCACTGTGCCCAGCCCTTAGAAATATTATTGAATAATCACTGTATGCAAAGGCAGTGGTGGAGTTCCAGGTATTAGGGGTAAGAGTTTCAGTCAGATGTATCCCCTGCCTGCAAGAAGCTCATAGTCAAGCAAGCAAGATGACATAAACATAAATAACCAGAACGCTTGGTGAGTGTGTATCGAAGAATTCAGAAAAGGGAGAAAAATAATAGTTTCAGGGAATTAGAGAAGGCTCCAGCGAAGAGGACATGGCATTTGATCTGGGCTTTCAAAGAAGGATGGCCAGGATTTTAGATACTCTGAGGTTGGAAGGAGGCCTTCTACATAAAGGAATTGTGTAATCAGGGTATTGTGGGGGAGCTGAAGGTCAGGAAAAGAGAATCGCAGATAGTTCAAACAGAATAAATGATAAAGGAGAGGATGACTTCTGCTCCAGTTTCTCATGATCTAGTTTGGAAAAGTCCTTTAACCCATAGCATACTTTTTAAATGTATGACTTACCATTTTTGCGGGTTTTCTATACTTGTTACATTTTTATCCTTTCACTCTTATTTGTTACACATCTTATTTGTTACCTATGTTTGAAAATCAGTAGAAAGGAAAATTGAATTACTGTACTTGTTGCTTGTTAGCAGCTGTGGCGATTTAGCTGTGGAAGATGATTTATTTTAACCTAAATGGGGTTTAGGGACTATCTATGAGCATGATCTGATGTTCCACAGTATTTCTGTTTATTGAATACTTACGTTTTGCTGAGTGCTTTACTTTTATCATCTTTTTAAGTCCCAAAACAACTTTGTGAGGTATAATTACCACTTTATAAGATGAGGAAACTGAATCTCAGGGAGCTCAAGGAACTTGTCTTAAACTACACAGGTAGTAAAGGGCAGAGCTGGAATTCAAGACAGGTAAGTCAGACTCTTTGGCAGATAGTTACACTTAGATTGAACTGTGCAGTACACACTTCACATAAGTGAAAATTCATACCTAGAAGCATTAGCTCTTAGAGAGTGGGAGATGGAAACCTGTAACTGGTATTTGACAAGCCTATTTCATAGATAAAAGATATTTAAATAGAAAATCCTGTAACTAGGCTGGGCATGGTGGCTTATCCCTGTAATCCCAGCAGTGTGGGGGGCTGACACAGGAAGATCACTTGAGGTCAAGAGTTCAAGACCAGCCACGGCAACATAGAGAGACCCCATCTCTACAAGAACTGGAAAAAATTAGCTGGGCATGCATGCCTGTAGTCCCAGCTGCTCAGAAGGCTAAGGTGGGAGCTCTGGAGGTCAGGGGCACAGTGAGCTATGATCATGCCACTGCACTCCAGTGTGAGCGACAAAGCAAGGGCCTGTCTCTAAAACCACACACACTGTAACTGAAATTAATTCAGACCTTTATTACAAAGATGTCAAGACATCTGTCTTGCAGTAAAAGGACCAACTTAAAGAGACTACAGGAAAGGTTAAGGTTTGTGGGGAGTATAGAGGAAGCACCAAAGATGTGCTTGCTCTCATTTCCTGAGAAGAACCAACTTTTTCCTTTAGGAAATGAGACACAAGAGGGAGTATAGATCTGTATCATTTTAATAGTCAAAGAATGAGTTTAAATAGTTAAATGGCTTTTTTGTTTTGGTTTGGTTTTTGGGTTTTGGTTTTTGAGATGGAGTTTCACTCTTGTTGCCCAGGCTGGAGTGCAGTGGCGCGATCTCGGCTCACTGCAACCTCCACCTCCTGGGTTCAAGTGATTCTTCTGCCTCAGGCTCCCGAGTAGCTGGGATTACAGGCATCTGCCACCATGCCCGGCTAATTTTTTTTTTTTTTTTTTGTATTTTTAGTAAAGATGGGGTTTCACCATGTTGGCCAGGCTGGTCTCAAACTCCTGACCTCAGGTTATCCTTTTCTTTCGGCCTCCCCAAGCACTAGGATTACAGGTGTGAACCACCGTGCCTGGCCCCAGTTAAATGGTTTTTTTTATTTTAAATTCAAGTACTCTTGGAATGGGGAGGGGAAAAAAGGATAATTCTCATCCGCTTAAAACCATCCAGGCCGGGCGCGGTGGCTCACGCCTGTAATCCCAGCACTTTGGGAGGCCGAGGCGGGTGGATCATGAGGTCAGGAGATCGAGACCATCCTGGCTAACAAGGTGAAACCCCGTCTCTACTAAAAATACAAAAAATTAGCCGGGCGCGGTGGCGGGCGCCTGTAGTCCCAGCTACTGGGGAGGCTGAGGCAGGAGAATGGCGTGAATCCGGGAAGCGGAGCTTGCGGTGAGCCGAGATTGCGCCACTGCAGTCCGCAGTCTGGCCTGGGCGACAGAGCGAGACTCCGTCTCAAAAAAAAAAAAAAAAAAAAAAAAAAACCATGCAGATTTGTTGAATAGACCAGTCTATGTGTTTGTTGTGTAGGTCATCTGGCCTATGTAAGACATGTGAGAAGGAGAATATTGTGTGGGGAAGTCATATCATTGAAAATGGCAATGACAAAGATATGTTCAAAAACAACTGACAAAAAACAGGTAGGTTTCTCTATTCCTAGGTCGATAATGGTGCCCTGGATTAGAGCCAGGTTATTGTATATTGACTCCTTTTGTGTAAAAACACTGAAATGGTATGTGTGTGTGGTGGGGGAAATGATAAAGCAAACACAGATATGGTATTTTCTCTCAGAAATAATTGTTTTCTGGCCGGGCGCGGTGGCTCACGCCTATAATCCCAGCACTTTGGGAGGCTGAGGCGGGCGGATCACGAGGTCAGGAGCTCCAGACCATCCTGGCTAACATGGTGAAACCCTGTCCCTACTAAAAATACAAAAACAAAATTAGCCGGGCGTGGTGGTGGGTGCCTGTAGTCCCAGCTACTTGAGAGGCTGAGGCAGGAGAATGGCGTGAACCCAGAAGGCGGAGCTTGCAGTGAGCCAAGATCGTGCCACTGCACTCCAGCCTGGGCGACAGAGCGAGACTCCATCTCAAAAAAATTATTATTATTATTATTTTCCCCTCTGTGTATATATGGAGCTCCTTCAAGGGGCCCCTGAAGGGGATGGAGTGGTGATTGTGTTCAGATGGAGTCTCTGCTCTCACACAGCATACAGTCAGCAAGGGGAGGAGGTAGACGTTATCAAGGAGTCCATGAGTACAGTGTACAGTAAGAACAGCAAAGGTATGGTGCATGTGTGTGAGTGCAGCTGTGGTTAAGAAAGGTTTCCCTCAGGAAGAGAAGATGAAGTGGAGATTTAACAAATGAGTAGAGGAGGAGGCGTGGGAGGTCAGTGGCTAGGGAAGCCTGTTCCCGCAGTGCATATGCAGAAGCAGCCTCTGGTGTGAGGGCCCACGGAGCATTTCACGTACAGAATGAAGCCTGGTGGGCCTGCAGCACAGAGGCGGAAGGTGGGTTAGGTTGGAGAGGTAGACAAGGGCCCTAGTGGTACCCTGTTAAATGTCCTGACACATTTGCTTTTTGAAAATACTACTCTTGAGTACAATGAGGAGACAAAAATGGAGGGACAAGAGTAAATGAGAGGAAATCATTACACTGCCTCAGGCAAGACCATGTCTGTTTTATTCTTGTTTCTCCAGTGTGCTCAAAAAATATGTATGAGGGCCGGGTGTTGTGGCTTACGCCTGTAATCCCAGCACTTCAGGAGGCCAAGACGAGTGGATTACCTGAGTTCAGGAGTTCGAGACCAGCCTGGCCAACATGGAAAAACCCCGTCTCAACTAAAAATTTATACAAAAATTAGCCCGGCGTGGTGGTGCACGCCTGTAATCCCAGCTACTCGGGAGGCTGAGGCAGGAGAATTGCTTGAAACCGGGAGGTGGAGGTTGCAGTGAGCAGAGATAGCACCACGGCACTCCAGCCTGGGCGACAGAGCAAGACTCTGCCTCAAAAACAAAAAAAAAGTATGGGGTGAATGAAGATGATAGTAGCCTGTACTGGGTGGAGGCAGCGGAGATGGAGAAAAGTGGACAAATTCGTGAATATAAGACTTGAGATAGTTGAGATATTGGGTGTAAGGGAAGAGGAATTTCCAGGGGTAACTCTTAGGTCATTGAAGCCTTGAGAACAGAAGGAAGTTCTTGGGGGAAACCCTGTGGAGTGAGAAGAAAATAAAGATTGGAACTGAGTCGTGAGGAGTGGCAGTATTTAATGGCTGGCTAGAGGGGCTGGCTGAATGTGGAGTAAAGACAGAGAGATGCCTCACTGATACCGAGAAAAGAGTGTTTCAGTGAGGTGAGAAAGTCCAGTGTCAGTTGCTGCTTCAAGAAGTCTAATAGGATGAGTAGTGCTAGATGCCCATTAGACATAGAGATCTTGAGACCTTAGCACAGGTAGTTTGAATAGAATAATGGAAGCAGAAATATTAGGTGGTGGAGTTGTTGGTTCGGGAGTGAATGGGCAATGTGGAGTGGGAACATATAGTTGGGGAATAGGTCATTTTGTGCCAATTTTGTATTATAGGAAGGTATAGTAATTCCTTCCCAACTATTTGAAATTATAGTATATGCAATTTATTTTTTGTATGCCTCAAATATGGTATATAAAAATTGCAAGAGACTTCTTTTGGGGATAATTTTTTTTTTTTTTAAGTTGAGGTCTCTGTTGCTCAGGCTGGAGTGCAATGGCGCAATCTTGGCTCACTGCAACTTCCGTCTCCTGGGTTCAAGCGATTTCTCCTGCCTCAGCCACCCTAGTAGCTGGGATTACAGGCATGCGCCACCATGCCCAGTTAATTTTTTTGTATTTTTACTAGAGACGGGGTTCGCCATCTTGGCCAGGCTGGTCTCGAACTTCTGGCCTCAAGTGATCCGCCTGCCTTGGCCTCCCAGTGCTAGGATTATAGGCGTGAGCCACCACACCCGGCCCTTTTGGGGATAATTTGAAAGACTAGGGAGCTGAGAACCAAAAAAGGAGGTAAGGCAGGAGGTAGAGCAAAAATAGATACATTTTCACTAAGAAGTCTTGTGGGAGAGAGAGGGAATTCACAGGAAGAGTAAACCCAATCCTTTGAGTCTGCTTTTGTATCTCCCAGTGAGGAAGTTTGAGGAACCCTGACTCAGCTAGGCTAAGTAAGTTTGATAGAGGGTTGCCCCAAGCTTTTTCCTTCTCAAGCATCTGTGGCTATGAACTGTGGAAGCCTAAAAAGTAGGAATCAATAACTCTGGGTCACAAATTCAGAAAGCCAAGGAATATGTGGTCATAAAGCCAAAATGCTTTTAAAGTTACTTGGTTTTTCAACAAGGGTGCCAAGACAGCTCAGTGGGGTAAGTAGTCTTTTCAACAAATGGTATAATGGGATATCCACATGTAAAAGAATGAAGTTGGACCCCTACCTTACACTATATATAAAAATTAACTCAAAATGGATCATAGACCTAAATATAAGAGCTACACTATTAATTATAAACCTTTTAGAAGAAAACATAGGAGTAGAGCTTCATGACCTTGGGTTAGGCAATGGTTTCTTAGATACAAATCAAAAACACAAATGACAAAAGAAAAAATTGGACTGTATCAAAATTAAAAACTTTCCTGCCTCAAATGACACTCTCAAGAAAGCAAAAAGACATTACAGAAGGAAAATGAATAAGGGACTGGTATCCAGAATATATAAAGAACTCTTACAGCTCAATAACAAAAAGACAAATAACCTCATTTTAAAATGGGCAAAGGGTCTGAATAGACATTTCTCCAGTGAAGATATACAAATGGCCAGTAAGCACAGGAAGATGCTCTGCATCATTAGCCATTAGGGAAATGCAAATCAAAGCTGCAATGAGAATGTATCATACCTGCTAGTATGGCTGTCAGTCAGTGTTTACATTATTATTACTAAGTAAATGTTGTTCTCAAGTGTCTTAGTCTGTTCTGCATTGCTATGAAGGAATACCTGAGAATGGGTAATTTTTGAGGAAGAAAGGTTTCTTTGGTTCACTCTTCTGCTGCTGGGAATTTTGGGCTTCTAGTGGAAGCCTCAGGCTGCTTCTGTTCATGAAGGAAGGCGGAGGGGAGCTGGCATGTGCAGAGATCACGTGGCAAGAGAGGAGGCTAGAGGACTGAGGCATGCCAGGCTCTTTTCAACAGCCAGCTCCTGGGCTCTAATAGAGCGGGAACTCACTCCCCACAACCAAGGGAGGACTTCATCTATGCATGAGGGATCTACCTCCATGGCCCAGACACTTTCCATTAGGCCCCTCCAACATTGAGAGCAAATTTCAGCATGAGGTTTGGAGGGGACAAACATCCCAACTATAGGAACAAGCGCTATATTATGATTACATTTTTCTTACAAATTTGTTTTTTCCTAGAGCTAATAATGCCTGTTTTTAAAAGATTTGCCTAGTTTTCTGTGTAACTATTGCTGTTTTTCCCTATATACTCCACATGCCTTGAATATATAAAATAACCTATCCTTTTGCACCTCCCTTCTACTTTTTCCCCTTGGAGACCTCATCCTAGAGCTCTCTGGACTCTTCTGGCGTGGCTGCACACCAGGCCTGCTGGCTGTATTCCTGGGACTTGCCTTTGCTTCTTCCCTGAGTTAGACCTCTCGTTTCTAATATCTTATGTCTTGATTTTAGTATACTCATTTACTGAAGTACATCTTTCTGTGAAAGAGTACACAGAAAGTAAATTGTTGAGTCCTTACGTGTATGAAAAATGCATTTATGTAACTCTCATTATACTTGGTTAATAATTTGGCTGAGGAGGCAGAGGCTGCAATGCGCTGAGATTGCACCACTGCACTCCAGCCTGGGTGACAGAGCAAGACTGTCTTAGTAATAATAATAATAATAATAATAATAATAATAATAAGGCTGTATATGGAATTTGAGTCTGGAAGTCATTTTCCATAGAATTTTGAAGGTACCTTGCTGTCCTCTGCTATCTGCTCTTGCTATTGAGACGTCTTTTCCCATTCAGATTTCCATTCTTTAATATGTAGGGCGACTGTATAATTTATTATCAAAACTGGGACAGGTAAAGTGCTAGTCTGACAGCATATTAGGACAACAGGTGTAAACCAGGACTTTCTTGGTAAACTGGGACATATGATCACCTCTTTATATGTAACCTGTTTTTTCTTTAACTGCTTAGGATCTTCTCTTTACCTCTGGTGTTCTACATTTCATGATGATGTGTCTTGACAGAGGCCCTTTTTTATTCATTGCACTAGGTCTTTGCAGTTGTATTCCTGTTCTTTCTTTGATTTGGGAAAATTTTCAGTATTCCTTCAAACATTTTCTCCCAGCCTTTGTTAGTTAGATGTTTGACTTTCTGGATTATCCTCTAAATTTTTGTCTTGTCTTGCAAATAAGCAAGGGGATATTATCTTTTTGCCTTTTGGCTTTCTTTTTGTTTTATATCAGAGATTTTCATTCATTTAAGTTCTTCTGTTGGATTTTTTAAAATTTTCTGTTTAGTGTTTAATTTCTCATTTTAGTCTTTTTCACAGCATCCTGCTCTTATCAAAGTATACCCTCTCCCACTCTTGGGATATTCATTGTAAGTTTTGGGGGTTTTTTTCTCCTTTTTAATTATTTATTTTGTTCTCTGCATTGCTTCCTTGAGTCTCTTTTCTATTTGTTTGGTTTGTGCATGAGGATTTCCTCAGATGCAGGCGATCCTTAACTGTCTGTTCATATTTAAGAGTAAAGCATTAAAGTTTATTATTCGGAATCTCTGAAACCTGGGCAGAGCTTTTTGGCTTCTTTAAATATAATTATGCTGTGAACTGACCTCTTTGTTAGAGTAGCCTTGGATGTCAGAATTTGTATTTGTTTGCTTTGTTTTCTATATATCTATTTGTTTGTGCTGCTATAGTAAAATACCACAGACTAGGTAATCTTAAAAGAACAGAAATTTATTTCTCACAGTTCTGGAGGTTGTAAAGTCCAAGAACAAGAAGGTGGCAGTTTCTGTTGTCTGGAGAGGGCTGCTGTCTGCTTCCAAGATGGTGCCTTGATGCTGAATTCTTCTGAGGGAATTCACATGGCAGAAGGTGGAAAGGCAAAAGGGACAGACTCCCTCCATCATGCCCTTTTAGAGGGACGCCTAATCCCATCCACGAGGGCAGAGCCTGCATGACTCAGTCACCTCCCAAAGGCCATTCCTTCCAATACTGTTGCATTGGGGATTAAGTGTTCAACATACGGATTTTGGGAGACACATGCAGAAGACCATAGCAACTTTGAAATCTAATTTTGGGGGTGGGAGGGCAGACACCATTCAGTTTCTTCCAGAAAAGGCTCCTCTGCTTTCCTGCCTAGGAAATTATAGAATGGGATGTTAGCTTTCTACAAATGAGGTGGGAGAAAGGGAGAGGTTTCAGAGATTAACATAGAGCCTTTCCCTTGTACCTCATTCCAGCCTTCTTTGCCTGGTATCCTCTATTCTGGAGCTTCTGTGGTTCAATATTTCCAAAGAATAAAATTTCTTTTCTCTCACGAGAGGAGGTGGGTGGTAGAGGTGGTTAGTCACTTGGCTGTGTGGGATAATGGAGGAGGCCCAAGTGGTTCTGCTCCTTCTCTTTTTCCCACCTTGCGTGGTAACTGCCAGAGAGCTGATCCTCACAGGAATTCTGCGGCCTAATACAATTAGCTTCATCTTCACCTTTATTCACTCTGGGCATTTGGGTGATAACTTCTCCATCTCCTTACTGTCTTGGAAAAATTTATGAAAATATGCACACATTAGTGCTCCTTTTCTCTTTTTTCTTAGGAGTTAATATTTATTTTATTCCTCAACTGTCTCTTAGAGGGGTTGAGAAGAGATAAACTAATGTGTTCAATCTGCCATTTTTAACTGTTTCTAGCATGCATTTTTTCTAATGAAAGTATTATAAATGTTGATTAGATGCTTAATAGTACTATTAGTCCTGTTCCTCATGTATATTGGTATGGGTTAAATAGGTTTCTGTGGCCAACCTGAAAACCTAACTGTATCTATGATTTTCCCTTAGAACTAGAGGTATAATCAAGCCTTTCCGAATTGATTATCTGGAGGAATTTTAACAGACTAGAGCAAAAACATTTTCTCTCTCTCCATTTTCCAAATCACATAGAAAATTACTACAAATACTATATCATCATTGTTGAAATAAAAAGCTCTAATAATTGTAACAGAAACTTGAATTTTAGTAGAAAGGTTTATTTGTAAAGTTAAAGCTATACAAATTAAAATCAGAAGTAAAATTGAATTCTTCAGCCAATATCTCAAATCTCTTTTTTTTTTTTTAGCAACTGTTTTGAAAGCAATTTTCTAATTAAATTTAAACCCAGTGATAGTGGTAGCTTTGGGAAAATAGTAATAGCCACGGGAATCATTTGTTTAACTGTATTTTTTGTTGTTGTTGCTTTCTTTTTCTTACCATGGACACAACAGAATCTTCTGAAATATTGGACTGAATAAACTAGACCTAGCTAGATAGACCAATAAAACAATCTTCCAAGTCATGAATGAGTAAAAATAGTTATGCAAAGCACTTGTGTGCGAAAATGCAGCTCAGAATATGTATAGTACACAAAGTGTTTGAAAGTAAATGCTGCACCAACTTGGTGTTGGAATTGCAGAGACCACTGCAGTGGGGAGCTCCAATTTCCAGCCTTTGGCAAGGGCATATTCTTCCCGAGGATCACCCTGTTGTGCTGGGGCAGCCTTCCATGAGCACTTGCACCCCGGTGACCCTGATTGCCCAGTCTCAAGGGATCTGAGAAAATTAGGAAAACCAGGAACGGTTGTTGTAATCTTTTGTATGGCTGGAACGAGGTAAGGGCAATGAAATGCAGTTATTCCATTATTTTCCTTCCTTTTTATTTTTCTTTCTCTTTTATTTCTTCTTCTTTATTATTATTAACCACTCCCCCTCACTCCCCCTACTCCTTGCTTTTGACAGAATATTGACTAGGAACCAGAAGCCCATTTCTGCTTAGCCTTAAGGGCAGCTGTTTACACAGCAGCAGTGTTACATAGGTTTACTGTGTCATATGTCTGTGTAACACTGGATTTGGATCTTGTATTTAGCTGCCAGAAGTGACTGTGATGAAGTAGGAGAGATAAACTGATAGATTGGCTGCCAGAAAGATGTTGGGAATCAATCAGATAAACAGGGTAGAGAAATAGCTTGCTGTTTTCTAGTGATAATAAAACCAGCGGCTTCTGGTCCCTGCATTCTTAAACATAATTGCTGTAGTAATAATGTCCAAAATAAGCAAATGAAAAAACATCATGGGAGGTTTTCTAATTGCAATTGAGATATCCTTTTCCCTTTTGCAATAAAGATTCATCTTTTGGAAGTGAATATTTTTTATAAATTTGTTTTACTTCTTCCAGTGCCTACTTACATAAACATATGAAATTAGAAAGAGATCTGCTTTCAGAGGAATTTATTTCTCTTTCTTCATTTGAACCACTGAAGCCCACAGGCTTCAGCTATTTGATTTGATGAAATATCTCTATTGCCACCATGCCTCACCTACAAAATCATTGCTAATTTTTATGAAGAAACAAGTTTTAAGGCCAAACCTGGATTATTGACAGATGATTAGCAGAACTAGTTTATCTTAGCGTCTTCTCTTAAATTTCTCTCAGAAGATTTTTGGAATTTTAATCTCTGTTTCTCTTTCTCTGCATATAGCACTTATAGTTCTATTATCGTAATTCAGGGTTTTTCTCCCTTAGTGTTTAACTTTTAAAACCATTGCTTCTCTTCGCCCAAGGACTTTAAGATTCAGTGCAGATTCTTAAGTCTGTATGAAAGGTACAGATGTAGATTTCAACTGGGTGCAGAGGAGTCAGGCTTAAAATGACAGTAGGAGAGTCATTTAGAATAACTCCCATGGAGTTAATTGTATTGGATGAGAGACTAATCCTCTGTGGTATATTTGCAGTATGCAAATGACTTTCTTTAGATTCCCTCTTAAAATTTGTGTGGCTATGAATGTGTTGGTATCATGTGTGGCTAAAGCACTTAATAGCAAGCATGGTAGAGTAGCAGCTGTGGAAAACAAGAGGCCGATGCCCACACTTTTAATTACATACAGTAAAGGCTTTTTGCCTGAGGAAGACCTTCCTGACTGTTGGAGGTTATAGTTCAGAAGTTAACCTTGCACCATTATCCTGTTGGTGAGAAGCTGATGCATTTCCCTTTTTGCCACACGGCCCTTCCCACCTGACCTTTTAAAGATTCTCCATTGATATCAATGGAGTGGACAAAACTAATCATAAAAATAATGAAGGGAATGTTGCATACTCATTGATCTATTTGAAATGAACTGCGGTACAATAAGTCTTCCAAATGGACTTCTGTTCTCAGCTACTGCTATAGCCACCTTTTTAAAGATATATAACTATGAAAGCGTTAACGGGAATTCAGTAATGCTCTTGCCACTGGGTTGTCCCTTATTGATTGTAGTTTTAGAGCTGTCACTATGCCATTCAGAATTCCTTCTCTGCCCTTTTAAAGTCAGTTGTACTGGAAGATGATAAATAAATTCGTTGCTTTCCTTTTTCCCCTAGCTCCTTCGAGAACTCATAGAACGGAAGACCAGCTCCTTGGATCCCAACGATCAGGTGGCCATGGGAAGGTAATTTAGATACAGCTTTCTGTTCATGCAAGCAGCCTATGTAATAGTTTCTCCCCTTGAGTCCCTTTAATTCTACCTGCAAAGCAATGATTGGTCCTATAATTATTGAAGTTAAGCAAGTAAGAGCTAGAAAGAAAATGTGACTAATTGTTTACCCTACATTGCCTAAAGTGCAATTTGTAAAGAAATTATAAAACACCTATGTGTTTGTTTTTAGAGTTTGTTTTCCAAAGTCTTTCTTATGCTCTTTGCTCCCTGGTTTTGCATTGTGATTGTATCCATATCAATCTGTTGACCAGTGGATACAAAGCAGCCATCCAAATGTGAGCTCTCAGCTGTCAGAACATGGCACTGCGCACAACAGGTTCTTTGCTCTCAGTCGAATCTGCTTTGTTAGAGTCTGCCCTAATTTAGACCTCCACCTCTTCAGTAAAAGCTTCAGCACAATTAGAAGTGGAACGTGGCAGCATTACCCAGATGTCAGGGCAGAATGTAAAGTAGTGAAGGAAGGCCCTTGTGTGTATGCTTCATCCTGTGGTTGGAAAATAAAAAGGGCATTTAGAATGCTACCTAATGAATAGTGTACATTTAAATAGCCATGAGCCATAATTTGCAAAAGCATGAAAGGAAACAAAAGCTGCAAGTGCCAGAATGGGATTCTAGGCAGAGCAGCCATTCGAGAAAGCAGTGAAAAATTTGTGTTGATGAAATAATTTTATTTAAGTAAAATATTATGTGAATTTTAGGGTAGGATGTTGATATTTCGTTTATCTCTGGAATGTTATAGAGAGCTGTTCGCTATAAATTTAATGTGATAGAGCAAATTGCATTTAAGTGGTGATTATATTGTACATTTATCTGACTTTACAATAAAATAGATTATGGTAATTAAGATTATATTAAGATTACAGTAATTGGATTTCCCTAGATTTTTTTTTTCTGGTGTTGAATTTTCGTTGTATAAATCAGGTAGGATGACTAGCTGCTGCTGCTGTTTCTCCTTCTTTTTCTTTTTTTCACTTTAGTTCATATGAGCAATTTATGAAGATTTTCTTAGCCTAATATCCCTTATTGAAAAATTAATTCCTTCTTATCTAAAATGACTGCAGAATATGTGAATCTTGTTTGGATTCTGATCCAAACAAGCCAACTGTAAAATTGAGACATTCCAGGAAATGTGAAGACTGACTGAATATTTGATAATAAAGAATTATTGTTGACTTTTTTTTTTAGATGTGGTAATGGTATTGAGATTATATTGAGGGGAGAAGAGTCCTTATCGCTTCTCTTGTATAGCAACACGTACTGAAATATTTATAGATGAAATGAAAATTAACAATTTAAACAATTTAAACAATTTAAAACAATTAAAAACTAGTATCAGTAGTGGATAATTATTTAAAAATTAGCAAAAATTGGAAAGCACAAGAAAAAGCACTGGAGGATTACCAAAGGGAAAGTTAGATTTTAAAAATTCATGCATTCAAACCAACCAGCAGTTGCAACATTAGTAACAGAACATGCTGCATAGCTAAAACATTAAAAGAAAACCCAAGTAGCTCTACTAAATCTGATGGGTTTGCCTGCAGACTGGTAGATTTAGTGCTTGTCACAGCAACTCCAAATACTAAGGAGCATTGTGAACCAAATTTGCTGTAGAATTTCCCAGCTGCCGTTTGTTTTTTTACCATTGCACAAATCCTGTTCAATTGATTAGTCAGTTTGGCCCCAAACTAGCTTGAGGAACTTGATGTAGGTTGATGATTTCTTTCTGCAGGGTTGTTAGAATAATTCCAATTTGTCAATATGTATAACTATTTCTGTTAGTGATGATGCATAACATTGCTTGTGAATTTTCCAGGCAGTGGCTTGCAATCCAGAAGTTACGAAGCAAAATCCACAAAAAAGTAGATAGGAAAGCCAGCAAAGGCAGGAAACTTCGGTGAGTTACTTTTCGGAAAAAATGTCAACATATATTGTATATGTATCTCGTCTCTTACATTCTGGCTGTTATGTCATTTTTCTTTTTCTTCTGATGATTCTGTTTTTAAGGATCAGAAAAATAAACAATATTTGAAGGTTTATTGCAACTCAGTTTTTCTTATTCTAAAATGGAAATATAGTTTCATTGACTTTTGTGCTACTGTTGTAATAGATGGGTGAAATAATATATGCATTCCCTTGAAAGAGAAAAAATAAGAAAACAAAAGTAAAATAGTTGAAATTATATTAACTTTAACAATTAATTTCTATAGAATAATATAAAAATGTTATGGCCAGGCGTGGTGGCTCACGCCTGTACTCCCAGTGCTTTGGGAGGCCGAGGTGGGCAGATCACTTGAGGTCAGGAGATCAAGACCATCCTGGCCAACGTGGTGAAACCCCATCTCTACTAAAAATACAAAAATTAGCTGGGTGTGGTGGCGGGTGCCTATAGTCCCAGCTACTCAAGAGGCTGAGGCAGTAGAATCACTTGAACCCGGGAGGCGGAGGCTGCAGTGAGCCAAGATCATGCCACTGCACTCCAGCCTGAGTGACAGAGCGAGATTCTATCTAAAAAATAATAATAATAAATACAAAAAATTAGCCGGGCGTAGTGGCGGGCGCCTGTAGTCCCAGCTACTCGGGAGGCTGAGGCAGGAGAATGGCGTGAACCCGGGAGGCGGAGCTTGCAGTGAGCCGAGATCGCGCCACTGCACTCCAGCCTGGGCGACAGAGCGAGACTCCGTCTCAAAAAAAAAAAAAAAAATAATAATAATAATAATAATAAATATAAAAATGTTATTGTCTTATTGGTCCATTTTTATGATGCCATATGTGCACACAGTATGCTAAAAAGATATAAGTGAAGGACCACAGGGAATGTTAACAAAGTTATTAAATGAGAAGAGAAATAAAATGTTTATGAGAAAATAGAGCAATTTCTGACTTTAGGAAAATCCTCCCCTGTGAGCTCTTTAAGGAGTTTTATAAGGGTACAGATAAAAGAAGGAGCAAGAGTGGAAATTGACCTCGCTATACTTTTAGACTTGGTAACTGCCGTGTGTGTGTGTGTGTGTGTGTGTGTGTGTGTGTGTGAGAAACACAGTGTCATCACACAAAGCCTCAGTGTCAAACTACCTGTAATTCAGGTGCACACTGAGAGAAAATCTTAAACTTGTGTTAGGATAGTTTTAGGCAGGTAGTTAAACCCACATCCTTATTAGAACCTGCCTATCATTAAATTCCCTTTAGACAAATGTGGGTCTATCTGATTTTTAAAGATCTTCAGAGAAGTAGATTTCTCAATTACTTTAATGAACTTGTTTTAGTATTTAACACAACTCATCAGGAAATGCTGATTTTTCTTTAACTTTGCAGAAGTACACAGTATCAACAGCTTTGCAAAGTATCGTCCTTTGATTTAGGGTCGCTTTTTTAAAATCTCAGGTTAAATTGTTATAATTTCTTTACCTCTTTTTATGTCTTGAAATTTCCGAATCTTCATAATTCTCTAGGTTCATTTTTAGAGGTGAAGAGCATGGACTTAAGACCCAGACTGCCTGAGTTTGAATCCCAGCTTTGACATTGATTAGTAGTTACTTTGGGCAAGACCCTTAAACTCTGTGCTAGTTTCTTCATCTGTAAAATGGATATGATAATATATCAGCCTTGAATGGTTGCTGTGACGATTAAATGAATAGGGTGTGTATGGCTCTTAGAATAGTGCCAGGTACATAGTTAAGCACTGTACAAGTGTTTGTTGCCATTATTACTGTCATTATTATTGCTATCAGTATTCCAAGGTTGGGTCAGTCTCTTTTCCTAGTGTTCATTTATTTGTTTACTGACACGTCTCTTCCGTACCTGTCTCCCCCCAGCCCCCTTCAAGGATTTAAAGAAAAATGTTACTAATAGTACTTCATAGGTGACTAGGCTGAATGATTATCTTATTTTTTATTTTTGGGATCAAATTTTTCTCCAATACTGTACTTTTAAAATTGTAATTTTATGAGGACATAAATGTTCTCTAGAAGGAAGAGCTTAGGATTTCAAATCACAAGACTTGCGTTCAAACCCTGACTCTGTCTGGTGATATGATTTTGGTTGTTCTTTATTCTCTGGGCCTCACTTTTCTCATTTACTAAGTGGAGGTAATAATCCCTGCTTTGGGGATTTGGTATGGGAATTAAATGAAATCATGTGTAAATATCTGGTACATAGTAGGCATTCAAAAATGTTCAATATATCAGTTTGAAAAGAAAAAACCAGGATTTTGTTTTAATAGCAACTGCTTTTTATATTAATGAATTCAACTAGCTTCATTAAACTGTTCATTACAGGTATGTGTCAATGCAATTAGATACCTTTGCTTTTGCAGCATTTTGATAGCAGTGGAGATCCCCACATTCTCATATCCAGAGGCAGTAAAATCTTATTCTTTTTAAACAGAGTTTAAAAAGAGGCATTCTTTTTAAACAGAGTTTAAAAAGAGGCATTCTTTTTAAACAGAGTTTAAAAAGAGGCATTCTTTTTAAACAGAGTTTAAAAAGAGGCATTCTTTTTAAACAGAGTTTAAAAAGAGGCATTCTTTTTAAACAGAGTTTAAAAAGAGGCATTCTTTTTAAACAGAGTTAAACATGAAAACATAGTAAGTGGTTTTAGTGTCCTTCACCTTCTAAGAAGATGGTCATTAGGTGGTAGTTAAGACCCAGTCTGCCCTCAGGGAGCATACACAGTCATTTGTGCTATCTGTGGAGGATTGGTTCCAGGACGCACAAACAGCCCCACACCCCCACCCCTGCAGAAACCAAAATCCACAATGCTCAAGTTCCTTATATAAAGTGGCATAGTATTTGCATATAACCTACACACATCCTCCCTATACTTTAAATCATCTCTAGATTACTTATAATACCTAGTTCAATATGAACGCCATGTAAATAATTATTACACTACACTGTTTAGAATAATAAGAAAAAAAATTGGGACATATTCAATATAGACACAATCATTTATGTCTTAAGTATTTTTGATCCATGGTTGATTAAATCTGTGGATGCTGAACCCACAGCATCAGAGAGCCAACTAGTCTGGAGAGGATGGCAGACCCTAGCCGACTGAGGTGCTGTGTGGGAGGTGTAGCAGTAGAAATAATCCTGCTCCACCCTTGAGGGATGCAGACTGCTCAGGAAGACTTGCACAAGACGACTTCCTCACTGAGCCTTGAGAGATTAGTAGGCGTTTGCCCAGTGAAAGACAAAGAGAATGTGTACAAAAAGGTTTGTAAGCTTGAGAGAGTCTGGGACCCATTTTGGGAACTGTAATTAATTTGTTTTGGCAGAGACTTTTGTAGCAAACTGGAATTTGAACTAATTGGTCTGATTCCAGAGCCTGTTCTTTTAACCTCTGGCTGTTGAGTTGTTTCACTGGCCAACTGGCCTATACCAGCACCAAAAGTGAATATGAGAGAATGGCAGGAGATAAGGCTGCATGCATGGGTGAGTGCTAGATCATGACCACGTTAAGAATTTTGGACTTTATTCTGTAGACTGTAGTGAGTCATTGAAAGATTTTAGGCAGAGGAATATTGTCATCACATGCACATTTCAGAAAGATAATTGGCTGGGCACAGTGGCTCACACCTGTAATCCCAGCACTTTGGGAGGCTGAGGCAGGTGGATGGCTTGAGGTCAGAAGTTTGAGACAAGCCTGGCCAACATGGTGAAACCCCGTCTCTACTAAAAATACAAAAATTAGCCAGGTATGGTAGCATGTGCCTGTAGTCCCAGCTACTCGGGAGGCTGAGGCGGGAGAATCGTTTGAACCAGAGAGGCAGAGGTTTCAGTGAGCGGAGATCATGCCACTGCACTCCAGCCTGAGTCACAGAGCGAGACCCTGTCTCAAAAAAAAAAAGATAATTGTAGGAGATTTTCTATAAAGGACTAGAAAGTTATGAGAGCAAGGCCTGGAAGGAATAGGAGATGACGGATTGAGAGACATTTATACAGGTGAGTAGTTCTTACTTAAGAGTGGCCACACATGAAGAGGTAAAGGAAAGTGAGAAGGTTGGAATGACTCCCAGAGTTTCAGGGAACTAGATAGGTCTTGGTAGTAATCATTGATATGTATAAGAGAGAGGCTGCAAGGAGAACATCTTTTTTGTTGTTGTTTTTTGAGGGAGGGAGTGGATTCAGTTTCTGAATATGTTGAAGTTTGACACAACCTTCAGAAATCCAAGTTGAGATATTTTTCAGTCGAGAGGAGGATGTGGGTATTTATTAGTTGATAGTTTGGCAACAGTTTAATTGCTGTTTACCCAGGGAGGGTACGGTGTGACAAGAATACAGAGTGACAAGAGTAGAATCCTGAAGAATGTCAACATACGTGAGCTAGAGTAAGAGGAGCCCATAAAGAATGCTGAGGAACAGTGGCCATTGACGGGGGAGGGCAGGAGGAGGTTACGACAGCGATGAATACAGGACAGTGTTTAGTAAGGGGTCAGGAGCGCCTGGTGCCTCAGAGAAATCACAAAAGGGCAGCATCGTTTCATTTGTGATCACATTTCTTCACATGAAATGCCTTTGGTTACTGAAGAGTTCCAGAAACTGCAAACTAAAACTTTCCATACTTGAAAGGCCTCTAGAATTTCTGTGTAAACTTTTACTATCTTGATTAGTTTGTTTCATAAAAGCCTTTTGGAATCCAGTTGTAAAGGGAATGAGAGAAATAGAAAACCACCACTAGGGAAGCCCCACAGTAATAATTTTTGCAGGCAAGGTCCACAATAGATGCTAAAATCAATGGGCAAAAATTTGAGGAGAAACTGTATTTATTTGGTCTCTAAGTATCTCCCCCAAGATATTTGTCCATTACAAAGAGAAACATAGTGGCTTTGCAATAATCTAGCAGATGCCACCTTAACCAAGTGTTCAAGATGAACAGCACCAGTAAAAAGACATATCTATACCCCCTGTGTCTTCAGTAGAAAGATACAACATCATTTCTGTGGTATTCTTGCAAAAAAATGCCTAACCTTAATCTCATCATAAAACAGCATACAAATCCACATTGTGAGACACTCTACCAAATAAATGACCAGTACTCATCAAGTGTCAAAGTAATGATAAAACAAGGACTGAGGAACTGTCACAGATTGCAGGAGACTAAGGAGACATCACAGCAAGGTGTAATGTGGGGTCTTAGAAGCCCAAAATTATTACAGAACAAAAAGTTTTTAATGTAAGTTCATGTGTGTTGAATTGGTTTTGGTTTTGTCATCTGTACTCACCTGGCTCATCTTGAGACCATAAATGTGAGGATGTGGTCAGAATCAGAGAGTAGTCTTTACTCATAGCAATAGCGTAAGAACTAACATCTCCAGAAATCCCAGGTCAGGCACTGCTAATCAGTTTACATGCGGAGGCAGAAAGAGCATAAGCTCTGGAGCCAAACTGCCTAGGTTTGAAAGCTGACTTTTCCATTTCCCGGCCTTGAGACTTTGAACAAATTACTTTACATCTCTGTGCTTCAATTTCCTCATCTGTGAAAGGAGTATAATCATAGAAGTGAC
This sequence comes from Homo sapiens, assembly GCF_000001405.40. Taxonomy (NCBI): domain Eukaryota; kingdom Metazoa; phylum Chordata; class Mammalia; order Primates; family Hominidae; genus Homo; species Homo sapiens. The sequence continues at coordinate 1,262,989 of NT_187614.1, forward strand.
AATTTTATAGGGTGGTTATGCAGACTAAATGAGCTAATTCATGTGATGTAACATCCCCAGTGTTACATAGTAAGTAGCAAACTGGGATTTGAACTAATTGGTCTGATTCCAGAGCCTGTTCTTCTAATCTCTGGATCTTGAGTTGTTTCACTGGCAGGACCAACCCTATACAGGCACCAGAATGACATCTTGGCCACCTTAGCATCCTTTCCTAAGGGGTTAAACCAAGTGGCCCCCCAGGCTAGATGAGAATATTATAAACAACTTTCTTGAGTTAAACTTCAAGAACAGACAGTGTATGCCAGCTGTCATCACTGATACTAGGTCCCACCATTGAGCAATTTTTGCTCCTTGTTTGTGATAGGGTTGTATATGTAAGACTTCCAGAAATGTTGTAGCAAAGATTAACATTACCTTCTGGAAACAGTTTAAATAATAACACTTCATTAGTTTAAATGGTACAGCCTGGTCAGACTTGCTAATTGGATGCTAGAAAATAACGTTTTTTAAAAAAACAAATATTTTGGTTTTTGGAAATACAGTAATTATAATTATTGATTGTCAGTATTCTACTCAGCATTACATATAAGTGGATTTAGTTATGATTTAATCAGAAATCATAATGTAAATGGATCAAACTCCCAAGCCTTTAATAATATGACGTCTTACTGTGTTGGTCTGTTCTTCCACAACAAAATAATATTTGTCTTTTCTTAGTATGGTTGGTAAAAGATGATTTAATATTAAAACATACACCCATTTGCAGTGGCACCGAGACTAGATGCTAAGTACAGATTACTAAATGGTCTTTAATCTGATTTCTTCCTAAAGCCTGTATTTCATCATGTAGTTAATAGTTATTAACTATATTGTATTAAATGTAAAGATATTCTACAGAGCAGTACCATCTAATAAAAATATTAATATGTATTATATATGCAATTTTAAATGTTCTAGTAGCGACATTGAAAAAGTAAAAAGAAAAAGATGAACTTAATTTTAGTGACATTTCATTTAACCCAATATATAAAAATATTATTTCAACAATTTACTATTTTAAGAATTATTAGTGATATGTATTTTTTTTGTCCCAAGTCTTCAGAATCTCGTTTGTATATTATACTTAATTACAGTACATCTCAATTCAGACTAGCCCCATTTCAAATGCACAGTAACCACGTGTGGCTAGTAGCTACTGTATTGCATAACACAACTGTAGGGTACAGTTCATAGTCTTTGTCCAGAAAGTGAATTAAAGCCGTCTGTGGACACAGCCAAGAATAGTAATCATACTTTCAGATGGACACTGAAGTTTAGTGAGGCCTAAGGACATTAAAAGATATATTTAATTAACAGTATTTTTGGTTTATATTTAAATAAAAAGGTTATATAAATATTTATGCTCATACATTGACATAACTTTTGGGAAGGCATTTTGACTCAGTCAAGTTTACATATACATACCTTTCAACTCAGCAATTTCACATCTAAGAGTTATGTATTGGCCAGGCTCAGTGGCTTATGCTTGTAATTCCAGCACTTTGGGAGACTGAGGTGGGAGGATCACTTGAATTTAGGAATTTGAGACCAGCCTGGACAACATAGCAAGACCCTCTCTCTACCAAAAAAAAAAATTTAAAAATTAGCCAGGCATGGTGGCGCACACCTCTAGTCCCAGCTCCTTGGTGGTGGTCGGGGCTGGGAGGCAGAGGTGGGGGGATGGCTTGAGCCTGGGAGGTCAAGGCTGTAGTGAGCCGTGATCGCACACTGCACTCCAGCCTGAGCAACAAAGCAAGACCCTATCTCAAAAAAACAAAACATCACCAACAAAAAAACAAGGATACATAGAGGCCTTTTTTATAAAAAGTGAAGAATTAGACTGGGCATGGTGGCTCACGCCTGTAATCCGAGCACTTTTGGAGGCCAACACAGGTGGATCACTCAAGTCCAGGAGTTCTAGACCAGCCTGGGCAACATAGTGAAACCCCATCTCTACTAAAAATACACATATTAGCTGGGCATGGTGGTACACTCCTGTAGTTCCAGCTACTCAGGAGGCTGAGGTGAGAGGATGGCCTGAACCTGCGAGTCAGAGGTTGCAGTGAGCCGAGATAGCACCACTCCATTCCAGCCTGGGTGACAGTGAGACCCTGTCTCAACAACAACAACAGCAACAAAAAGTGAAGAATTAGAAGCAATGTATGTGTTCAAAAATATGAAAATAGGGTACTTCTGTTCCTACGGTTATATGCAGCTATTTATAAATTGTTTATGGGACATTGCTTATAAGGCTAGGTGAGAAAAGAATTCATTCAAAATTGTGTGAATATATATATATATAAGGATCATTATGTGAAACAAACGTAACAACAATTGTCTATAGGTAGAAGGATTGTGTGTGGGATTTTTTGTTTGTTTGTTTTTTAGATAAGCTCATACTCTGTAGTGAGCCATGATCACACCACTGCACTCCAGCCTGAGCTACAAAGCCCAGACCGGAGGGCTCACTGCAGTCTCAACCTCCTAGGCTTAAGCAATCCTTCCACCTCAGCCTCCCGAGTAGCTGGGACTACAGGCACATGCCACCGTGCCTGGCTAGTTTTCTTACTTTTTTATTTTACTTATTTATTTTTTTGAGACAGAGTCTTGCTCTGTCACCCAGGCTGGAGTGCAGTGGCCTGATCTCGGCTCACTGCACCCTCTGCCTCCTGAGTTCAAGCAATTCTCCTCCCTCAGCCTCCCGAGTAGCTGGGATTACAGGCACACACCACCACGCCCGGCTAATTTTTGTATTTTTAGTAGAGAGAGGGTTTTGCCGTGTTAGCAGGCCAGGCTGGTCTTAAACTCCTGACCTCAGGTGATCCACCCGCCTCAGGCTTCTAAAGTGTTGGGATTACAGGCGTGAGCCACTGCACCCAGCCAGTTTTTTTACTTTTTGGTTTTTGTTTGTTTTATTTTTGAAACAAAATCTCTCTGTCGCCCAGGCTGGAGTGCAGTGACATAATCTCGATTCACTGCATCCTCCATCTCCCGGGTTCAAGGGTTTCTCCTGCCTCAGCCTCCCTATTTACTGGGATTACAGGCATGTGCCACCACACCTGGCTAATTTTTGTATTTTTAGTAGAGATGGGGTTTCAACATGTTGGCCAGGCTGGTCTTGAACTCCTGACCTCAGGTGATCTGCCCCCCCTCAGCCTCCCAAAGTGCTGGGATTACAGGTGTGAGCCACCGTGCCTGGCCAGTTGTTTTTACTTTTTGTAGAGACGGGGTCTTGCTATGTTGCCCAGGCTGGTCTTGAACTCCTGGGCTCAGGTGATCTTCTGCCTGGCCTCTCAAAGTGCTCAGGTTATAGGCATGAGCCACTGCGCCAGGCCAACTGTATGTGTTTTCTGTGTGGTTTGGTTTTTTTTCAATTTTCTGTATTTTATACCTTTTGTATTACTTTTTTTCTGGGTTGGTGTGGGGGTATAGACAGGGTCTTACTATGTTGTCCAGGCTAGTTTTGAACTCCTAGTCTCAAGCAATCCTTCTGCCTCAGCCTCCCCAAGTGCTGAGATTACAGGCATGAGCCACCACACCCTGCCTCTATTACTTGTATAATAGGAAAAATCTTAACCAGTATTATTCTTGTAAAATTCATTTGTTGAGATAAAGAATTACCTTTGGGAGGCTGAGCTGTGGGTGATATAATAAATAATTAAATTATTTGATATGTGTAAAAATGTTCCTAAAACTTTAAAATATTATGTATTAAATACATGAAAATACCACATTTTGTTTTATGGATAGTGTTTTGCCCTAGTAGAGTTTTTTGGGTTAGAATTTTATTTTATGTATATAGAGAGGGCACATTATAATGAGTAGAAAAGGATACCCCTTTGAATTATCTTTGGTATGATTTGGTCTGTATAAGGTCATATATTTTCTAGAGCATCTCAAACACATCATACAAAATATTTTTTTTTCCATTTGGTGGGAAATGTAGGTGATATAACTTAAACTTCCATAGTACCTAGACTGAAGATCTAGGAATCAAACTTACTGTGAATTCAGTTGTGTTTCTCCATTTAAAGGTGGGGGAAATGAAAGACCCCCTGGATCTAGTGCATGGAGATGACGTGGAATTGCAGACCCCTTTTCTGCCTTGGGGAACCAGTGGCAGTGTGTGTGGTGTTGGTGAGGTGTTGCATTCAGATACTGTACCACTACCTGTGCTGCTGCCAGTAGATGGCTTTTGTGACATCTATTAAAATGAAAAATGCTTAAGATATATGTAGAGGAAGAAAATGAGGTAGTCAATTCCTCATTGTCTTTAGTCTGGAATAATGTTTAAGGGTTGTATATTGCTCAAAAGCACAAGTGTACCTGTTCTTTTTTGGGGCTGTACTATAAATGAATCTGTGTTGAACTGTCATTTACAGTATACTGTTATCAGACTTTTCTCCTGTAGCATTAGGGAAAAAGGGAAAAATGTACAGTCAGCCCTACATATTTGTGAGTTCCACATCAGTGGATTCAACCAACCACAGATTGAAAATATTCAGGCATGGGGAAAGGAATGTCTGTACCTGTGAACAAGTGCAGACTTTTTTCTCGTCATTATTCCCTGAACAATACATTGTACAACTATTTACGTAGCATTTACATTGCATTAAGTATTTTAAGTAATCTAGAGATGAATTAAGTATATGGGAGCATGTGTGTAGATTACATGCAAATACTATGCCATTTTATATAAGGAACTTGAGCATCCGTGGATTTTTGTATCCATAGAGAGTCCTGGAACCATTCCTCCACAGATACCATGGGATGACTGTAGTTGGTCATCCCAATGACAGTGGTAAGTGCCTATGAATTTTTCCCTATCCCACTTTGTACCCAGATGTTCCAGTGATCAGTTCTGGAGTTTGTTAACTCACTGAATGTGTTTCCTCTCCTAGGTTAATAGTTACTAATGTTGCTGCCTGTTGCTTCCTGCTTTATTTAGGTTTCATGTCCTTAGCAAGCTACTGAGTTTCATGGCACCTATTGACCATACTACAATGAATGATGATGCCAGGTGAGTAATAGATTAATTATGTGTCTCAAATGGCTTCATGACAGCCTGATATTGACCTGCTCTACAGCCTTCGCCCTCTCCATTTCTTCTTATCAGTTAACCATTTGTCATTGGCATCGCAGTAAGGGTCACATCTCTTCACCCTCATAATTACTATAAAACCAAACCAAAAACTTGCATAAATTTCAGTGCTGCCTTTGGTGGTTTGTTTGTTTTTCCTGTTTTGTTTTGAACTTTAGCCCAGCGCCCTGGGACATGTGAGCTCTCTAGGACAGGGCAGGTGGCCCATGTTCTTGCCGTTTGTACTTGGGGCTGTTGTGCATATGCTTTCCTTTTGAAAGTGGCTCTAGTGAGTGCTCTGGAGATGTGCATATGTTGTATTTGTTGGGGATTGTGAGTGTTTTTACAAAAGATGTATATGCTTATTTTATAAAGCTGAAACGAGAGAAATACAGAAAAAAAGTGTATGCTCATAATATTACCGTTCAGGGATAACCTTTTTAAAATAATAGTTTCTTCTGTATCTATTAATTGGCATTCTATAATGAAGAGCTTCCTCTTCTCCCTCATTTATTTACCATTTATTTATTCATTTATATCAATATGGACTCATGTTTTCCTATTTTATTCAATGAGTTATGTTTATTTTGATATTAAAATTGTCCCAGATAGTGGAAGTGCCGTCAAACTGGCTTGTGTCCTTCAAAGTTGTCTTCAGTCAATCTTTGAGTACTTCCTTACTTTCTGGCACAAGAAGATGTTTAATGCTCATCTTAGACTTTCCATCTTCCAGCCCTGAAATCAGTCTTTCTTGAAGGAGCCCTGGCTCTGTTTAGTGGATTGTGGTATTTAGAAACCAAGATCTAGGTACTAGGGGTGCTCCTTGTTAGTGAGTATTGCTATTTCTAGACCTGTCAGCAGAGACGGGAAGTGTATGTATATACACTCACACCTACACAGAAGACAGCCACTTTTAACATCTTACAGCATTTCATTTCAGTTTTTGTAAGTTCCCTTTCAGTATTTTCCTGTTTTTCTTTTTTATATTGAAATTATATTCAGGAAATGTTTTATATACTGAGAGCATTTTCATGTCGTTAAAATAATTAAAATTTTTCAATGACGAAATAATATTGTTATAATATTTATTTAGCCATTCACTGATTGTTGGACATTTAAATGGCTTTTAATTGTCATCATTGTAAATAATGCTATGAGAAGCATTTTTAAACATATTTACCAAGTGAAATTATTGGTCATAACATAGGCACAGGTGGTTTTTGCCAGTTTTATCCCTCAAACTACATATAAACTTTTTATTTTAGAGTATTTTGTTTGCTACCAAATGCCATCAGATTTTCCCCTCCTTGTCTGAAAGTATGAGATCTGCAAATTTTGACAAATACTATTATTATTTTTTATTTGGTTTATTCAGTACTTTGAGCACAAAACAGCCTATGGATGGTTCTGAGTACATTTGTGTCTGGCTTTGTGACCACATCTGCTATCCTGTGCTTTGCAAGTGAATGTCTAGATATGGCCATGGTTTTTTGTTCATTTCTGGATCCAGTCTGTTTAAAAATTGCAGAGTAAAGTGAGTGCATCTTAGATTCCCTGTCAGGATGCTGTGAAAAAATTATATCAAGAAGAAAGCAAAACTAGATTTTGAAAATTAAACCAAACCCTTTAAGGTTACGTTATTATCCCAGGCATAAAATGAAATCTAGTTTAGATATTAGTGGTATCTTTTGATCATAGTACTATGAAATCATTCAGAAATCAACTTTATGCCATTCTTAGTTGGAATTTTACTTGAATCCCTTGAGGTGTACTTAGTTTTTCCAGAATCTTACCAATATTAACTCCTAATTTTTGAAGGTCTACTATTTGCTAGACATAAAAATTATTTGAAAATGACTCTATTAGGATTAATTTGGGTATGGCCTATAAAAAATATAAAACCTGACTACAGAGGCATAAGGAAATGGAAGTTCATCTTTGTGACAGGATAATTCTAGGGGTGGTAGGCAATTGTTGTCCATGGCTTTTGCTTCTCGGTGGTGTTAGGGCCAACATCTCTTGGTCTTTCCCCTGTGGTCCCAAGATGGCTGTTGCAACTTAACGCCATCAAACATGCATTCAAGGCAGGAAGAAGAGGAAAGAACTGTGCCAGCCATACCTGTTTGTTTTTAATCAGAAAAGTAAAACCTTCCCCAGAATTCCCTTCAGCAAACTTTTTGTATTTCATTGGCCAGAACTGTGTTATGTTGCCACTCCAGGTAGAGCAAGCAAGGGAGAAGGGGTTAGGAATGTGTTTGCTGGGTGACAGTCCTTGTGACATTTATAAGGAGAAAGGGCTATCCCTTGTGGACTGATTCCTAATTACCAGCATTGTTCTCCAGCTGGTTTAGCTACTTAAGGAATGGAATAATAGTCTTGTAGCTGGAGAACTGAACATTTGTTTTTACCAAAGTGCGCACCATTCTCATTGTGTTTCCTAAGGATAGGGAGACGTGTCCATATCAACTGCTCAAGCTTTATGGTTTGAATAGGCCAGATTAACTATGGGTACAGTAAATAGGAACTAGCTCTCTCTCCTAGTATCAAAATTTTTAGGGCCAGTAGGTATTGTTAACTTTATCTTAAGTAAGAAGGAAGTAGTAATAGCTTATCCTCCTTTGTTTTTTTTTAGTGGAAAAACAAAAGTGGAAGTAACCTAGTACCATTCTATTTTGTGTCCCATTTGTACACCACAAATAGGAAGCTTTCATAATTGTTAGAATATCAATATCACTGCATGCTACTTTTCCTCAAGTAAATACTTTTGGTTTTCCTAAGTTATACATATGTCATTCTTGGTGTGCCGGGGGCATAGAGAATTTTTTAAACTGATTTCAAGGTAGTGAAGGACTTTATAAGAATGACCACAGGGCCAGAAACTAAAAGGTAAAATATTAATAGACCTGACTACATAAAAGTCACATTGAAAAAGACATCAAAAACAAAGTTAATAGGTAAATGATGAACTTGAACAAAAAAATTCCAGCAGATGACATATTTTTCTACTATGTAAAGAGTTTTTACAAATGTCTAAGAATATCCCAATAACAATAATGGACACAGCATATCAACAAGAAGACTTAAAAATCAAAAAAGAAGGTCGGGCACAGTGGCTCACACCTGTAATCCCAGCACTTTGGGAGGCTGAGGCGGGCGGATCACGAGGTCAGGAGATCAAGACCATCCTGGCTAACACGGTGAAACCCCTTTTCTACTAAAAATACAAAAAATTAGCCGGGCGTGGTGGTGGGCGCCTGTAGTCCCAGCTACTGGGAGGCTGAGGCAGGAGAATGGCGTGAACCCAGGAGGCGGAGCTTGCAGTGAGCCGAGATCGTGCCACTGCACTCCAGCCTGGGCGACAGAATGAGACTCCATTTAAAAAAAAAAAATCAAAAAAGAAAAATTTCAAGGGCCAAAAACCATAAGCACTTTCAACCTAATCAAAGAAATGCAAATTAATATAATGAGATTTCTTTTTATTATTTTTTTTTGAGACAGAGTTTTGCTCTGTCACCCAGGCTGGAGAGCCATGGCACTATTTGGGCTCACTGCAACCTCCGCCTCCTGGGTTCAAGCGATTCTCCTGCCTCAGCCTCCCGAGTAGCTGGGACTACAGGCGTGCACCACCATGCACACACGCCCTCCTTTTTGTTGTCCTTATTCAGTTGGAAAATATTAAAAGGATTAGTAATACCCAGTGTTGATGGTGTAAGGAAAAATGCACCTTTGCATACTGTTTTTGGAAATGTAATTGGCAAAATCTTTTGGGAGGATTATTTGACATTGTGTTTCCAACTTTTTTTTTTTTTTTGAGATGGAGTCTTGCTCTGTTGCCCAGGCAAGAGTGCAGTGGTGCAATCTTGGCTCACTGCAATCTCCACCTCCTAGGTTCAGCAATTCTCCTGCCTCAGCCTCCCATTGGTCAGTCTGACCTCAGGTGATTTACCTGCCTCGGCCTCCCAAAGTGCTAGGATTACTGGCGTGAGCCACCATGCCTGGCCCTGTTTCTGACTTTTAAATGTGTCTGTTAACACAGAAAAATCTACTTGTAGGAGATAGTCTTTAATAGTTGCCAAATACATTTGTGTTAAGGATCTTTATTGCAGTATTGTTTGTAGAAAAATAAAAAATCCAAATGACCCAAACTAAATAATCACAGTAAAATCATTCAATGAATTTATTATTTTTTTTTTCTTGAGACAGGGTCTCACTGTATTTTCTGGGCAGGAATGCAGTGGTGCAATCATAGCTCCCTGCAACCTCCAATTCCTGGGCTCAGGCCATCCTCCCACCTCAGCCTCTTGAGTAGCTGGGACTAACAGATGCACACCACCACACTCCACTAATTTTAATTGTGGTAAAATACATGAAACAAAATGTTCTGCCCTTTTGACTTCTTGTTCCCAGAGGCACCTCCGCTTATGGTTCTTAGTTTACCCACATCTGGAAGTAGAAACCCTCTTCTTTTCCTTAGTTGCTCATTGGTTCCAGTTTACCCTTCCACACGTGCCTAAATTGGATTAATCCTCAGTGGTTTTGGTGGGGTGTCCAGTTGCGTATCCTTGAATCCCCCCCATATCCCTTTTCCAGTTTGAACTCAGTAAATTTGCCCCTGGTTGACTTAAATTGAAACTGGAACGTAGCTCATTAAGGGAGAGAGAGAGATCTTTAACACAGGATATTATCCTGGTGGTATATCCTGGTGGAGAAAGAAATGCTATCTTTGAAAGGATAGTGGCATCTTCATTTTGTTTCTCCTGTTGTGTGGTCTGAGTAGTGTTATCTATTTAGTTAATTTCTGCTGATACAAATTCTTTTCTCACGCTAAGAATTTTTCTCTTCAAGCGATCTATTTTTTTAAAAAAAAAAACCTTTTAAAATGCAAAGTAGCCAAGTTGTGTCCCTGTTGTTACCAAATTTCCCTTTGGGGCATTTCCTTCTAGGTAGATGTTGGATATTGATTTAATGCTTTCGGATCTCCTTTGTTAGTGGAAATCTTATGCAACCCCTGATACTTTCTATGTGCTGGTCTAGTAGATCTTATACTCTTCTCCAGTATGAGGTTACAGATGGTTTGTATTGCATGCCTGATGAGCATTCCCAATATTGAAAGAAAACAAAAGAAAGCCCAATTTGTCCGTGTATTATGTGTTTGCTTGCAAGGGAGGAGGTTACCATAAGCCTAAAAATGATCCCTGGCTTTGCTAAACCCTTGATGCTCTTGACACGGGGTAGCTCAGCTCCCAGGACAGCATCATCTTTTTGTTTTTTTTTTTTTTTTGAGACAGAGTCTCGTTCTCTCACCCAGGCTGTAGTGCAGTGGGGTAATCTCGGCTCACTGCAAGCTCCGCCTCCTGGGTTCAAGTGATTCTCCTGCCTCAGCCTCCCGAGTAGCTGGGACTGCAGGCGCCCACCACCCCTCCCCACCCCCTGGCTAATTTTTGTATTTTTAATAGAGGTGGGGTTTCACCATGTTGGCCAGGATGGTCTGGATCTCTTGACCTCATGATCCACCTGCTTCGGCCTCCCAAAGTCCTGGGATTATAGGCGTGAGCCACCATACCTGGCTGACAGCGTCATCTTTAAGAGGCAAAGGATCACTTGTTTTTGTAGAGCCAGAGCTATCAGTGGCCTAAGGAGAAGAAAAGGCTTGACATCTCATTGGTAGAGAATCCTCTAAGCATATTATCACCAGCAAGAGCGGGTCAGTACTTTACTTGCATGATTTGCAGGGCTGTTGTTCACTTCTCTATTGAAGTTATTCTAAGCTCATCAAGGACCTTTTAGAAACAGTGCTTACATTGTGTAATGTGAAATCCCACCTGCCCCATGCCATTAGACCAGAGGGAGTATGATGTGACCATTAAACATGCTATGCGTATATCAGAATATCACATGCCCCCCATAAATAAGTACACATATAATCTATCAATACAGAAAAAGTAAAGCCAGTGTTGGATGCTGATACGGTTTGGATTGGCATCCCTGCCAAATCTCATGTTGAAATGTAATCCCCAGTGTTGGAGGTGGGGCCTGGTGGGAGGTGATTGGATCATGGGGGTGGATTTCTCATCAGTGGTTTAGCACCATTCCCGTGGTGCTGTCCTCATAACAGTGAGTTCTTGAGAGATCTGGTTGTTTAGCAGTGTGTGGCTTCTCCCCTGTCCCCACTCTCTCTCTTGCTCCTGCTGTGGCCTTGTGAGGCATCTGCTCCCCCTTCGCCTTCTGCCATGATTGTAAGCTTCCAGAGGCCTCATCAGAAGCTGGACAGATGCCTGGTTCATGCTTCCTGTACAGCCTGCAGAACCGTGAGCCAATTAAACCTCCTGTCTCAATAAATTACCCAGCCTCAAATATTTCTTTACTGCACTGCAAGAATGGCCTAATACAGAAGCATTCCAAAAATGAAAATAAAATAAAATAAATGCAGATGATCTCTCACTATAGTTCTAACAAAGTGAAGGAATTTGGGGTTATGGAAATAAGCATCTGCTTTTTGCCTGTGTTTTTGACAGACCCTCTGAGGCAGACTGAGTTAATTGTCATTTGTTGTGTGGATGTAAGTCAGTAAAATGCTAGTATGACAAGACAAACAAATACTGACTGAGACCCCTGAGACAGGAAGAGATGTGTTCCTCAAAACTGGCCACTGACTCAGATTTGGGAAGGGACATTCATGTGAACCTGCTCTGTTGGCATTGGTTTTGGCTGTCAGGATGGAAAGGGTCTGGTGATGGCAGTCAGCTTGATGCATGCCAAAGAAAATAGGTGTTTGCCTTGCATTAAATGCTGCTTCAAGGAGAGGATATTAGATAGATTTGATGCTGGTACTGTCAGTTAAAAGTGTAGGTATTGAATTTTTCTAAATAGATTTCCCCCCCTTATTCCAAAAATGGTAGCAAGATTAACATTTTGTAGGTACTCCATTCCTTTGCAAATAACTTAAAGAAATTCTCAAAATGTACAGCAAGAGTTTCAATTTTAGCTCCCTGTTCTCTCCCCAAAAATACAAAACTACCTTTCCCACTCCTTTTATAAAGCTGCTGGCATTAAAAAAAGAACAAGGAGAGGATCCTTTAATGATAAGTACTGAGCACCAAATACATTATTGTTTTACATCTGGAGTTTTAGAAAAGAAATGTACAAATGCAATCCAGCCTTGTAAAGTGCTTTGTCAACATCACTGCCACGTTGTTCTTGAGATGCCCTGGTATAATAGAAATTGTACAGGCAATTTATCTTCAGCTTGCCATTTTTGTGTATGGGTCTGCACCCTAAATATGGGCATACTCTACCACTCTACTGATGATATTCTTTTCCCCCAGTTGGTAACCCAGAAGATAGTTAAACCATTTCTTGCTCCCCCCTACCTATATTTAATAGGAATATGCACTGAATCATGGTGAGATATTCTGGTGTAGCTTGCTCAGCATTTGAGAACACATCAGCTAATAACCCCTGAAATACCCTCCATAGAGCATTTTCTGTTGGTTAAAAACTTGCAAGCAAGAATGGTTAAAGTACAGATGTTTTCTCTGAGGCTTCGTATCTCCTAAAAAGACACAGGTTATTCTGACAGGTGAGACAAGCCCAGGCAAATATGCAACATTGATCTAATCAGCAAGAACAAGAGTGATGTTTTAACTGGGGCTACCTTTTACCAGCGTCATTAAAGGCTCCCATTACTCTTTTATTAGAGGTTCCCTCTCTTCCTTATCAGATTACAGAATGAACATAACTCATGGCAGTGATTTGATCTCTTGTTAAAGAGGATTACAGCTTTGCATTAACTCGGATTGACATAGTTTATAATTTGCTTGTTGATTCTCAGGTGGGTAGCACCACACGTTTGACCCCCCAGCAGTGCTGAGGGGAAAGGACCCGCATATATCATCATTAAGGATGGCGTCCAGCACAGAGATAGGGGCATGGGGCCTTCTTTCGCCAGTAATGTCAGAAAGGACAAAGGAAACACTCTCAAGTTCAAACCTAAGGCTTGGGCCAGAGTTTTAAAACTGGGTTGGAAAAAAAACACTGCTGTTGTTTCTTCTATTTTTCCTGATTTGCTGCTGTTCAGTCTCTTATTCTAGAGAACTTGCATTGTCAAAATGAAGCCTTGGCTCCAAGCAGGAGGTAGAGTGATAAAAGCACATCTTCTAGAAAGAGATTTGTAGATGCTGAACAGATAAATCCTTCCTCAAAATGGGCCTTTTTGACTATAGTTCTCATTTCTGCACTTATATTCTCATCGCTTCTTCAAAGGATTGTAAATCCTCTTTTTTTCCCAAAGGGATGTTTCACATTCTTTAAAGTGTGTGTAAATGTTTCTCTTAAGGACTTGTTTTTTAATTTTTATTATTATTGGCTTTCTAAATATATTGCAATATCTTACAGATATTGTATTAATCACAGCTAAGTAACTGGCAAGTTACTTGCAAGCCGGTAGGCAATAGCTAAGTTTTTCACCTTAATTTAGTTAGTCATAATCATGTTATTGATGTGCCCCACAGTGATCACTGAGCCAACAGTCGATTGCTGAGATACCATTTCTGTTTCTAAGTGCAGTTATCCTTCGCTCTGATTTATCCACTGTAAGTCTGTCCCCTGTGTCTGATGGGCAATGAAATAATATAGAATAATCATATCATATTTCACTTACTGAGAGTTTACTATATGCCAGACATTGCACTAAGCCCTTCACATATATTTTCATTTGTTCCTCATTTAAAAAAAAAAACAGTGATTGATGTTATCTGCATTTTATAAGAATACTAAGGCATGGAACAATTAAATAACTTGCCTAAGCTGAACAGCAAGTAAGTAGTGGAACAGGTGTGTGCATCTAAGAGTGTGGTCCCAACCCCCACTGCTGTTGCCAAGAAATTCACAAACTTTTAGAAATATTTGGGAATCATGTGCCACAGGGAAGGCCCCCATCCCCACCCCTAGCTACTCTTTCAAAAACTTATTTGGGGGGGGGAACTTCTTTAGATTAAAATGCTTCCCCCCCCACGCTTTCTTTTATAGGAGAGATGCTTTCTATACAGGAAGGTTTTGCCTGTCAGTCATTCATATTTTAGTGTGAATCACTGGATTCCCAAACCTGGTTTTATGTTATATCATTCTGGTTACAAAGACCTTAGACCTCATAATTAGCTTTGAATCCTGATCTGGTATATTTAGTCAGTTTATGCATGTAATTCTATTCTCTGCCATAGTCAGGCACCTATCACCTACTTTTCTTAGAGACAGTATCTTTTTCCTGTATAATAAAAATAGTGCATGCTTATGGAAGAAAATTTGAAAAATATAGAAAGGACAAAGAAAAATTTGTCATCCTGCTATTGAGGGTAGAACATTATTAATACTTTTACATGTTTTCTTATAGAATTTTTTGTGTATGTATTTTATACAGATATATACGTATGTGTTTGAATCTTTTTTCAGATTAACTTATAAGCATTTTAATGCCTTAAGTATTTTTAAAAGCATTTTAATAACCTAATAATCTATTATGGAATATGTATTATTGTTGGACATTTAGGTTGTTTGTAGTTGCCTTTCTTTTCAAGTAGTGCTGCAGTGAACATATATATACAGAAATCTATGTTCTAGGTTTTGCTGTGTCTTTAGAATAGATTTCTGGGTCAAATATCTAAACTTTCTAATGACTCTTGATGAGTTTTACTAAGTTACATGACTCTTTTCTTTCCAGCTGAGGCTTATGTCATTTTATCTTTGCTAAGCTGGAGAGCTCTTTTTTCTTTTTCTTTTTTTTTGAGACGGAGTCTTGCCCTGTCGCCCAGGCTGAAGTGCAATGGTGCAATCTCGGCTCACTGCAATGTCCGCCTCCCGGGTTCAAGTGATTCTCCTGCCTCAGCCTCCCAAGTAGATGGGACTACAGGCGTGTCCTATTACACCCGGCTAATTTTGTATTTTTAGTAGAGACGGGGTATTGCCATGTTGGCCAGGCTGGTCGCGAACTCCTGACCTCAGGTGATCCACCCACCTCAGCCTCCCAGAGTGCTGGGATTACAGGTGTGAGCCACCACACCCGGCCGGGAGAGCCATCTTTTAAAAAATATTTCCTATTTAGATATAAAAGTTACTTACTGTTTTTAAGTTCATAACAAATGACACCTTATTGAGGACATATAATATGGTAGGCAGTGGGCTATAATCTAATGTTTATTTTCTCTTATAATAGTAAATTTGAAGAGTATTAATCATGTATTTCTATCATTTGTAGTTGTTTTTATCCTTTGCCCATTTTCTTTTTGAGTTTTGACTTTTCTTTATGAATTTTCTTCCTGTATGAATTCTCTATATTATGGCTATATTTATGGTTATATAACATTTCCTGGTTTTTGTAGATTTCCATATTTTGCTTACCTGTCAATATTAATGATTTTTATTGGTTACATAGAAGTTTTACTTTTTAACCTGATTAAATATATAAGAACCTTTTTGTGGGGGGTGTTTTTCATTGTTTTATGATTAGGCAATCTCTCCTGTATCCCAGAACAATTATTCACCTATATTTTATTTAATTTCATCTGAATTTTTTTTCTTTTAATCTACTTGGGAGCATT